>NC_000001.11:48341713-48644744 GCF_000001405.40 Homo sapiens | reverse complement strand
AAACTTTCTTTTCAGCTTCCTCTCCAACTGTCCACCTTGCCCCTTCCTGCATCCACTCCCATCTGTTCCTCTTGCCTTCCTGGGCTCTTTCCATTGTCTTAAACCAGCCTGCTCTTGCTCACATCTGTGCTTTTGCTGGCACTCTGCTTCCACTTGAGAAGCCTTTTAACTGTTTCTTCCCTCTCTTCTTTTTTCCCTCTCCTGCCCTCCCAAGTCACCAACCCATCCCCAAGCGCATACTTTGTACCATGCACTGGGGAATATGAGGTGGGCTTGGCCCCCGCGCTGCCCTTAAGGAGTTCACAGTCCAGAGAAGAGATAACTGTGCTGGTGGAGGGAAGCCCAGGGATTCCCAGGTTGTGAAGTCACTGAGGAGGCACCTCTTAACCCAGCCAAGAGGGTTGGGATAGGGAAAGTCAGAGAAAATATCTGAAGGAAAAGCTGTGTGAGATGAATCTTGAAGGATGAGTGGGAGTTGGCCAGGGGAAGAGAATGGCAGCATGTTCCAAACCAAAGGAATAATTATAATAAATAACAACACAGTAATATAATAATACGAAACATTAATTGAATGTATATAGCTGTCAGACACTATTCTAAGTGTTTTATATGTAGTACTTCCACTAGAGATTTGGAGTGATAATGAGTCATACTCCTGCTCCTACTCTCATTCTATTCCTGCAATGTAGAAGGAGATACAGGGATCAGAAAAATAGGAGTCAAAATATTAGCTTTATTATTGATAAAAGCAGGACCTGGGAGGCATAGTCTGTATCTGTGGCCAAACTTGCCTCCTTTACTTCACTTCAAAATTCAACTTTCCCACCAGACACAAGCAGAAAAGGAGGCAAGAAGCCTCCTAGAAAGCACACCATGTGGCAGAGAGAAGACCAGAATAGACCCTTCAGGATTCCAGATCCCAAAAACACATGCTAGGAGGGGCTAGGCCCAAACGGGCTCTGCTTCTTTTCCGGAGCTGACCAGTCAGATAAGTTTCATCTCCTTCCTTGGGAAGAGAAAACGAGGGAATGGAGAAGAAGACCCATTCTTTTCATTCCTGAGGGCTGAAAGTTACCATTGGGATTGAAAGCAATGGGGAGTTCCTCCCAACAACCTCATGAACCTACGAGATAGGTCTTGTATTATCCTCATATTGCAAATAAGGAAACTGACACTCAAAGAGAGGTTAAGTCATTTGCCCAAGTACTGCCTTTAATAGTAGGAGATCCAGGAATCACACCCAGTGATTTGATTCAGAGCCCTTTGAGTCTTACTGCTTGAGTCCTGAGTGAGTGGAGATCCTTGAGGAATGCCAAGTGCTCTGGTGTGGCTGTTGCATGTGGTCTAGGCTGCATCCTACATAGGGTACAGTCTGTGCACCACACAAAGGTGCCAGCTAAGTGGGTAGGTGGAGGGTAGAGTGCAGCACAGGCTTGACAAGCCTTGAGACTTGGCAGAAATGCGTCAGCCCACAGAGGGGGCACCTTTTTGTTATTAGCTCACAGGCCCTATCATGTGCTACCCTTGTATGGTTTACAGATTGACAACATAGTGTAAGAAGTGTAGGAATAACTGGGGACCAGATTGTGAAGGATCCTGAACATCATACCAAGAGCAAACCACAAGAACAGCTAACATGTGTAGCACTTATCTCAATCTAGATGGTGTCCTTGGCATTTTACCTGTATGATTTCATTGAGTCCTCAAAACAACCCTCTGAGGTAGACAAAATTCCCACTTTTCAGATTAGAGCTAAGGCACAGAGAGGTTCAGCCACAAAGACAAAAATGTGTTGGCCAAGCCAGGGTTTTATCCAGGCCGTGTGGCTCCAGAGCCCACACTTGACTCAGAGCCATTCTCAGGCTCGGTGCAGGTAGGTGAGAGCCTTGCCAGCACCCAGGTCTTGTGAACACATGAAAGACTTTTATGCCCCCTTTTTTGTTTCCTCTGTCCTTTTTCACTTAAGAAACGGAAATGGTGAATTCCTAGCCTCAAGGGCCAGTGTATTCCTTCAGAAAATGTCCTCCCTCAGACCTTTCAAAAAGGAGTAAACTCCTTATCATTGTTCTTATATAGAGAAAAATAATCTTTTGGTTCTGGAATGGACTTTCCACTCTACCCTTGAATAGCCATGTAACCTTGGCAGACCCTCTCTGCCCTCTCGGCCTCAGATTCCCCATCTTTGAAATGTGGGGATTGGGTTTTATGAAATCTCAGGTCCTTCCAGTTGGTCACTGGCTCTAAGAATTAGTTTTAAGTTGCAATGCTGGAAATCCACCTGAACCCAGTGTTTGTTGCTGCCAAGCAGGAGAGAGGATGAATCCCTGGAGTATATGCTCTGTACGGGAAGGGAGAAGGCACTCTAAAGCCTCTCATTACCCACTAGGAAGAATTTCTTAGGGTTGGAGATAATCTCTTTTCCAGATGTGATCTGAGCGCCCTTGTCCCCAGTCACACCACCTTGCCGAAAAGGCCACCATTATAGGGTAAAGACCTTGCTGAATGAACCTTGGAAGAAGAAAAACTAAGTGCTAATCTTGGCTTTGCTATAAACCTTGGGCACATCCAAGTCTGCTCCATATGGATGTGCAGTTTGTACACTGTACAAATGTTCAGTGGTCAAGGGGTCAATGGGGGCTATGGGCTATGACTCTGCTCTCAATCCAAAGTCTGGCCAAACCAAGTGGCATTATTCTGTACTTTACCCACCCAGAAATGGCACCTGATTGCAACTTATTACCCTGGGTGGTAGGGGGTAGCACCTTTCGTCAGTTTGCGTAAAGGAACCTTTCATGTTAGTCCCTCATTTGAAACTTAGATTCCCCATTTAAAAAAATAAAGATATTGCATCTACCTCTCACTGCACATGAGGGACAGTCCCTCTATTAGGCTCTTACCTGACTCCTAGGACTGCTAAGACAGAGTATAATGGTGGCTAAGAACATAGGCTTTAGAGTTGGGCAGACTGGGTTCAAGCTCTGCCTCTGTCACTTGTCCTTGCTGGACCATGGTCAAATTACCACTTCTGAGCCTCTATTTATACAGTTCAACTGAGAGTCAGCTGTGTACGAGACACTGTGCTAGCACTGAAGACCCAGTGGCAAATGAAATAGATTCAGTCACTGCCCTCTCAGCACTTTCAGGTCTTTGAGCAAACAGATGAATTTGTCCAAGGTCACAAAGCTACTAGATGACAGAACTGGGACTCAAACCCAAGTCCTTCTGCCTTTGAAGCCTATGTTCTTATCCACCCTCCTCTCTGTCTTCACAGTCTTGGTCACAGACATCTCCTCGTCATGATGATCTAAGAAGGGATGTGAGGAGAATGCTTTAAATATCTTGGTGGTGGTGATGGGAAGTGGATGTGTTATGATTATCCCTTGTGTTTGGGACAAAGGACACTGCCTGCAATCCTCCATCTACACAACAGCAGAGCCCAACCCACATGCTAAGCATTTTTCAGGGGCTGTTGATGACAGATTATCTGGCATTCTGACATGGCCCAATCAATAGAACTGGAAGGTGCCTCAGGCCAAGGGCAATTGAATCCCAACCTTTTAGTGGCATTAAATAAAGCAATATTTATTTTGCTTTTGGTGCAAATATGCTTAATCCAATCCAGCTCATTGGTAATGCTGAAAAACTGCTGTGTTTGGGGGACAATTGCTGGCATACCTCATACATCTCTGCTTGTCAATGCCACTGCTCCTTAGAGCAGCCTCACGGTGCTCAGGGCAAGATTGATCTGGAGCCGCCAAGCTGCCTTTTTCTCTATCCTTCTTCAGAGGAGAATGAAAAAGAAATCATAAGGAGGGGAATTGAAATCATTGCTCTCATTCTAGCTGCCATTATTGCGAATAGCGATAAGGCATGATGTCCTTCATGAGATGGGGCTATTTATTTGGCATTTGTATAACATTCTCTGGAACCATTATATCTCTGCTATTGGGCAAACGAGAAAGAGAACAGGATAGGAAGATCAGACAAATGAGTAGCTTAGTGTCTCTTTTATAAATCACACACACTCACAGATGGCTGGGAACCTCAAAGGTGACTGTGAACCATCCTGCCATCAACAAGACCTGGGTTCAAATCCCAGGTCTATATCTTACTAATTGTCAAGTGACCCTCTCAAGATGAAATCTTTCTTGGATTTTATTTCCTTATTTATCAAATGAGGATTAATAATACCTATCTCATTTGATTATTGTGAATGAGTCTAGCATTTAGTAGGTGCTTACTTTTCAAAATATATCTGAAAGTAACTATCTAACCCATGTTTGCAAACCTGCAAGGTATTCATCCATGCTTTTGTTAATCTGTTCACTCATTCATTCATCCAATAAATATATTGAATCTTCTCTGCACCTGGGTTTATAGTAGACAATGTTGGAGTGGGGGTGGGAAAGATAACTCACACATTATCCCTGCCCTCATGGAGTTCACAGATTAGAGGAAGAAAGAAAAGATACTTAAGAGTATCTCCAACTCAAAATAAAGACATTATGTATTATGCAGTCATATGTAAATTTGGCCCCCATATATTTGCATTTTCTAGAATGGTCCTAATGTGAAAGATTCTTTCCCACTGGTGCCATAAATAGCCCCATTCTTTCTTGTCAGAACATAGGTCTTGATTTTGAGCTCATGCAAAATTTTCATCTTAAAAACAAATAATAGAATACAAGAGCACCAAGGAGACAGAGACTCAGGGCAGGGACCCAGGATTTTGCATTCAGTAACTCTAAACTGGCAGTCATAGGAGTGAGAGCCTGGCATCTGGAGGCCATCTTATGCGTTCCTCTGTCTTTAGGCAGCTGCTTTTTGGTCCTGAAACCACTAAAGAGAAAGAGCCTGTACCAGCCTTGGCCTCTTGTGCTTATAGTCAGTTAGGGACACAAGCAGAACATACTAGCAGCCTGTTAGAAATATGCATAATTGCTGACCATTCTTGCTTCCCTAACTTTGCACATGCTATACCCTTTGCCTGGAATGCTCTCTCATGCCTTGACTCTTGGCAAACTCCCATTTGTGTCCCACAAATCTCAAATGTTGAGCAATGCATGCAATTAATGTTAAGATATTGGTCATCCTTGACTAGTTGGTGTTTCATTTTAAAACTGTATCAACACTTTTCCTCGAATATTTTGTTTTCTTTGAACTTTAACTTAATTGGAAATATATGCTTTCTCCAAAGTCCCTTATTCTGGGGGTAAAAAGCCCAGTTACTGATGCTTTAGAATCATATATTGAGAGAGCCGAAAGAGATCTCTGTGAGTGAAGTATAGCATTCCATTTTACAAATAAGTCCATTGAGCCTAGGGAGAGGAGGTGACTTTTCCAAGATGACACAGACATTGGAGGTGGGACCTGTACCCCAGGCTCCTAGCCAGGGATCCTGCATCTTTACTAAGATGTTTTGTTCAGTAAATACTTATCTACTGATAGATTGAGTGCCATTAGAAGCATTCATTTAAAATCAGCTCAAAAGGTGCCCATGCAGGTACTACTCACTGAAGAATATCACAAATGCTTTAGCTTCTAAAAAGCTCTAGACTCTCTGAGGATTGAAGATGCCTGTGAATCACCAGTTACATTCTATTTTTATTAGCAGGCTGGATCTAGGAGTTGACCTTTCAGGATCTCTGACCTCTAACAATTTTCCTTCAGTTTTGAAGTTCTTTTTTGAATCAGAGGTTTCCTGGAAGCAGCATAGCCAACTGGGGAGACTATGAAGTCCAGAACGGGACACCTGAGTTCTAGTCTGGGCCCTTTAGAGTACTTGTTATGTAGCCTCGAAAGAATGGCTTACCTTTTCTAGCCCTCAACACTCCCACTAGAAAATTGAGGTTTACCATGTGATTGAATGGTCATGAGAACTATATAATATGAGACAGGAAAATGCTTAGGAGGAATGAAATGTTTGTTCAACAACTACTTCTTCGATGTCTGCCATGATCCAGGCTCTTTGTCAGGCACAGGAATACCAACATGAATAAGATGGCATCCTTGCTCTTGAGGAATTCATGGTCCAGTGGAGAAGCGGACTCAACAATTACATCTTGTCCTATAGCCACTTTGCTGGGGGAGCAACAGATGCTATGGGAGCAGAAGAAAAGCACCTACCCCTCATGTGCAGGGAGTGAAAATCCTCCTCTACTTCCTGGAGGAGCTGATATTTAAGTTTAGACAATTTCAACAGTGCCACAATTATCACCACTTCACTGCCATCACTGGCTATAGTTTGTTCAATGTTTATGTGTTTCTGAGAATTCTCCTGGTCCATTTATAGACATTAATTCATGTATGCAATCCAGAAAGTCAGAGTGGTTATCCTCTTTATACATATGATAAAACAGAAGCCTACAGGTGCATTTAAAAAAATAAATTTAAAAAAGATCACACAGCTGGTGAGGAACACAGCCAGAACTTAAACATAACTGTAAGTCCCAAAGCTGCTGGTCCCCACAGTATAAACCTGTTGTTCTGTGCAACTCCGTGGGGCAACGCTGAGAAGGATGGAGGAAGTAACTGGGAGGCACATTCAGCTAAAAAGGAAAGAAGAATTTTCTAATGGAAGATTCAAGAATGAGATAAGCTAACTGGAAAGGTGGTGAGTTTTAGGTCATAGAGGTATCCTAGAGCAAGCTGGTGACATGCCCAAGACAGTGCTGAGGACATTCCTATTTGGGGGCAGAGGAGAGGCACATAACTGAGCATCTCTAAGGATACAATTGTTTTATGATTACATCCTGTTGTCAAGGGTAATGTACCTTTCTAAATATTTAGATGCTCAGTGAGGGCTGGAAAAGCTTTGTGAGCACAGCACCCAGACCAGTGATTCCCTCTGTTTTTTGACTAGTCATTGGGAAGTGGACAATATAGGGGCCTGCCAGAATTTTCTATGACTTATTTCATAGGGCCATCTGATTAGGGGTGCAGTCAGCTAAAATTAACAAGGACTGACTCTAGCCACTTAAGCAAAAAGGGAATTTATACGAAGGGGCTTACAGAATCACACAGAAACTGGTAGCCAGACTTGAAAACCAGAGCAATTAACCGAGCAGCTCTGAAGGGCCAGAATACTCTGCCTCTGTTCCACAGCAGCACTGCTGCACAGCACTCCCTGCTGCCTCGCATCACCCAGTCCCAAGTTTACGTCCTGGGCAGGAGTGGCTGGTGCCTGAGCCTGGGTTTCCTATAGCTGCCCTGGCTTCCAGGGAACAAAGAGATAGAATCTGGCTCATCTGGCTTCCGTGGAGGGAGACGGGGCAAAATCATGCCTCATCTTGTAATGATGGAGGAGCAAACTCACCACATTCAACCCCCCATCTAGTAACAGGGTTAGATGCTGGGCATTCCCCAAAGAACATGGACAAATGCCCACTTCACCTGGGAGGGAACAGAGCATGGATTTGAACTCAGATCTGCCTAATTCCCAGACTGAAGGAAAAGAAGAGGTCATCCCTGACCACTGCTGCCCATTCCAGCCTCCAATGGACTGCAAAACTATTAGTCCATGTCATTCACATAGAACATAGCATAAAATAATAATACAGACCAATAAAAACAACAATATAGCATTTTTGAGTTACCATTATGTACCAAAACCTATGCATTAGCTCATTTAATACTCACAATATTGTCCTGCATTATAAATGGATATAAACCTGTAAGCATATCTTCTTCCTTCTGCTAGATTATACATTTCTTGAGGTTAGAGAATATCTCTTATCAATCACTCTATCCCAGCAACACTACCATGGAGCTTGGTGTGTAGAAGGTTCTTAATAAAACCGTGATGAATTGCTGTGTTTAACTCTTGCCTCATCCTTGTTCCCTGAACCAGTCTCTCCTCCTTAATTTACTTATACATTCTCAAAAGCAGAGAGCTTGCTTAAACTGTTTGTTCCCTAGAAGAGCATAGATATTAAAGCTGGATAGTCCTGGGTTTGAAGCCTGCTCCACCATATGCTGGCCGAATTACCCTGAGCAGGTTTCAGATGAGTGTGGCTGTGGGGCTCTCTCTCTGTCCTTAATCACTTTCATGAGTAGCAATACGTCAGATAAGAATATTTAAGAACTGCATGAATATGTCTGTAGATCAAGGCACTAGTCACAGCATTGAATGTTTCCTTTCTGAAAGACAATTTAATGTAGTCAGAGGAGAGCAGAGTAAGGAGAGCAATTGGTAAGATTTTGGACTCTGAGAATCAGGTTGACCTGAGCTCAAATTCTAACTCCATTACATAGTAGCTCAGTGACCTTAGAGAAAGTTATTTACATTTTCTAAGCCTTTGTTTTCTCCTCTGTAAAATGTTAATACAGGGCTTGTATGGCATAAAAGCGAAAATGAAATGCGATAATTCATGTAAAGGTACTAGTAAGCACTTCTTAAATGTTAGCTACTGCTGCACTTACCACTATAAGCTCAGAAAGAAAAGATGGCAGGAACTACATCAAAGGCTAACAGGAGTTATATCTGAGTGATAGGAAGGTGATGTTCCTTTTTTCTTTTTTGCTTTCTATATTGAGGACCATTTTTCATTTTTAATAGTGATTTTACAGTCAGTCAATCCTCTTACCAAGCAATTCTACTTCTGGGAACTGTTCTAAGAAAAAAATTCTGAAATGTGGAGAAAACTTTAGGGATTATAGTATTCATCAGTTCATTTTGAAAATAGTGCAGCACTGAAAACAAAATAAATGTGCCACAGTGGGGAAATGCTAAATGAATTATGGGGGTTCATATAATGGGATGATATGTCATGTTATAACACTATTACAATGTTAGTTACAAAGAGTTTTCTAACAAAGAAACATGCTCATGTTGTAATGGCAAATGAAGAAGGGACTCCTTTGCAAGTTCAAGGTCAGGAGGTAACTTGCTGGCCTAGAAGGTGAGCATCAGTGATCCCCTCTGTTTAGAGCACAGAGAATGGTTGGTATCTAGGCATCACTGCTCTTATGGAAATCTTGGACCAGAGAGGACATTTCTTTGTGTGGTCCTCTCCACTGAGGATGTGGGGTAGGGAGAGTGCAGTCCATGATGAAAGAGGCTCTTGAAAAGCTTGTGGTCCATTTGTAGAAGCTCCTTCTCTACTTGTAGCTGGGGAAACGTAGGCCTTGAGAGAGCAAGGGACTTGCCCAGGGTCACGTAGTACACCATCCACAGAACAGGGGGACTGAACTCAGTGATATCTCCTCTGCATACCATGGGGGCATTATCCCACACTCACGAAGGATGGACTTGCCAGAGAGGCTAGGCAGGACGCTAGTGAAAATCTGAATGTGGAGCCAAAGGAAGTTCCTGGAAGTTTCCACATTATTCTCTGGTTCTCACTGAGACAAAAGTAGCATAGCACAGTGATAAGAAATGGGGTTCTCCCAGTCCCTCCAGGGGCATTGAGGAAAGAGGCATTTGGAAAGAGAAAGCTTATGCCCTGGTCTCCTCAAATCCACACATGCAACTAGCTGTCCAGGCTCAGCTAAGGAAGGGAAAGAACATAAACCTATGTAACTGGAGCACTTGAATCCAAGTCCAAGCCTAAAATGTCTGGAAATCTTCAGTCTTCTGCTGTACCCTGTCATGGAAGGTGAGGTGGGAGGAGGCAAGGAGAAGACAAGAAGACCAGGTAAAATATGATTACAGTTCTCTGGACCTTGGCCCACACTCAAGGTAATACCAGAGGAAGTGGTAAAAAGGTGTTGGGTTATGGTGTATTTTGAAGGTAGAGACAATGAATTAGCTATAGGTGTGAGCAAAGAGGCATAATGGGAACACCAGTAGTTGTGGCCTGAGCATTTTTCTCAGCTGCAGTGTGGAGAAGATGTGCATGTGTGTCTATGGGTCATGTGTCTATGGATGCTGACATGAGGCTACACCACAGAAATACTTTTGAATCTCTCTGTGACTCAGTTTCTTACTCTGCAAAGTGGGAATTGCAATAGTAGTGACCTCACAGGGTTGTTGATGACACTGAAAGAATTAACTCATATAAAGTACTTAGAACAGTCTCTGGAAAATGATAAATGCTAGGTAAGTGACATAATCACTGCTCCTACTCATAAGCATATTTTGACAGGTGAGAAGCTCAGCTTATCCTGTCTATATTGACTCTTACTTTGGGTACTGCCTAGGTGTTCTCTGATGGGATTTGATCTGAATCGTCACTGGCTGGATCCCTCTCCATGGGTCCATCCTACCCTGCATGGAGTGAAACAACTCATCGTCCAGATGTACAACGACCCAGTAAGTAACTGAATGCCCTCCACAGCTGCTGATCTATGGCTTGATCTGGGAAAGGGCAGCATTGTATTGGGAAAGTCCACTAGAAGCTGCAAATTAGGAATACATAGCTAAAACCAGGGAGGCACTAGGCCTGCTCTTCTCTGAATCCAGCAGACCCAAGGACCTTCTCCCAATCTCTTTTCCTGCAACCTCTCACAAATAGTGGATTCAGTTTTGGAGGTCTGGAGGGTTAAAGGAAATATATTGGAGTGTATCCATATTTGTCAGGGATCTTTGGTTACAAGCTAAAGAAATAGGACTTGAATTAGTATAAGAAAAATAGAGAATTTATTAGAAGAATACCAAGGGCATGTCATGTAATTGAAGACTGTAACCTGGCTTCTTCTACACATAGGGAACTTGACTGCTGAGTGTCACATCCAAAGGTTCTCAACACTACAGTAACTTATGCTCATTTTCCAGTTCCAGTTCCAAAAGGATTGTGATTGACCTAGTCGGGAGGACAGGCCCACTTCTGGGCAAGTCAATTCTGGCTCAGAAGACAAGAATATGCAAGGACAAGGCAGCCTCTCTGGAACCATGTGGATGGAGTTGGAGGGTGGGTTGGTACCTGTTTTCAGAAAAGAGGGCCTACCATTTCAGAAGAAAGAAGGGGACATAGGCAGACAGAACAATGGGTGTTCACACCAAGTTTGCTCCCTGGGGCAAGTTCTTGTTTGTAAGAAACAGGAGAAGACAGCAGGGTTTCATAGCTTAGAGAAATGAAGCAAACCACGGTATTCTGTCTCTGAAGAGCTATCGCAGAATGGGGGGACAGACCATTTTTTCAGGTGGAGGATATGGGAAGAGGTAGAGAAATAGAACTTTTTAACAACTATAGCTGCCTAAGAATGGAGTATGTGTGTGTGAGCTGTGAGCTTTGCTTTACTAAAAGTGTTCAACTTTTAGTCCAAAAGGGTGCACAGAGGAGACTCAATTGTTGGAAGACATTCTAGTGAAATTCCATTTGAGTCCCTTCCAACTTCAATGACTGATTTTATGACCCATGACTGCTGTCAGGTGAGAGATGGTGATTGCTAAGACAACAAAAGTCACACAGTTGGGGTACTTCAGAGATGCACCAATGTAACCCATTCTACTTACCCTCATTGAGGATGCCAGTGAAAATTTCCTGAATTAAAGAGCGACATAGGTATTGATCAGATAGAAAAGTGCGCTTAAAAACAAATGCGATATATTAGAGCAGGGATTAATGAAAAAGTCAGTCCTGAGGTGCAATGTAGTTTTCTTGGCTATGAAACTCAACTGTTATCTTGGTCCTCCTATGTAAATTTTGCTTTCCTAGGTCCTTTCACAGTATACCTTCTGTGTCAGGTCTTGCATAACCATAACCCTAGGATATTTGCTTCCTTCGCCAGCTCATCCTTCTTTGTCTATAAAAGAAGGTGTGAACTGTGCTCACCAAATCCATATGCAGAGATAGAATGATTGTGGTTTGCTGCCTTTCTCTAAGATTTGAAACCCCACTGTCTTCTCCTAGTTCTTACAGACATGAACTTGTCCCTGACCTCTCAATGTCATCCTGATCAGCTTTCCTTGCAGAGAGAAACTGCTTCTGATTTTCTCAGGAAGAATCTGTAGTCTGCAGAGTTCTGCCCTCCCAGGCTTCTGTGTTGACTGCAGTTTCCCTGATAGAATAGCAATACTTCCTTCTCAAAGAGAACAAGCTCCTACATTTTTTTTCTCATTTGGCTGATAATAGATATTCAATAACTGCATGTTGAGTTGAATTGGATTGAACACAGAAAATCCTATTATGCCAAATGCAATATGGTTTATAGATACAAAACAATTATTCCCAGGTAGAATGATGAGGCACAGTAAAAAACAAACCAAACAAACAAAAAAATGGCATTGGACCAGAAGGAGTGACAGAGTGGAAACCATTGAACAAAGTGGTATTTTAGTTAAATCCCCAAAGAGAGAAATGGGAGTTTAGGGGCAGCCTGGGGGAGGAACACAAGGGAAGTAGGTTAGGGTTGCTAAAGAGGAAAAGGCTTCGGCATACCATTGCTGTCATTAATTATTGATTTACTCACAAACAACCGGGCGCTCATTCATGCTACAAAACACAGATCCAGCAAGAGTGAGTTACAGAGATGTTAGGAAATGATTTGCGTCATGAATACATTGATCATCAGCTGGTTAGATCTTAATAAGTACATCTTGGGTGCTGAGCTAGTTGTATAAGCCATTTTCTTACTGAAAGGCTACTCATTTATGCCTCAAGCAAGGGTGTGGAGCACTAATATAGGAGTCAAGCTGGCCTGGAATAGCATCCCCGCTCCCTCAGTTCCTTCCTCTTTTCCCCACTCTCTCTCTCCTCACTCAATCTTTTACTCCATTTTTTCCTTTCTTCTCTATTTATTTATATATGGGCTTTCTATGTGCACTGAGGTTCTACTAGTGAAAAAGAAAAACCCTAACCCTTGCAATATAGTGGGGAAATAGACTTTAAACAAGTAAATACTGATAAGTATGTATTTATAAGATATGTCAGGGGTTACCAAGAACAAAAGCACAAAGTATGACTTCTAGGTAGAATGGTCATAAGTCTTGGCTTTCCTGGTTTATACCTACTGTCCTGTCACTCACTAACTGTTTAGAACTAACTAAACAGTGAGTTCTGGTTTATACCTACTGTCCTGGAGTATCTTTTAACAATGCCCTCTTTTCACTCCCGAAATTGTTCTGATTTGGATGATAAATTGTACACTCTGTCTATTAAAAATGATGCGAGGCCAGATGCGGTGGCTCACCCCTATAATCCCAGCACTTTGGGAAGCTGAGGCAGGCGGACCACCTGAAGTCAGGAGTTCGAGACCAGCCTGGCCAACATGGCAAAACCCGGTCTCTACTAAAAATACAAAAAAAATTAGCCAGGTGTGGTGGCACATGCCTCTAATCCCAGCTACTCAGGAGGCTGAGGCAGGAGAATTACCTAAACCTGGGAGACGGAGGTTGCAGTGAGCCAAGACTGCGCCACTGCACTCCAGCCTGAGTGACAGATCAAGACTCCTTTTCAAAAAGTATAATAATAATGATGCAAAAACACCTAGCACAGTGCTGGTGTACAGCAGACCCTCAACAACCATTACCTGGATCTGATTCAAATTCACATTTGACTTCAGACATCTTTGTGCCCAGTTGCAAACACTGCAGTTCCCTGAGGCATCTGCCCTAAGAGCTTTAAGTGCATTTCTGCTCCTGAATTTCAGTGTCACATACATAGTCACTCAACCCTGAACTATCTGAACTGCCAGGACAACTTCTGGGCTTTTTTCTAAATGCACAGTCTCACTCCTCCTGTCCAGGTTGCCTTCTGCCCACAGAATCAACAAGCAGAGAATCAGCAAGACCCTCCAATATCAACTGTCATTCCTTCAGGCCCTGTGCTGGGTGCCGAGTTCACAGCCTGGTGGAGACAGACATTTACAGACAGTTATTCTAGGTGCATTTATAGAGTAAAGCACAGGGGTTGTGGGAACCCAACCCAGGAGGCAACACCTGGGCTGATACATGAGGGATGCTCAGGTCAGGGAGAACTTTCCAGGCAGAGGAAACAGCATGTGCACCTGCCCTGAGAGGGTGTCTTACTCAGGAGGCTGGAAGTCATTCAGTGTGGCTGTTACCAGGGGCAGACAGAAGAGGTTGTTATGACACAGGGAGCAATCTGGACTTTACTTTCATGGGAATAGGGAGCCACTGAGGATTTTAAGCAGGGAATTGACAAATTAGGTTTGCATTTCAGAGAGACCCCTCTGGTGCCTGTTAGAAAAATAAATTCGGACGGTGCCGAACTAGAGACAGTGAGACCATTAGAGTTTGCTGCTGTGGAGTTGAAAAGGAAGAAGAGGAGTCTAGAGGTAATAAGGAGCCAGACCTAAGGGACATGGTGACTGTGGCTGATGGGAGAGGAAGGAGTCTTGCATGATCCCTATGGTTTTGACTTGGGCAGCCGAGTAGTGTGGTACTTTTCCTGAGATGGGAACCCAGGAGGAACAGTTAGTACAGGGCCAAGTGATGCATTCATCTTTAGAGGTGCTCAGTGTACAGTAGACCTGAAGTGATATGTCTGGCCTGCACTGGAAGGCTTCTGGAATGAGCCCTTCTATGTGTTCCTAACCTGGAAACAGGAGCCTGCTGTCCTTGTATTAGTGATGACATTGACTTCAAAGGCTGCTTTCCTAGCCCTGTGCTCACTAAAATCTTACCCCTCTTGGGGACATTGGGTATTAAATGATGATCTTGAAAACAAAGTGTTTAACCAAGAGGACTACCGTTGATCTGAGACATAGTGTTTCATTCTCCACTCTCATGATAGCTGCCTGTGGACACTGTGGCCTGGCCCCTGTTTGCCAGTTATGATTGATTGTCCCCCAGGGAAAGGGTCTGGTTAACTCATCTCAGGGTCTCTGGCGCCCAGCAGGGACCTGGCTGTAAGCAGGTGCTCAGGATAAATGTTGAGCAAATGATGAAGCGAACCTAGAGCTTCTGTGACTTGGTTTTAGAAGACTTTCCTGATAAAAGGAAGAATTGAACCACAAACCCCTCCCCAATCTTATCTCTCCCTCAGAGTATCCCCTGATCCCACTGCCACCATCACTGTGTCCTCCTTTAATGAAGGCTCTGATCTGGTGACAGAGATTTCCCTGCAACCTGCTGAGATTGTCCAACACTCCCAAGGATAGAACCTGAGATGGCATCACCCACTCCCATTCCCATGAGAGAGGATTCTGATCATCTTCATATACTTGCTTCAGTCCTGGACTCGGCATCTACCCCATTTTACCCCCCACTGAAATTAGCTCTCTATGGCCATCAAGGGTTCACTCAGATCCCAGATCCCTTGTCTTCCCAGTCCCTAACCTGCCCTCACCATCTAACCATGTCTTGTTTGGGAGCTGTACTTAGACATTTTGATATCTTTAGTGGTGGTAAAGATATCAGTTTTAGAACTGGTGGGAGCCAGTTCTAACTGTTCTGTAATCCAGGTCTCTCTTTCCAATTCTGATTTTAGATCTGAGATCTAATTAGCACCAGAAATGATATTACCTTTCAGGCGAGAGCTTACCCGCTGTCCATGGGAGTTTGGCTTTCTCCTAGTACACACACCACAGAGTATGACAGTGACTTCACATCACACAATCAGCCACACAACCAGAGTCACTCACCCACAAGGCCACAGACAGGGCCCTCCTCTCACAGCTATATCCAGTTATGATCTTAGAAAGCTAAGCCCATATGTGAATGGGCTTCCCAGGACCATCCACCTGCAACTCCACTAGCATCTAACTATGTACTTGTCAGGTGCACCCAGTGTTTGATGAAGCTAAATAACAAAGTAGTGTTTGCCTTAAAATCCTCAGTTAATTGACTGCAGCACACATTTTTCAATGTTCCCATTTGCAAGACTCTTGAGCTATCTCTGGGGTTACAGAGATTAATAGGGCAGAGTCCCAGTCGGGAGAAGCTTACAATCTGATGAGAAGGCCAGACCCTTATGAAATTTTAATTCCAGGCAGTTAGGAAGGTGTGCTATAATTAAGCAAACAGTGCTTTGGAAACGTGGGGCTGAAAGAGATTAATCCATGTGGGGGTGGGGGGTGGGTGATCCAAGGAAGCTTTTTTGAGAAATCTGCATTTGTACTGGTCCTTTGGAGATTGGTAATACTTCATCAGGTGGCTGAGCTTTGGAGAGAAGGGAAGTTATAGGGAAAGGGGAGAGGGCATTCCAGGAAAATCTGAGCAATGGAATGGAGGTGGAAGACCTCAGCTTCTGGGCTTGGTGTGCAGGATTTATAACAGGTAGCTGTGAGGAGGGCATGTGAGGTGCAGGCTGAGGAAGCCCATGGATGGGTTTGAACACTGCCCCAAGGCATTTGGCTTCTTCCTATGGCCCAATGCTCTCTTCTTACTAAAATCAAGGTCTCAGGCCCACTTTTAAATTGATTTTTAGCTGAATTAAATATCACGACTAAAAAAAAAATCAAAGCAAGGAAACAAAGTGCCGCTTGTTAGGAATATTCCAGCATATATCCTCTCTCAGTCTTGAAAATCAGAGTAGTCCATGGAGAGTCCTCAAAAACGCTGGAGCAAGGGAAAGAGAGATCAATGAATAGCATTTCCAGCCACTCAATTCTTCAATCTAGAAATCTTGGAGTCATTCTAAAATTTAAATCCACCTGGGTCTGTCTTCCCTGCTTTAAATTCTTTCAGTGGGCCTGCATTACTTCTGGAATAAAGGCTAGTGTTCCCTGGCATGCTGCTCAAAAACATGCCCTATTCATTTCATTCAGCACCTTTCTGTACTCCCAGGACCTAGCACAGAACCCGGCACTGTAGAGAATATTCTGTTGAATGATGAATGCACTGATGAATAAACAATGCATGCTTTAGAAAATTACTAAGGCTGCAGTGTGGAGAGTGGATCAAAGGAGGTGAGACTACGTGGGAAGAAGGGAGACCAGGTAGGTGCTTACTGCCATAGCCGAGGTAAGAATGATGAGATCCCAACTCAAGTGAAAAGGCTGTTGCTAGGAAGAATCCCCCAGGGTCTGTCTGGGGAGGTGAATGGGTTTCCAGCAGCCCTTTCCTTTACCTCCAGAGTCCCTCAGAACCCAAAGTTGCTATTTTGAGAGGTTTGTACACTCCGAGGTGATTTCCCCCCGTTTACTAGAGGAGAAAGGCCCTCCTCAGCTGCTGCCTGTGTTGCTATAACAACTTGGCTGCAGCTCTTTTAGACAGATCCGTTTCCTTAAATCATTTAAGGAAAATTAGCTGCCATAACAACGCAGAGCAGTTTTTAAAATAGAGCAACACGGGGCTGGCTTTTTTTTTTTCTTTTCTTTTCTTGCCTCCTGCAGCCCTTAAGATAAGCTGCTCTCTTTCTGTCAAATAAATAAATAAATTATAACACATTTACTTGACAAACAGAGCAGCTGGTGACATGGTCAAATAACACACACAGAACCAGCACTCATTCACACCAACCCACAAAATACACACACAGATACACACACACAAGCACGCAACATAGCCATATGCAGAAAACACATACATTCACAAATATCAAACAGAAAATACGTATACATAAAAACATAAACATGGTAAATAAAAACAGGCACATAAACAAGTATGCAGTTCTACATAATTACACCAAGGAGACATACAAAAACACACAGCGCAGTTTCACCATTCAATTAAACCGAGGTCTGTTCTTAGGGGAAGCAGGGGTCCCACTGGGTCACCAGGTTAGAAGGCCCTCGGATGGCAACTCCTCACTAGAAACCAAGGGACCCGAGTGTCCATACCTGACAGGCTTTCGAGTCCATTGGCCCAGAGGAGAGTCTTTTTGTGGAAGGAGTAAACCCACTTTGTGGAGGGTGAGGGGTAAAGGATACCCCTCATACACCCCACGTACACATCAGAAATAAACTAGGAGGACAGGAGGCCATAGCCATGGCATTCTGGGTGAGGTAATTCTTTACCCCCTATGGCAGGATATTTATCACTCCCTAGGAAAAGACAGAACCACCCCTGTTAAAAATCACATCCCTAGGGCACTTGCCGACTGTGTCACTGAGGCCTTAGCAACTCTGGGAACTGGACTGTGGGTCCCCAAACCTTTGTTCCATCCCCATGTTTCCTGACTTGATTATCCCAGAGGTTCCCTGCAGGGAGCAGCTGAAACTGTGTGGCAGTAAATGGGGTTGGGAATATGAAGTCCTCTGCCAGGGTGGCTGAACCACTCATTTGCTTGGTGCTCATAGGTGAGTCTCTTACCCTCTCCGGGACTTTACTTTCCCCCTTGTCTACACATAGTAGAGGTTGAAGATTGGTCTCCAAAGAGCCCCTCTGGCTCCAGCTTTCTGTGCCAGATAGAGATATCTGTTGGGTATAGCTCTTGATCCACTGATGGGCAGAACTTCCACAAGGCACAAAAGTCCTGGCTGCTGCCAGAGAAGGACAGACTGATTGGATGCTTAATGAAAGTGCTTAGTACAAAGCAGATACTCCATAAACGTTAGTTTCCAAAGCCTCAGTATGCCCATCTGCTAAAAGAAAAGAACAATTTCTGACCTGCCTACCTCACCAGTTGTAGAGCAAGATCCAATATATGTGAGTGGAAAGTGTTTTCTAAAGGCGAGGAAGGATTCTTGCCCTGGAGTTGGGTGGAGAGGAATGTCCTGTTGAAATGTTCAGACAGCAGCCAGCTGCTGGAGGTGCCATGAGGGATAGATTAAAGCACCCACACCAGCACCATGGGTTGCACTCTTAGGTCTGCTCAAACAGTTTTCCACTCCTACCTACGTGGCCCAGGAAATCAGTAAATAGCCACTGGGGTGAAAGGTTCAATATGGAAATAAAGACTTGAAGTAAATGTGATATTGTACAGGGGGCTCTGAGAACATAGGGTGCTTTGGATTCATGAAATTTTTACAGTTTTTCCTACAGCAGTTCGAGATGGTTTATGAAACTTTAAGGAATTTTAAGAGAAATCATTACTTTTCTGAAGGGCAATTTCTCCCACCTGTGATAAAAGACATGGTTTTTCTAACTCTAGATTTTCACTTTGACTCCAGCAGAAAGCAGGGTAGAGATGGATTTCATGCTTCAGAATAATATTCCTGTCAAGCAGGTTGCCTCCTTCAATTTCTGTAACACCTTTTCATCCCGAAAGACTCTGGATACCTCTCAACTACTGACTAGATACATATTACTTCAATTGTAGAGTTTCTAGAAGGTTCTCTTTGAGTCCAGCCCATTACACTCTCTATGCCTCAGTTCCCCTGTTTGTAAATTGGGAATGGCAATGCTCGTCTCCTGGAATTTCTGTTAGGATTAGATACTATGCATATACATAACCTTTAGTAGCAGGTATATGAGAATAGACTTTACGTACCTGGCTATTGCAGCACTTACCTCACTGTCCCCCAGCCGCAGCTCCCATACTCCACTACACACTGTAACTCTATTAAGGGCTTAGCCTTAGCATTGGTTATTTTTATATCCCCAACACCCAGCACAGGGAACAGGCCCTCAATGAATGTGTGTTAGGAGAGAGGGAGAAAAGGCAGGCAGGAAAGAAGAAAATCACTTATTAAAACCTGGAAATGCATGACTATAATTCCAGCATTTTGAGAGGCTGAGGTGGGAGGATCACTTAAGGCCAGGAGTTTGAGACCAGCCTGGGCAACAAAGTGAGACCCCATCTCTAAACAACAAGAAAAAAGAAAGAGAGACAGAGACAGAAAAAGAAAGAAAGAGAGAGTGAGAGAGAAAGAGAAAGGAAGGAAGGAAGGAAGGAAGGAAGGAAGGAAGGAAGGAAGGAAGGAAGGAGAAAGAAAAAATGAATTAGCTGGGTATGGTGGTGCAGGCCTTTAAGTCTTAGCTACTCAGGAGGCAGCAGCAGGAGGATCCCTTAAGCTCAGGAGTTCTTGGCTATAGTGAGCTATGATCGCGCCATTGCCCTCCAGCCTGGGCAATAGAGCAAGACACTGTCACGTGCACACACACACACACACACACACACACACACACCTGGAATTAACATCTGAACAGACTTGTGAAAATACAAATTCGCTGAGTAAAGTGGAGAAAAAAACATTCCAAGCCAAGTGACACTCTCAAAATCCTCCGTACTCTTTAGAACCCACCTGCAAGCCTATCATCTTCAAGGGTTCCCTGTATACTTTGTTCCACAGTGAACCCTCATTTCTTTGTTCTTCTGCAAATCCCTCCAGTGCAAAGGATCTACCTTCACCTCCCTGCTGCCCTGGCCAGGGCCAGATGCTTATTGGTAGCTCAGTGAGAACCTCTTGAGCAGTTGACTGATCAAAATGCCGTCTCTCTAGAGGGTAGTTGTTTGGATTCCTACAGGCATCCCACAGAGCTGGGTAAACCCCCTGGTTAAGGTGCACATCATGCTGTGTTTTAGTGATCATTTTCCTGTCTGCCTCCTTTATTCTTTGAGCTTCTCAAATACAAAAATTGTGTCTTTTTCATTTTGTTTCTCCATCTCCTGGCAGAGTCCAACACTTAGTAGGCACTCAATGGGTGTTTAGGGAAATCTTGGTAGCTCCCTTATCTGACCCATCATTTCCCAGCAAGACAGCACTGAAACATCCCAGAGAAATTCATTGCAGTCTCAACTTTCAAACCTCTATAATTCTCTCTCACTGTATTGCATTTCCATTAACTAATCTTTCCTTCATATTTTGCCCCTGCTGATCCTCTGTTACAAAGAGCTCCCACATATGGAATCTCTTCTCAAGCTCACAAATTTGGAAATTCTGGAGCATTGGAATCCACCCACATAGAATCTCCATCAGAAACCCACAGATTCTAAAGTTTTCTTCTTTGCTCCCTCTCTGCTGCTGATATCTATTCAATTTACACTGGTTTCAAAATTAGACCAAACTTGCTTCTCCATTTTCTATGTCCCATGGTCACTCAATTACCCAGGCCACAAATGAGCTAAAAAAGAGTCTCTGTGGGTAGTCTGACACTCCTGCAATAACCTCTTCTCAGTTACCAAACTACTCCAGTTTACCCCAGGTCATCTCTTCCAGGAACTTTTCCAGTTAACCCACTCCATCCATTTGTTACTCCTCCCATATACTCCTCCCTTTCCATGCCCCCGTCTGAGCAGGTTCCTATCTGCATATAGCCTGCTACCCCATTAGGGACTCAGCTGAGCAGGCTGCAGAGTACAGGTTACATTTTAGGGTGTTTTGTGTTCAGTATGTGTGGAACTTCTCCAAGAGTTATTTTTGCTTGTTGCCATTGAGAGGCTCTCAAGCCCAAGACAAATTCACTGTGGTACATCAAATAGCATATTGCACTTCAGAAATCGGCCTTAGCCATGGGAAATCAAGTAAGCCAGATGCCCAATTTGTCCATTATTTACTGTGGTGGAAACAGCTGAATTCTGATAAGAAAAGGACCAGGCTAATCACTCCTTCCAGCAAGAACTGAAGTGTTTAACCTTCTATCAGGAAATTGCCCCTATTTTCTTTAAGTCCTAATGCCCATCTCCCAACTCCTGTACTGGTCCCATGTGTCTGACTGTGGGAAGCCTTATCAGCTTGGGTATGGCCTGGCCTTCTGGCCAATGAGCCTTGATGCTCTACCACTCAGCAAGTCTTTCTAGGCTTGCTTTCACTTGAAGGCTACTAAAGTGTATAGATAATCTTCCCTAAACAGTAATCTTCAAAAGAAAAAAGTCATTCATTTACCCATTAAAGATTTCCTGAGTGCAGGCATTGTATGCTAGAACAC
Source organism: Homo sapiens (assembly GCF_000001405.40). Taxonomy (NCBI): domain Eukaryota; kingdom Metazoa; phylum Chordata; class Mammalia; order Primates; family Hominidae; genus Homo; species Homo sapiens. The sequence continues at coordinate 48,623,149 of NC_000001.11, read as the reverse complement.
AATGGCAAATAACAGTCCCTTTGCTCAAGGAGCTGATGATCTAGATTAGAGCAGTGGTTTTCAAATTGTTCTTAGAAAAGTTGCAAGGGGTCTGAGGGGGCTTCTCTCCATTTTACCCAGAGCAGGATAAGTTTGTGGTTAAGAGCTCAGGCTCAGGCCCGCGTTTAAATCTCAATTCAACGTTGACTCAATAACTTTGCTACCTTTGGGCAGGTTCCTTAACCTTTCTGAGCTTCAGTGTCCTTGTTTGTAAGGAGTTGTTTTGAAGATTAAATGAGGTGATGCCTGTGACTTACTTAAGGCATTGTACCAGGCACATAATTCTCAAAAAAATTTAACTATTATTAGTATAAGAAGTGTATTTGAGGCCAGGTGCAGTGGCTCATGCCTGTAATACCAGCTCTTTGGGAGGCCAAGGCGGGTGGATCACCAGAGGTCAGGAGTTTGAGACCAGCCTGGCCAACATGGTGAAACCACATCTCTACTAAAAATACAAAAATTAGCCAGGCATGGTGGTGGGTGCCTGTAGTCCCAGCTACTCGGGAGGCTGAGGCATGAGAATCCCTTGAACCCGGGAGGCAGAGGTTGCAGTGAGCCGAGATTGTGCCATTGCACTCCAGCCTGGGTGACAGAGCAAGACTCCATCTCCAAAAAAAAAAAAAAAAAAAAAAAAATGTATTTGAATAAAAGATTCCTTGAGCATAGAAAGTTTGCAAACTTCTGGTCTGGAGTTCCAAACCAAATCAACCAATGATTGAAGCACAGGGTAGCACATGTTAATGATAGACAAGGGCTCCGGGTACCATGTGGGTAAAGTAGGGTCATCTGAACTGGACTTAGGGGTCAAGCAAGGCTTTCTGGAAGAGGTAATCTCTGAGATAAGCTTTGAAGGAAGGGTAGGATTTTTTTAGACAAAGACTGGGGGAAGCATTACAGCAGGGGAAGCAGCATATGTGAGGACACAGGTATTAGGCAGGTGAACATACTTAGGGAATTACAAGGAGTTTGGTTTGCTGGACTGGACCAGGAGAGCATGTGGAGAAGGGGCAGGAGGCAAGGCTGGGTGGCAGGCAGAGATGATTCATAGAGAGCCCTGTGGGCTACCCCAGGAAGCTTGGATGTGACCCTGGGAGCCATGGATGACAACACTTCAGGGAGTAGAAAGACACAGAATTCAAAAGAGAGAGAGAAAAAAAAATCTTACTATGAGTTTCTGGGTTGTAAAATATATTGTTTTGTTTAAAGCTTTGAGCCAGCAATTGCAGTACTAGAAACCTAGACTTCAAAAAAATCTGAAGTGTGAATAAGGATTTATGCAAAAAAAAAAATGGCCACAGAATAATTATTTAAAAATAGTGAAAAACCCAGGAAAATCTAAATGCCTAACAGTGGTAAACTGAGTCAATCATGATACATTCATATAATGGATGTTTATGAAGAGTTTTATATTATTGTTAAAATGCTTATGCTATAATTTTAAGTGGAAAAAAGCAGAAGACAAAGTTGCTTATGTATTATATGTTAAGACATATATAACAACTAGGTTTAAAACATACGCAAAAAGAATGGATGTAAACTAGATGTTAGCAGTGGTATTTCTGGGTCCTAGGGTGCTTTTTTTCCTCTGCTTTTTTATACTTTCCAACAATTTTCCACAAGTATATGTTAACTTTATAACTAGAAAAAAATTATGGAAGGAGGAGGGGACCTAGCCACCCACATATGAGGAGGAGCTTTATTTTATAAAACAGAACAAAACTCATTAGAGTCCATTGCCTGGTTCTAGGTCAGTCCATAGGATAAAAGCCTCTTGAATCCAGCCCAACCCATATGATAGAAGAAAACTGGGTTCAGTACCCATCTATCCACTCGTCTGTCTAACCAGCCATCCTTCTATCTCTCTTTCCATCTATCTTATCTCTACTTTCTCTGCTCAAAATTCCTGTCCCAGAAGGCTCCCCATATTCAGGCTCCTAATGTCCTAGGAAATTTTCTAACTCTTCACCCTCTTTGTAAGTACAATAGGGAATTTCCCTATCCCTTCCCTAGAGCACACCTCACATTTCCTACTTTGATCCCTCTCGGTCAGCTAAGTCTTTGGCCTCCCAGCACTGCCCTGTCAGCCAGAAGGACTGGAGACAGACTCTTTAATCTGATAGGGATTAGGAGCAAGGACTCTGAAGTAAAAAATTGTCTCTAGCCTCCAGTTCCGGCTCTACCTGCCACCTCACCTTTCTGAGCCTCCATAGCCCTATCTGCAAAATGGGGTAATACCATCTCTTAGAAAAGTGTTGTGAGGATTAAAAAAACACCACATACACACACAAAAACCCACTAAGCACTTATATAGTGTGGTCTTTTGTAAGGCTGGTAAATTGTAAGCACTCAATAAATGTTAGCATTTATTATCAGCTCAAACCTAGTAATATACAATAGCTACTATTTCAATGTTGATTTCACAAAGGAATCTTCTGAATAATATTTCATTATCACCAATTATCACCATCTTTAAACTTAAGCATTTTAAAAACAGCTGTAGCTCTGGTTATTGAAATAGCAATGCAAGTAGGTTTTAAAAGACAGACTGGGCCAGGCATGGTGGCTCTTGCCTATAATCCCAGCACTTTGGGAGACCCAAGCAGGAGGATTGCTTGAGGCCAGGAGTTCAAGACAGAGAGAGCCTCCATCTCTACAAAAAAAATTTTAAAAGCCGAGCATGATGGTGCGCACCTGTAGTCCTAGATACTAGGGAGGCTTAGGCAGGAGGATTGCTTGAGCTCAGTGGGGATTGTTTGAGGCTACAGTGAACTATGATCATGCCACTGAACTTCAGCCTGGGAGACAGAGTGAGACCCTGTCTCTTAAAAAATATTTAAATACGTAAATAAATAAGGACAGATTAGAAGCAAGTTTGAGCCATTAGCTCAAATGCTCTGGCCACTCCCCATCCCCATCTTTGCAAAGTCTTTTTACAGCTGTGCTAATATCTTTAATTGGGTTACAATCAGCCCAGTTCCAGAAGCTTTTCTTTCATAGGGTTTCCTGCATTTGTCGGTTTCAATTCATTCCGAGTGGATTTTACGGTTTAACCTTCGGAGGGCAAGCCGATTTCCTTCATTCCGAGAGTTTGGGTATGTGTGCATGTGTGTTTTGGGGGCAATTCACCATAATCCCTAAGGGCTGACGACAGCCAGGATGCTTCTAGAATGAATTATCAGTAAATGCGATACTCTAGATCCCCCAAGGGCGATTCCAGACACCAGGAGAGGCTTGGGGCGGGGCTTCTCTCACAGAGGCTGGAGGCGGAGTTTGTACGCTGATTGGCAGCTAAGGCCACTGTACACAGCAGCCCCCACCGGCTGATCCTACAGGGCACTTCAAGGGCAAAGCTTTGCTTTAAACTCCTGGCACCACCTATGCAGACTCAGCAGTCGGGAGGATTGACTTACTCAGGCTCCCAGTTACAAGAGGAAAACTTCTTTCCTCTTAGAGTTTAGCTCCAGGCTATAACCTTGAAAAAGCCTCCAACTGCTAAGGCGAATCTTTATTAGTCATCTTTGCTATGTGACTCGGCCTCCTGGCATGGGTGGGGTGAATGAAAGCAGGGCTTCAGGACCCTGCAGAGCGGAAGGGGGAAAATGCTGATATTTGTTAAGCATCCATTAAGTGCCAGGCACTGTTTCATCTAGTCCATATAACAACCTCTAGAAATGAGCATTATTATCCCCATTTCTAAGGTGAGAAAACTAAGGCTCGGCGTGAATGTCCCTCCCCTAACCGTAATCTCTCCTGCTGCACACATTTATGACTCCACACCACACTAATCTGTTTACGTGCTTGTTTTCTCTCCTCAAATGTGGACTCCCTGAGGGATGAAACTCTTGTTTCCGTCACCTCTGCACTCTCTTGCACAGAGCATAGCGCCTAATACATCAGTAAAATGCCAGATGAATGGCAGAACAAATGAAAAGCAGTTGAAACCTGCAAGGTCACACAACTGGTAGTCAAAGGACTTGAAGTGGAAGCCAGATCTGCCTGATCCCAAGGCCCACGACCCTAGTGCAGAGCAGGGTGGGCATGCTCACCAGGGGCCCAGCAGCAGCCAGAGGCCCCTTGTTTCTCAGAGTCTCTTGTTTTAGCTTTAAAATGCATGGAAGCAGCCAACCTAGAAAGGAGAAATTCTATTGATTTCCCGTTTTTTTTTTTCTTGGTATAATGACATCTTTTAAGCACAAAAATTCAGAATTACCCCCATTATCTTTTGGTTAACATGATATTATAAATAGATTTATTCCATTACCTTGGGCACCCCACTCCTCCCCCGACCACTGTAAGAAACGTTGGTTCGAAAAGTCCAGAATGAACTCCAAAGATTGAGCATGCTAGGTAAATTAGGATCTGGGATCTTAAGAGGGGCTGGCTAATACTAACACAGGCAAGAGGTTTTGACCTTAGGATGTCTCCTGTTCCTCCACAGGTTGTTGCCATAGCCTGAGGATGTACACATCCCCAACTTGGCTACTTTTGACCTTGGATTAATAATGTAATTCTGGCCTTCTAGGATCTCAGAGATCATTTTGCCCTATGTGGAGCCAGAAAACTTCAGAGCTGGATGAACTAAAGAGGTGCTCCAAACTAACCCTTCATATAGAGAGAACACTTCAGCCCAGGGCAGGGCAATGGCTTGCTCCAGGTCACACAGTGGGACTGTAGTACTATAGAATTGTTAATCAAACTCAGGTTCCCAGGATTTCTACCAAACTTGGAGCACATGCACTCCAGGCCCCGGGGATGAATCACTAGCACGTGGGTCTTGTCATAACTATTTTCACTAATTTGTCACAGAGATGTATAGTTTTCAGAGCACATTCACATACAAGCATTCACTTGACCCTTTATTGCAACGTTGTGAGACAGGGATTATTGTTTTGTTTCGTTTTGTTTTAAGAGACAAGGTCCCACTATCTTGCCTGGGCTGGTCTCAAACTCCTAAGCTCAAGCGATCTTCCCATCTCAGCCTTCCAAAGTGCTAGGATTACAGGTGTGAGCTACCATGGCTGGCCTATTGTTTTGTTTTACAGATGGGGAAACTAAGACCTAAAGTTATTAAGTAACTTTCCCAAGAGACAGAGTCAGTATTGAATCTCGGTTCTTCTGACTCTAGGTGGCCCAGAGGTGAGCACACCCACTGATAAGTCAGAGGCAGAGAGGAACAGGAGTGGCAAGGTAGAGTCTCATCTCTTGCTTTTCCCTCTTTTACCTTTTTAAAAAAGCACCTGGACTCGGGTCCCCTCTCAGACCACCATACCTTTCCCAGATGTCTCTGAGGGAATGAAGGGTAGAGCAGAGCAAGGTGTAAGAGAAGCAGAGGGTACTCAAGGGTCCAAGCCATGGTCATGGCCGGCCCAAGGGCCGCCCCAAGGCAGAAGTGGCAGACGGAAGGCCACAGTAAGTCAAATTCTGAGAAACAACGGCCAGCCCGTAGGACAGAAAAAAGGTAGAGAGAATCCCCATGGGCATATGGTAGGAGGGATGCAGTTAAAACAAGAGCCATCACATGAACAGAAGCACGTAGGAAGAGAATAGCAGGAAGGAGGCGGGTCTGCATAGTTTAGAGAGTCCCTTTGGGGAAGGAATGGATTAAAAAAAGAAAAGTGGTCAGATTCTAAAGGACCTCAGAATACCAGACTGAGAGATTTGAATTTCATCATTTTGGCCAAAGGCAACTGTTAGAGGTTTGTGGGCAGGAAAAGGGCAGACTGACAAGCATTAGCTCTGATTATGCAATCAGCACCAGTGTTTAGACCTCAAAACAGTGACCCCTTTAATCTGACAGTCTGCTTTGGTATAATTTGTTAAAAATGACAAAATGTCTCATTTTGCTGCGGTTCATTTTGACCTTTTTTAATATTAGAAAGTTAATTTCAGAAGGGAAATAAATATATTAGTGTTGTCACAGTCATAAAAAGATGAATTCTCTTCTGTCAAGCTATTTCTTTGAATGAATCCATCATGCTGTGCAATGGTTGCTTTCTAACACTCAGCATCTTCTCAGCTCCCCCCTCCCTCCTTTTCTCCCTCCTTTCTTCCTTTCTTTCTTCTCTCTCCCCATCCCTCACTCCTTCCATCTGCCAACACATCTACTATGATGTGCTTTGGGGGTAGAGAGATAAAAGAAATGGTCCCTGCTCTGAAGCAACACTCACTCTAGTGGGAAAGGCAGAAAAGAAACCAGCCGTTGGAGGTGTGTCTAAATGCCACAAGAGGAAAGAACGAAGGACCCAGGGAGCATGTAGAGGAGCTGTTTATCCTGCAGAGGCAAAGGCCTCCTTTAAAGTTGGAAACTATGCCCTGTAGTAGGACTTGGGTTATGACTTTTGTGAAGGAGAAAAGACACTAAGGATTCTGAAGCTTTGGGTTCTACTCCCATCTCTGGTAATTAGACAGTAATTACTAGGGACAGAGCACCCAGACCATGGTAAGGATTTCACACACATTATCTCACTTAATGCTCACACCTTTATCAAAGTAGTCTTATTTTTCCCATTTTTTCAAAAGAGGAATATGAAGCTCGGGGGATGAAGTAATTTGGCCCAATTGGGTTGTAAACCTTATACATAGAGTTGACTCCAGAATCAGGGTGGCTTGCAGTGCGCTGTGCTTCATCTCCAGCTAGCTATAGAGAATTGTACTTTACTATTATGAACTATTCTGTACCAATTATGCTTACTGGTTGTATAACCTTAGAAAACCCTGTTCTTTTCTCACTCTGGATCTCAGTTTCTCATTTGTTCAATGGAGAGGTTATACGAGCTCTGAACGTCTCTGGTTGTAGAGGCCTCCTGGAATCTGAGGGCATGGTGTAACCTGGTGCGTCTCAAATTTTAATGCACAGGAAACACTTGGATATCTTATTAAAATTCAAGTTCTGATCAGTAGGTCTGGAGTGAGGTTCTGAGAATCTGCATTTCTGACAAGCTGCCAGGGCATGCTGATATTGCCAGTTCAAGTACCCTGCTATGATTTGAACGTATGTGCCCCTCCAAAATCCATATGCTGAAACTGAATCCCCAGTGCAATTGTATTGAGAGGTGGGCCCTTTAGGAGGTGATCAGATCATGAGGGCCCCTCCCTCATGGATGGGGTCAGTGCTTTATAAAAGGGAACTAGCAAGAACATTTTGCCCTTTCACCCTTTCATTACTTCCACCATGTGAGAACACACCTTTCAAGGCCCCATCATGGAAGCAAATGCCAGGTCCTCACCAGACACTGAACTGCTGGTGCCTTGATCTTGGACTTCCCACCTCAAGAACTGTGAGAAATAAATTTATATTATTTATAAATCACCCAGCCTCAGGTATTTTATCATAGCAGCACAAACAAACTGAGACCCCATTTTGAGTAGCAACGGTGTAACCGATGGCAGAAGCAAACTTTTGGGTCCAGGGTAGAACTACCGAGGATGTAAGATTTAAGATTGTTGAAATAAATGCAAATAGGAAAAGCAATCTTACTCAGATCTGGTCAGCAAATAGAGTTCTGGGTTCATTTTCTTACCTGGAAATTTTACTTTCTTGGGTTTAAAAGCAGTGATTCTCTTAAGAGATTAAAGGGAAGAAAACTGAACTTTTAAGGTTTTGAAGAACTTTTTATACTGAGATCACATCTGTTTTAATTCAAGTTTCAATCTGGTGTTTCCCCTGTAGCTCAGATTTCTATCTCAGGCAGGTGCAACAACTACTCTCCTATGGGGAGGAGGCTATCTCCTTTCCCTCCCTACATCTTGGTAAGATGCAGCTTCCTTCCCAAGATGCACCAGCACAGCCACAACTTTTTAAAGCATAATTGCCTAAAGGCTTTCAGGGCTTCCCAGTCATACAGGGGTAAGACTTCCCAGTTTGGTATTCAAAGATTCAGACTCATCTCTCTACATTCCTTTGCTTAAAACCTTTACTTTTATCCTAATATGCCTGTTCCTCTCCCAGAAGGACTTCTGGCCTGCCCACATTCATATTGCCACTCCTGTTGCATTCCTACCCATCCCTGCACTTGCACCCCCACAAACTCCCCTCTGATTGGACTTTTACCCCTCCCCTCTTATTCTCTAGCCCTCAGAATTCCATATGGCCTTCAGATGTTCATGCCATTGCTTCCAGAAAGCCTTCTGTCATTGTCACAGCTGTAAATGAGCACATAGTATAGGCTTATACATTTTGTATATCATTTATTTTCTAAGAATAACCATATCATCCCCATTTTATATATGAACAATAAGAGACATTGGGAATCCAACCTAGATCTATTGAACTCTGAAGTCTTGATTTCTTCTCTCCTTCTTTACCCTCCCCCCATACTTTGTTTGTATGTCTCTTGTATTATAATCACATATTTCTTTGTTTTAGAGTTATTTTTCTCTTTTGCTGAGAGGAGAATGTAGTTTTGTTGGGTTAAGAAGGTGAGGTAGATAGAACAACCTAAAAGACTGCTGGATGTTAAAAGTGAGGGGGAAGGCTGCAAGGGTAATGCAAACTGGGGGATAAGGGGCATATTTGCCCACATCTTTTCAATGGAAAAGCGACAAGAGAGCCCTTTGCAGTGTGCAGGCACCTTCTCTAGATTATCCTCATTTGATTCTCAAGATCACCTTCTTTGGGCTACACTTTGATGTATTCCTATGATCAGCCTCAATACTACTGGGTCCTATTCAAGTTAGTTAGGATTAATGAGTTAGATGCAATCAAATCACAGACCCTTGGAGCCAGAAGGAAAGTGAGAGATTCTTGCTCAGCCTCTTCATTTTACAAATGAGAAAACTTATGCTAGAAGGAAAATGACTTCCCCAAGGTCATTGGTGATTTGGTGGCAGAGATTCATTTGGCATTTATTACCTTTTTTTTCCTTAGCATCTTCCATTTCTGAACAAGGTGCTTCTGGGTGAATGTGTATTTTAGTTGATGCCAACAGTTCTGTGTGCAGCAGAAGAATAAGAAATAAACCTCAATTCTTTGACTCACCCTTGTTTCTCTGTCAACAAAGTGGGTTTCTACCAGTTTTCTTTTCATCAGAGGGTGACCTTGGAAATCTAAACCTTTGACACCTGGTTTTTCCTCTTGTGCCTTATGCTTTCCAACTCTTTCTCTAATTATTTCTTATGTATTTAGTAGTTAAAATTAAAATGCCCACTAACACAGCCATTTATCTCATGGCCTTAACTCATAATTATTGCACAACTGGAGGCAACCTTGAGAATGGGAAAAATGAAGAATACATTTCTGCACGAAACTGTGCTGTATTATTGTGGTTAGCTTTCGCTGTGAATACAACCCCAATATCTTGGTAGGTTACCACAGCAAACATTTATTTCATGTCCATGCTCTATAAGGGCTGTAAGTGAGCCAGCCACAGCTCTGCTGGCTGTGCTCAGCTGTATGTATCCCTCATCTAGGGCCCAGGCTAAAGGTGTCACCCCTATCTGGGACCTGCTGTTTTATGGCAGAGAACAGGAACACAATCTCATTTAAAGCTTCCACACAGAGATGGCAAATATCATGACTGCTCACATTCCGTTAGCCAAAGCGTGTCCTCAAGCCAAGGCCAAAGTCAGTGAGATGGTGGGTATATATACTCTTCTTAGATTCTTAGGCAAACAAAAATGACAATAGGAGATTTCTTATTACAGGGAGGGAAGAATAGTTAGGAACAATGATCTAATCAACCAAAATTACTTTATTGCTGAATCAGAATATGAGTTTAGGGAAATCATTTGCCCTCGTTGGACCCCAGTTTCTGATTGTTTAAAATGAGAAACTTTGCCTCTTTAGGGAAGCAAATTAATATTCTGAAAAAATTAGATATATCTAAGTTCAAATTCCAGTTGCACCACAGACTAGCTGTGTGATCTTAGGTAAGTTATTTAACCTCTCTCATTTCTTCATTTTTCTTCAAAAATTCAAACTATAGTTTTAAAAAACACACATACCTCTTAAAGTGTCTCATAATCTCTCTTTTTTTTTTGAGGCGGAGTATTGCTCTCTCGCCCAGGCTGGAGTCCAATGGTGCAATCTCGGTTCACTGCAACCTCCGCCTCCTTAGTTCAAGAAATTCTCCTGCCTCAGCCTCCCGAGTAGCTGGGACTACAGGTGCCCACCACCTTGCCTGCTTAATTTTTGTATTTTTAGTAGAGATGGGGTTTTGCCACGTTGGTCAGGCTGGTCTTGAACTCCTGACCTCAGGTGATCCGCCCGCCTTGGCCTCCCAAAGTGCTGGGATTACAGGCGTGAGCCATCGTGCCTGGCCCTCATTTTGTTTTTAACCCTAGAAATATCTTTTAGGGGAAAAAAAAGTCTCTTGTGAGAAAACATTTTTTAAAGATGTAATTCATTTAAGTTCTTTTAAACTTAAGAAAAACTGAATTCAACACCTCTTTTAATACAAATATTTATAGTGTATTTCTGTTTTTTAAAAGCACTTTTATTTAGCCATCTATTCTGCCAACCAGCTATACTAAAATCTGTCTGTAGGTGCAAGATATTGTTAATGGTCATTGTTTCTGGGCTGTAGGATTTCAAGAGATTTGTTTAACTTTGATCTTTGTACTGAGACAATGTCCAGGCCTTGGCTGTAAGACTGTAGAAAGAAGCCTCCCTGCCTTTCTTGACCTTCATCTCTATAACTGCAATGGATTCTGAACCATTCATGTAGACAGCACTTCTTCAGGATGCCTTCTCTGCCCCAGCCATCCAGTTTTCCTTCCCCTGAACTTTCCAACCCCTTGTGCTGGTCTCTATCACTGCACTTACTGATCAATCACTCTGAATGGGAGTTGTTTGATTTCTGCCTGTATCCTCACCAAGGGTGTAAACTCCTCTGACGTAAGAATTGGGCTTATTAATTTCTTTGATACCAGCACCTAGCGTAAGATCTGGAACATGGTAGGTACTTAGTAAATATTTGTTGAATGAATTAATAAATGTGGTTATATTCTGTCCAACCAGGCAGTTGATTCCCACAAAGTATTGAGCACACTCTGGCAGCAGGCCCCTGGCCGCACTGGCAGTTAGAAAAGCCAGTGACTGCTCCTCAGTACTGCCTGTGCAGGTTTGCATTATATGCAGCTCCCACTTCCTCCCTCTCCTCCACTTCCTAGGGCCAGAAGAGCTCCTTGTGTCTGAGCCTAGCTGTTTATGTTCCTTTTCTCATTATGAAATGTGGCAGGATTTGAACTTTAAAAATAAATGGATTGATTTTTATCTTGAGTTTTTGTTTGTTTGTTTCAGACTAGGGAGCTTTAAAAATCTTATTTTCTTAAAACCCATAGGGATAGTCTCACACAGATCCGAAGCGGCACACAAAGTGCTTATATATAGTGTTGCCTGGTGGTTAAAGGCATATGCTTTGCAGTCACATAGATTTATTTTAAATCCTTTCTCTCTCTTACTCAGCTGTGTGATCTTGGGCAAGTGAGGTAGCCCCTCTGAAACTTGATCTTTAAAATGAGGATAATGGCCAAAACTCTGGCTTATGTGAAAATTAAATGAGATGCCCGACATTCTCATTCTATGGTAAGAATTGCTGAGTTCTAACAGCTAGCCGGGTACTATTTTTAAAAGTCCTTTATTTGTATTAACTCAGTTCTCACCACTGCAAAGTAGATATTATTATCCCCATTTTAAGGATGAAGAAAAAAATAAAAGTAATTGTCCCTGCAGTCCTACAGGCAGCTCTTGTACCCAGGGAGTGTACTGGGTCCTGACATCTCTCTGCCCTCAGGGCAAGATCAGCATTGGCTCAGGCCATGACCCTCCCCGAAGAGTCTTTCTCCCTCCACTTACTCTTTCCTGCTCTCCATACTCCCTGCCTGGGAAGTCAGGCCATCTGACAGGAAAATACCTTTCTCTCCCACCCTTCATTGAAGCACAGAGGTGTGGGCCTCTGCCAGGAAGCCTCAAGCCTGCTTCTAATCCATTTGTCAGGCTGCCAGAGGGCTGGGCGGCCTATCCGTTTTTCACAAACAGATATCAGGGCAGCTGACAGAGCTGGGCAGGCTTAGAAATGGCTTTAGCTGTGAGCAGAATCTCAATGAAGGCTCTGGCCCAGCCTGTAGTGGGTGTTAATGACCCTAGAAGGCCCTGCCCTGGCAGTCAGGGAGGAGAATAAATATTACTGGCTCAGGACCCAGCTGCCAGCCCCTGCCCTTCTGTATTTTGATGGTTTTTTGTCCTCAACCATATTGAATGCTGTTCAGTTGTATTTGATGCCCCCCTTCTTCCAGGCTGTGTGTGTGTGGAAGGAGGAGGGAGAGACTCCTCATTCATCAGAAGCTGGTTTCCTGAGGTGCAGGAGACAGGGAGTGTGGGAAGAGGGAGAGTGCAGGAGGAAAATTACAAGGAATCTGTGATTCCACTGGGAAAGTAAAAGTTAGAGGGAAATGAAGGAAGCTTGGAAAGTGAAAGAAAATACATAGAATATCTTAGGCACTGAATATCAGACCTTTCCATCTAAATGTGCATAATGACAAGGAAGATGGAACATAGCAATTCTGGAGGTTTTCAGGGGAGGGGACAAAGTGGCCCCTTAACAACATTTATTTAAATATCATCTTTTATCTTCAGAATTTATACAAATTATTTGAATCTTACATTGTAAAACAGGTTTCAGTCATCCATTTCTTCATTCTCACCTTTAGGGATGCACCCACTGCCCTACTTCCTCAATGCCCCCCACCAACCTGGCAGTGATTCTGTGGTATGACTGTAGTCTCTACTGTCTAGTGCCTGAAAAATGCATCCTAACCAGTAGCCCAGTGTGGGTAGCTGGGATAATTCATACTGGCATGCAGCAAGCCCCGGTCATGTGTTAGGCACTGAGCACTGGGGATGCAGAGTTAGACACAGCTTCCATCCTCAGGCAGCTCACTGTCCAATGGGAGAGACAAAGCCAATATTGGATTATTGTGGTACAACGTAGTCAGGCTACAGCAGCAGCAGCAGCTTCTCCACTAGGCACGTGCTCTTTTTATTTTTTATTGTTTTTACATTATCTCTAATCCAGACACAATTCTGGAGCAGATATTATCAGGTTTATTTCAGAGATGAAGAAACCAAGTCTTAGAGGGTGAATGCTTGCCCCAAATGATGCAGCTAGTAAGTGGGGGAACAGGGTTCAAGTCCAGTTCTCTTTTATTTCAAGGTCTGCGTTCTTCCTATTCCCATCCTATGGGCTCTTATAATAAAGAAGAGGGTGACCTCGGAGGACAGAAAATGAACCAAATCTAGGACAATGGTCAGGAAAGGCTTCTGAAAGGAAGCGACGCCAGTATTGAGTCTTAAAGGATAAATAGGAGTTGGCCAGACATCCGCATGCAGTGGGGAGAGAATTTTAGGTATGGAGAAGATCATGAAATAAACATGAAGTAATGAAAATGGCAACCAAGCATGGTGGCTCATGTCTGTAATCCCAGCACTTTGGGAGGCTGAGGTGGGAGGATCTCTTGAGGCTAGGAGTTCAAGACCAGCCTAGGCAACATAGCAATACCCTATCTGTACAAAAAATACAAAAATTATCTGGGTGCGGTGGCATGTGCCTATAGGTCCAAGCTACTTATAAGGCTGAGGTGGGAGGATTGTTTGAGCCCAGGAGGTCAAGGCTGCAGTGAGCTGTGATGGTTCCCCTGCACTCCAGCCTTGGCAAGAGAGTGAGACCATGTGTCTCAAAACAAAAAGATGGCATGACTTTCTTGGGAATTAAAGAGAGTCCTATGACTGGAGTGAAAAACATTATAGAAAAGTGGTAAGACATAAAGCTAGAGAAGTGGGTAGGGCCAGATCATGAAGGCTTTTTGTGGTAGAGCATTATCCTTCAGGCTTCAGGAGAGTAACAGAAGTTTGTTAAGTGGAGGAGTGGCATGCTCAGATTTGTGCTTCGGAAATTTATTTCCAGCCATGCATAGAGGATGGATTGAATGAGAAGAGATTAGAGGCTCTCTCAGCATGTATCCATCCATCTCCATTTGTCTCCGTCATTTATCCACATCTTGGCCTCCTCTGTCTTGTCTGCCTGTGTCTGCCTGGTTATCAGCCTCTATCTGGCCTATTTATCTGATCCCTTGGCTTCCCTACGTAACCCTAGGCAAGTCACTTCACCACACTGAGCCAAGGGTCCCTCATCAATAAAATGAGGATCATAACGCCAACCTCAAAAGGTTAGGTTTGGGATTAAGTGTTATATTGCATGCAAATCTTTTTATATATTACAAAGTACCATACAAATGTGAAGGATTATTGTTATCTAGCTATTGATCTCTCGGGTGTTTGGTTTTTTTTCAACAAACTTTCTTTTAGTGCTGACTCTAGGCTGGATATCATGCTATATCTGGTGAAAGAGGGAGTTTATAATAAATCAGAAACAATACCAGCCTTCTAGAGGATCAGAGTGTAGCAGAAGTACACAAAAAGCTAGAATAGAAGCCTCTGTTATGTGTTTCTAACTCTGTTATGTGTTTCTAACTTACTGCTTATATGTCCAGTTGCCTGTCTTGTCCATCCATCCATCTATCCATCCGTCCATCCATCCATCTATCCATCCATCCATCCATCCATCCATCCACTTCTCTGACTCATTAGCTGTTCTTGTCTGTATTCACAGGCAGTTACTGACATAGAGCCATTCAAGTTACCATAATCCTCACATGCAATCTCCTCTCCACCATAGACCACCCCTCACCATGCAATTTTTGACAGCCCATGTCTTTAAAATAAGAGAGGAAAAATAAGTTGTGAAAAGAACACGTCTCTAGATGGCTTAGAAGATCCCTTCTTCTTTACAGTTTTATTACCTTCTTCACCTTTCTCATGTGCTCCCAGGCCTCTTCTGAAGACTTGAATCTCACATAGCTCTGACACTGCCACACTCCATAAGCCAAGAAAACTAGATTGAAAGCTTTCAACCTAGAATTAGAGTCAATTTCACTGAATTCTATAGGCTCTGTGACTAACCTGGGACTGCCAGATAGTCCCCAGGCAGTTCCAATCATTGGCATCTTGAACAAAGATTGTAAAGAGTTTGTGATGACTTTGTCCTCTGAGCCCCTTGTCTTCTGAAATGCCCCTTCAGAAGCAGTATTTTATCGTGGGGAATAAGTCCTGTTCTGCCACTTAGAAGCTTTGTGACTTCAATCAAGTTATTCAACCACTCTGAGTTTCAATGTCAGAATCAGCAAAATGAGGATAATACCTCCTACTAAAGTTGTCATAAGGATTAAATGATGTCCAATGTGAGCTGTTTTACACAGGACCTGATTTTTTGTATGCTTGATGGATTGACTCGGAGTCAGGACTTAGATTATTTTTCCTTAACACCCTGTTTTGTGGTTTTGTATGCAAGTGTGAGTTTGTGTGTATAAAAGTAGATGTGTTTGTGTAAGCATAGTTGTATATGGATATATGCTTTACATTTGAATCCACTGTTTATGATGGCTAAGATACTAGAATGGTGCCGTTCAACAGACTTTCTCTTTTTTTCTGGGGGTGGGGGGATGGAGTCTTGCACTTGTCACCCAGGCTGGAGTGCAATGGCGCAATCTCAGCTCACCACAACCTCTGCTTCCTGGATTCAAGCGATTCTCCTGCCTCAGCCTCCTGAGGAGCTGGGATTACAGGCGCACACCACCACACCTGGCTAATTTTTGTATATTTAGTAGAAATGGGATTTCATCATGATGGGCAGGATGGTTTTGAACTCCTGAACTCAGGTGATCCGCCCGCCTCAGCCTCCCAAAGTGCTGGGATTACAGGAGTGAACTACCGCACCTGGCCTGCTCAATAGACTTTCTATGATGGTGTTAGATTTCCTTTGCGTTGTCTATCACAGTGGCTGTTGAGCACCTACAATGTGGCTAGTAGGACAAAGGAACTATATTTTTTAAGTTAATTTTAATTAATTTAAATTTAAGTAGTCACAAATGACTACTTATACAGCACAGCCCTAGAATATGCCCTCATTTTTAATTACACCTGAAATAATTATTATGGTATGAAAAAGATTACTGAACACCTCCTATGTTTCAGGCACTTGGACATGCACTAGCTCATTTAACCCATGTCAGCTTGGTGACATGAGTGATCTCATTGTAACCTTCTTTTGACTGGTAAAGAAACTGAGAATTGGAGACATAAAGTAACTCCTTTAAAGTCACACAGACAGTTCAGTGTTTGAGCCCAGATCTCTAATCTTAGACCCCTTCTCTGCATGACCCCTCCTCGTGCCATCTTACAGCAGTGCACATATAGTTTCCAGGGTGTATGCATAGTTTCCTCTTGTTATTCATAGATCACTCTGGCTGCAGGATGGAAAATGGATTTAGGTGATGGGGAAAGGAAGGAGGTATTTTGAGTAGAAACAGAGAGGCCAGCTGGGAGCCTACTGCAGTAGTCCAGAACCACAACAGCAAATGCCAAGAGCTAAACCACCAACTGGCCTTCTTGCTGGGAGCCTCACAGACTATGGAGTGTCAGATCTGGAATCCCTTTGGAGATCATGTAGTGCATCCCTTTGGAGATCCTTTTTTGAAGAATGATGAAACTGAGGAACAGAGGCAAGAAGGTGATTTCTCCAAAGTGTCAGAGTTGGCACAAGAGTTCCCATCTTCTACTATGATGTTTTTCCTGAATTCCAGACCATCATAGAAACCGAGACTTTATTATCACCAGCCTCTTTACCTCCATCTAAATCCTTCTTTCATTTTTAGAGACTGCCTCTGTTTTCCTAAAATGCCATGAAGTCAACTAAGAGACAGGAATTTTAGTTCTCTGTAAACAAATCCATTTTTACAAAGAATGAGCAAATCCTCCTCCAGAAGTTTGAGCATGTCCTCCAGAGAATACAGAAATTCATGCAAGGTGTCTTGGAAGTAGATATAAAAAGCTTATTCCATTTTTTAGAGAAGGAAAAAAAAAAAGCCCAAGCACAACTTTTCTGATGCCTGATAATATTCTTCTCTCATCTCTCATTTCCCCACAACTATTTTGTCTTAAGGCTCTGAAAGCCTGTGGGAAGTTGCTGTGTGATTTTTATCTCCATGATTAAAGTGTTACACTTTATTGAGTTCTTTACATCAGCAGCAAAATCTGCAATGCGGGGTTTTACGTAACACCTCATTTTCTTCTCACACCATTACTGTTATTAACCTGGTGGCAATAAACAGAAAATACAGCTTTGCTTATGATGTACTCTTTATTTTTGTTCCAATAGCAAGAAGAAGAAAAAAAGAGAAAGAACCCAGAGAATAGGGAAGAATTTTTTACCCGTTGTATCACTTTGAGGTCTGCCTTTCTCTCTCCCTGTTAAACAATAGCATTTCTCAGAGAAGATAAAGGATGGAGAGAGTCTCTGCTCAAAGATAATATCTTCTCCATCATTAGTTCATCCATCTATTCATTCAATAAGGATTTCCTTAGCACCTACTATGTGCCAGACACTGCGCTAGATGTTGGACCTATTAAAATGAAGACAATGTGATTTCAGGTCCTGAGGAGTGCTTGGTCCAGTGGGAGAAATAGAGACACAAAGCAATAATAATGAAACAGTGAAATAGGTACAATAAAAAAGAAGGGTTGAGTGACAATAGACGTGAAGAAGGACATGGCGTAGGGAAGCCTTTAGAGGAAGGGATGCTTATATTGGGTCCTGGAGGAAGGCTGGGCAGGGCAAGGTGTTCCTGCCTGAGGGAACAAAATGAGCAAAGCCTTGGAGGGCACAGAGGAGCATCACACAGTCTGGAAGCTCTCAATTTGGCATGGAGAAAGCATAGATTGCCTATCAGCAGAGAGTAGGAAATGAGGTTGGGGACGAAGGCAGATTCTTGAGGACCTGATATTCACATGTGGAAAATATATTCCTTGCCTACCAATAATTCATGCTCTTGGCTCCCCATGACAAACCCAAAGATAAAGGAATCAAGACAGAGTGATAGAGTGGTAAGAACTTGTATTATGGATAGATCTAGATTTTATCCTTGGCTCTGACGCTTACTAGCTGTGTAAACTTAAGCAATGCATTCATCTGTAAAACAGGTACATTAAGAATGAGATAATGACTATAAACAAGTTGTGTAGGTTGTTGATAGTATTTCATGTGTCAAAGGAAAGGGGCTAGGAGAGCAAAACTCCAAACAATTCAAAGAGCCAGAAAAGACACAAATTCATTCTGTCTAATTTTGATGAAGGTTTTTATGTAGATATGGATGAAGGGGCTTGCATTGTTGTGGGACTTCCCTTCAATCCAAGACATAAAGCTTGTTTGTTACCCACACCTCCTTGTCCAACCCTTGCTTAACTCTCACAACCACTCCCTCACTCCTTGCTGCTTTCTGGCTAAGTGAAGCAGTTCATAAAAATCAAAAGTCCTCTCTTTGGAGGGAGTGAATGTCTATAGCAGAGCAATAGCTACAGAAAAGCCCGCCAGTATCCCATTTACATTGTAATAGAGGGCCTAAGTATTTGATTATGTGTATGTAAGTGTTTGAATTTTTTTTAAAAAAAAACCTTTGATTCTGTATCCTAACAAAAGTGTGCAATGCTTATACTTAACTTTTTTTTTTGGTAGACCTCCTCTGTAGTCACTTATGCTTAATTTATATTAATAAAGAGTTCTATTTATACGGAAAACACATGATTACATGGGGGAAACGTTCTTTTCATTCAAATAGCCATATTTAGAAAAAATCAACTTGTTTGGATCAAAATATCATAACCATAGCACATCTGATAGCATCTCACTCTAACTGGGAACACGTACCAAGGAGGCAAACATACAGCTCAAACTTATAAGATGGTGACATCTCCAATCTCAGTGGATGCCCCCCCTCAATCCAGAAACCTGGGAATCAGTCCAAACTTAGGTCCCATATTGCAAACTGTCAATCTTGCTTTGTAGTGGGTCTCATGTTTGGATGCTTCTTCACATCCTCCCAGGCCTTGCTTTGTGTTTTGTTTTGTTTTGTTTTGTTTTGTTTTGTTTTGAGATGAAGTCTCGCTCCGTAGCCCAGGCTGTAGTGCGGTGGTGCCAACTCGGCTCACTGCAACCTCCGTCTCCTGGGTTCAAGCAATTCTCGTGCCTCAGCCTCCCAGGTTGCTGAGATTACAGGCGTGCCACCATGCCCAGCTAATTTTTGGTTTTTGTTGTTGTTGTTGTTGTTGTTGTTTTGTTGTTTTTCTTAGTAGAGACAGTGTTTTGCCCAGGCTGGTCTCAAACTCCTGACCTCAGGTGATCCACCTACCTCGGTCTCCCAAAGTGCTGGGATTACAGGCATGAGCTACCGCGCTCAGTCCTAGCTAGCCCTTGCTTTAATTGAGGACCTTATCATTTTTAAATTAGTTCTCACTTGGATTATAACAAAAATGTTCTAACTAGTCTACCTGCCTTTGAGTCTTATGACCACTAATTCTCGTCACAGCCTCCAGAACAATCTTGCTAAAATGTAAATGTAATCCTGTTATAATTTCATAAAACACTTCTGTGGCTCTCTATTTCCGTTTTATAGGGAAAATTCATGACTCCTTAGTGACTTACAAGGCCTTCCATGTAAGGGTCTTTGGAAGCCTCTCTAGTCTGTTTCCTCACCCCCCTCTGTGTCCCCTCCCCTGCTCTTCAACTGTGCTAAACACTTTAATTTATTTTATTTTGAAACGGAGTCTTGCTCTGTTGCGAGGCTGGAGTGCTGTGGCGCAATCTCGGCTCACTGCATTCTTTGACTCCCTGGTTCAAGCAATTCTCCTGCCTCAGCCTTCCCAGTAGCTGGGATTACAGGCATGCACTACCACACTCAGCTAATTTTTGTATTTTTAGTAGAGCCAGGGTTTCACCATGTTGACCAGGATTGTCTCGACCTCCTGACCTCATGATCCACCTGCCTCAGCTTCCCAAAGAGCTGGGATTACAGGCATGAGCCACTGCGCTGGGCCCCAATGTATTGTTCCCTCAATGGGCTAGTGGTTTTAGGCTTGGGGCTTTTGCCCACAGGCTCCCTCTGCCTACACTGTCTTTCTCTCCACTGGAGGGTCCTTTCCTTATTCCCTTGGTGAACACCTTCTCATCTGTCAAGACCTTGCTTAATAGTCACCTCCTCTGTAAAGTCTTTCCTGACCACCACTAATTGAATGGTTCCTTCAGCCATACTTTCACCCAGTCTTCACTTATGTCTCTTACAGCACCTGAAAGGCATATGTACATTTAAACTGTTCCCTTGTCTGCCTTCCCTACTATAAAGTGAAGAAAGAGAGAGGTGGGAAAGGGGGAACAGAAGAAGAAAAGGAATGAAGAGGGAGAAGAGAAAAGGGGCAAGATGAGAGAGTTAGAGAAGAAAGAGGAAGAAAGAATGAAGGGAGAGATGCCAAGTGCCTGCCTGTACCTTTCTTCTTCCTGTTTTCGCTCTTCCAGCTGCCTACACCAAATAAAGCAGATAGGAACCATTTTATTTTTCCCTAGGATAAAGTACATAATTTCAGCATGAATGTTGGCACCCTCGAACACTTCTTTGAAAAGTAGTGATGTGCACTCTGCCAAGTGGAAAGACTGCATTAGCGTAGGGGAATGATTGAACTGCTGTCTCGCAGCAGGCTCTCCCCACAGGGCCATGCCAAGGAAAATGACCTTGCACTTGTGTCTTGAAGGAGATAAGGTAGAAAGACTGACAAGATCTGTCCTCAATTAGAGGCCAAATGAAAGAGAAAACAACAACAACAGGAATACTGCAAAGCAGGAAGATGAGATTTTGGAAGGATATAAGACTCAGGATATAATGGTGGAAAGAGCCCTGAGAAGTCACTGAATCCGTCCTCTAAGTGGGGAAATTGAAGTCCAGAGAGAGAGAAGGACTTCTCCAGGGTCACGTAGCAGCTTAGTAGAGAGCCAAGATGAGTTTCCTAGGAAGAAAAATCCTGGCATAGACCAAGGACTCCTGTCCCTGCAGCTGAGTGGTTAGACATGTATCATTACCTCTATGAGCCAGCTAGCAATCTCCTGAGATAGGTGTCCCCAAGCATTCAGGCCACAACTATTTACTGAGTTCCTAAATATGTGCCTGAGGGTGCCCTAGTTTTATCAGCCTTTGATTTATAAGGAAGCAACATTAACTTTTAATTATCAAATTAAAATGTTCCTCAGCTCTCACAGCCTTAAAAATTGTATCTCAGTCCTCTTCTTAGTTGAGAGCTCCCTGATTTTTTTGTCTTGTTTTCCTGCTCAGACTGGGGCTTTCTGAGGGAAGGCCTGGCTTTTCTACTTGTATCTGTGTGCACTTTCAATACAGAACTGAGCACATAGGATGACTTCCCAAGTTGAGGATCAAGCAGAGGTTTTGGAGTGGTGAGATGTAAGCTCGAATCCCATCTCAACTCATAATTTGTTGTGAGATCTTGATAAGCCAGGCTCTGAGCTTCTTCTGAGAAACTAAGATCATAATCCTATCTACTTCCATGGAGTGTTGAAAGAATCAAATGATTGGTGTGAAAATGGTTTATAACTGTATAAATGTGCAAGATGGTGGTTATTGTCAATAGATTTCATATTGAACAAGGAAGAAATGTACATATATGTAAGCTTGTCCCCAAGCTCCTCTTAACTCTATGCTACCATAGTACTCGCACTTCTTCACATTCCTCATTGCACAGAAAGTTACTTGTAAAATGTCTTTCTTCTTCACAAGGTTTTGAGCTCCAGGAGGTCCATATCCCCAGTGCCAAGCACAGCACCTACACATAGTGTCATTGTGTGATTCAAAAGAATATATTGACAGTGTATAAGCTGTCACACATTTTGGTAGGCACAAAGCCAGTTACTTCATTTACCTCTATGACAGTGTGTGAATTTGTGATTGTTATCTTCAAATTTCAAGTGATTAAACTGAAACTCAGGGAGGGAAAGTGAATTCTACAGGTCTTAAAGCTCAACCATGGTGAAACTAACACTTGAAGCCAAGTCTACCAGACCCCCAAACCACACTACTCTCATGAGTACCCTTTTATCACCATTATCATTATCATAGTCATTATGGCTATCACCAGTCACTGAAGGGAGCAGGAGGCAGAGGTCAGGAGTTCATCATTTGCCCTGGGAAGGTCTATTATAAACCCAAACCTCCTGGGCTGAGCCTCTCATCTCTCTCTGTTTCCAGGCATAGACGTGGAGAAAGGGAATGGAAGCAAAGGAAGGCTCCTTCCTGCCAGGCCAGACCTGGCTCTTCCTGGATCTCTAGGAGATGCAGAAATGCCTCCATTTATGTGCAAGTAGAGTCAGATTGTAAGAGACTAATTAGAAGTAGAAAAAAAATACGTTTTTATTTCTCATCTTGCTGCTTCTGATGCATTTTCTCCACACCTAAGCATTAGTCTCAGAATAATCCTGAAATATATTCTGCTGAGGTCAAGGAGGCCACAAATACAGGGCTGGGCTATTCTGAATAGAGCTTAGCCCCAGGTCAGAAACACTTGGTTTTGAATCTAAGATCTACCACTTGCAAGCTCTTTGCCTTGGTTTCCTTATATGATGTTATTACCCTTATAGGATTGTTATAATTACAGAACCATACTTAAGAAGTACTGCATAAATATCAACAGCTTTTATGGTGTCATGTTTAAGTGCATGGATTGCAGAGCCAGACTGCTTGGGCTCTGCCAGTTACCACTGTGTGATCTCGGGTTCCCACACAACCACCCTATTCCTGAGTGTTCTTGTTTGTAAATGATGTTTCTATCTGATAAGGTTGTGGGAGGATTAATGAGTGCCTGCCCCTGGCATAAAGTAAGGGCTATGTTGTTATTATTATCCTCCCCCATAGCTCTTCCAGATAGGATCTAGGCCCTGGGAACTTCCCACACCCCTATACCCCTTTCTCTGAGTCTAAGATAGCTGGCCCATTCATTTATTTATTCATTTAGTCACTTGGCAATTGTTGCCTGAGTACTTACTGTGTGTCAGGCCCTATGATATACCTTGTGGATATGGAAGTGAACCAGATGCAGTTCTAGGCTTCGAAGGATTCACAGGCCACACCCTCCTTCTTAATTTTTTTTCTGTTGTTGTTCATGGTTTTCATAAAACCACACTTTCCTTGTATTCTTTCACCTTCTTTCTTCTCTGACCACTCCACGGTCTCCTTTCCTTCTCTTTTAGCTAAACTTTCAACTTTAGAGGCCTCCAGACTCAGTCCCAGGACCTCCTCTCGGTCCACGCTTTCTCCCAGAGGTGTTACACACACCTCAATGATAATGATTCCTATATTTATACCTTCAGTCCAGTCCTCTCCCCCAGGGTTCTTCTTTCATGAATTCAACTGCCTACTTGACACTTCCTGTCTTGCATTCAGTGGTCATTTCAAACTGTGAAGAGCCTATCAGAACTCTCAATTTCCTAACCACTATCCCAGCTGGGCTCCAACCCAGTCTTCTCCATTTCTGTACATGAAACCACCATCTACTTAGTGTTCAAGTCATAAACCTTTGATTCTTCCCACATGTAATCTATGTGCAGGTTCTATGGAGATGTGGCCACAATATTTATTAAATATGCCTTCTCACCTCTACCACCACCTCTCTTACTTAAGCTGTAGTTAAGCACTGCATAATGACATTTCAGCATCAGACCACATGTACAATGGTGGTCCCATAAGATTATGATGAACTTGAAAAATTCCTGTCACCTGGTGACATCACAGCTGTTGTAAGGCCTAGGGGAATGCATTACTCATTCACGTGTTTGTAGTGATGCTGGGGTAAACCAACCTGCTGTGCTGCCAGTCATATACAAAGGTGGAAATGCAATTATGTATAATACATAACACTTAATAATAATACGTAACTATGTTACTGGTTTATGTATTTTCTATACTATACTTTTTATTGTTATTTTAGAGTGTACTTCTACTTAAAACAAAAAGTTAACTCTAAAAAGTCTCAACAAGTCCTTCAGGAAGTGTTCCACGAGAAGGGATTGTTATCATAGGAGATGACAGCTTCATGCATGTTATTGTCCCTGAAGACCTTCCAGTGTGATAAGATGTGGAGGTGGAAGACAGCGATGTTGATGATCTTGATCCTATGTAGCTCTCGGCTCATGTTTGTGTTTGTGCCTTAGTTTTCAACAAAAAATGTTTAAAAATTAAAAAAACCCATAATTTATAACTAGAAAAAAAAGCTTATGGAGTAATAAAGGAAGAAAATATTTTTGTGCAGCTGTATAATGTGTTTGTGTTTTAAGCTAAGTGTTATTACAAGAGTCAAAAAGTTTAAAAAATTAAAAGTTTATAAAGTAAAAAAGTCCCAGTAAGCTAAGGTTGATTTATTATTGAAGAACTAAAATGTTTTAAAATAAATTTAATGAGGCCAGGCGTGGTGGCTGACACCTGTAATCCCAGTGAGCCGAGATTGTGCCAATGCACTGCAACCTCCACCTCCAGGTTCAGGTGATTCTCCTGCCTCAGCCTCCTGAGTAGCTAAGATTACAGGTGTGCACCATTATGCCCAGCTAATTTTCATGTTTTCAGTAGAGACAGGCGTTCCCCATGTAGGTCAGGCTGGTCTTGAATTCCTGACCTCAATTGATCCGCCTGCCTTGGCCTCCTAAAGTGCCGGGATTACAGGTGTGAGCCACCATGCCTGGCCTCATTAAATTTATTTTAAAACAGTCATATGCTGTACAGGTTTGTAACCTAAGAGCCATAGGCTATAACCATATACCCTAGGTGTGTAGTAGGCTATAGCATCTAGGTTAGTGTAAGTACACTCTATGATGGTCACACAATGATGAAATAACCTAGTGATGCATTTCTCAGAATTTATCTCCATCAGTAAGTGTTGCATGACTGTACTGTGATTGCTTAGGGGAACTGTCTCAACTGCCTCATTCATGCCCCCCTAAAATCCATTATCTACATGATAGGCAAGGTATGTTTTTCAGTATTCCCCTGTTAAAATGTCTTTCTACTGTACATAGGATAAACTCCAAATTCTAACCCTGGCCTTCAAGGCCCTGTGTGATCTGGACCCTGCAAACCTGTCCAGGCTTAGCTCCAGTGTTTGTCACAATCTGGCTACTGGCCTTCCCTTTGGTTTTTGAAAACAATACACTCATCCTTGCTTTAGGGCCTTTGTTTTGCCCAGGATTCTTTGGCTGACTTCTTTGAATGTCTGGTTTTTCTCCCTTTCTTTCTCTCTTTCTTTCTTTTTCTTTTTCTTCCTTCCTTCCTTCCTCCTTCCCTCCCTCCCTCTTTCTTTTTTTCTTTCTTTCTCCTTTCTTTTCTTTCCTTCCTTCCTTTCTTTTTCTCTCTTTCTCTTTCTTTCTCTCTCTTTCTTTCTCTTTCTTCCCTTCCTTCCTTCCACCCTTTCTTCCTTTTCTTTCTTTCCTTTTCTGTCTCCCCTCCCCTCCCCTCCCCTTCCCTCCTCTCTCCTCCCCTCCCCTCCTCTCCTCTCCCCTTTCCTTTCCCTCTCCTTCTCCCTGTTCTCTTCTGTTTGTACAGGAAAATCTTTATCTCCATTTCCTTTTTGAAAGACAATTTTGCCAGGAAGAGTATTCTTGCTTGACAGGTGCATGCCACCACACCTGGCTGAATGGCTGGTTCTTATCATCTTTTGAGGCTTAATTCAAATGTCAGAGGCCTTCCCTGATCACACTACCTAAAGTAGACTTTCCCCCCATCCACTGTGTTATTCACCATCATGTTATTTATCCTAGTGCATTTCTAGCATGTTTCACAATCTGCAATTACCTTGCTTATCTGATGTTTATAGTTTGTAAACCCCACCTGGGTGTTAGCTACTTAAAGGCAGGAATCTTATCTGTTTTGTTCACCCTGAAGTCCTATGATAGCACCAGGAACATAGTAGGTTCACAGTAGATATTTGCCAGATGAATGGATGAATGAATAAGCTAGATGATAAATACCTTAACAGAAGGATATTTTTTTTAAATCTGTGAGATTCCAGGGAAGGGAGCTGCTATCCCTGAGAGCGTCCAGGAAGACCTCTCTGTCAAGGGCCCATTTGGGATAAGCAGTAAAAGGTGAACAAGATGTTGCCAGAAGGTGAAAGGAAGAGGATAAGCATTCTCACCTGGAGGAATAGACACAAAAGCCCAGAGTACGAGAACACCAGTGTGCTTGGGAAGTTACGGCGGTTCTAGAAGGCCAGAGTGTAGGATGGAGAGAGGCAGGAGGTGAAGTGCCCGTGGCCCATCCCCTTGGTTCCTTGAGCTGGCTGTCTGGATTTCTTACGTGGTTGTTCCTTTCTTTGTCCCCTTGACTTATTATATCCCTTTTTTTGTGGCAGGAATTTCTGCCCAGCCATGTTCAGGACATATCTGAGGAAGAAAGCCTTCACTGTGCCACTTCAGAAATATATATATGTATATGCTATGGGCTGGGCACAGTGACTTACACCTATAAACCCAGCACTTTGGGAGCCTGAGGCAGGAGAATTGCTTGAGCCCAGGAGTTCCAGACTATACTGGGCAATATAGCAAACCTTGTCTCTACAAAAAAAATTTTTTAAATAAATATACAGTATGAATGATAAAGAACCTTTGCATTATTTTGTTTATTTGATTTGCTTGGTTGATATTAAAGAAAGAGTCCTCAATTTTTCTGAAAATTTTTCCTTCCTGCCTTAGAACACAGAAATAGCTTTCATTCCTTAAAAAACAGACAGGGAGACATTTTAGTTAATAATGAAAAGAATAGATTTGGGGCTTTTTTGTCTCAGTCCCAGGGGAAAACATCTTCCTGGGGTAAATCTGAAGGAGGAATGTGTCTGGGAGTTCTCCAACACTTCTTGCTCCTCCCACACACATACCTCAATGCCTTTTTGAGAGTCTAAGGACAATAATCTCAGTCACAGATCCCCACAATCCTTCAGCTCAGAGCTGAAGGAACCTGCATGGGGCTTGCCTTACTATAATCAAGTAATTGCTTTGCTAGGCTGCAAGCTCCTGTGAGGACAGCAGGGTACAGGACATGGAGAGTTTATAGCCAGAGGCCTGGGTTTCAGTCCCGACTCTGCCACATCTTGCTGCGTAATGCTGGGCAAGTTACTTGAGCTTTCTGAGCTTCCATTTCCTCCTCTGTAAAACAGAAATAATAACAAAGCTCACCCTGCTCAACTTGCGGTTATTCCTGCCTAAGCTTCAGTTTCTTCCCCATGGCGTCTCCAAACCTGAGATAAAACTCCTCTGTCCTTCCTAGATTGGATTGCCCTGGATGGTCCTTCCTTCACTGAACTGAATTTGTGATAAACTCCGAAGTGCTGCCGAAATGTGAAGGATACGGCCCCACATCAGAGCACCAAGCTCAGGTTTTGGCCTGTGCCAAGTGAGATGAAGCAGGGTAGCAGCTCAGAATAGAGAAAGAAAACCCATTTCCTCCCTGGTGTCTAGGTGGAAGCAAACTCCACACTAAATTATGTTGCAAATATGCCCCAAAGTAGTTTTAATTTTATTGGCACTGATTTTAATTTACTCTTTAGGCCCCTGATTGCAAGAGGAGCTGCTGGCTGCTGGCAAGGGGACAGCCCTTCATCATTCTGTTTTAATTAAGGTCCTTAAGTTTGGAAGGAAAGAACGGAGATGCTCTCCCCATCCCCCACCTTCTATTCTCATTCCCAAATTGTAATTCAGGGCCCTACATTTGTGACACACACCCCTTGGCCCGGCACAGCCACAGAAAAGTACCTGGTTTTACTGTTGGAACAACTTAAGATGCATTTGTTTACTCATTAATTCACTTATCCTTCCTTCAGTTCATTTTCTTATTCATTCCTTTGTAAACCTTTAATGATGACCTACTATATACCAGGCCGTGTTCTGGTCCTGTGGATTGAAAAAAATCAGCAATATAAGATCCTTGCCCTCAAAGAGCTCACATTCTGGAGGGAAATGAAAATAAAAGATTATCATCTCATGTAGTAAGTGCCATGAGAGAGATCTGTACCTTGAATTATAAGAGCGCAGAGGAGGCTGTTAACTCAGCCTGAGGGATAAAATAAGGCTTTTTGAATTGAGATTTTGTACTAGTCAAGATGAATGATATTAGCTTCTATAATAAACAATCCCCAAATTTCAGTGGCTTAATTCAGTGAAGATTCACTTCTCTCTTACATCAGTCTGATGCGGAGCAGGTGACTCTCCTGGCTGTTGTCCTCTAAGTGTTGAGTCGAGGATATAGGCTTCTTTCTTCTTAGGATATCATCATTTTTTTACGTGTAGCTACCCATGCAGAAGGGCAAGAGAGAATGTGGGTGATTGTGTACGAGGAGTTTTATGGGCAGGTCTGGAAGTTATTGTCATTGCCCACATTCCATTTGATCCCAACCAAATGGCAAGGGGGATAGAAATGTCAGTGGGGAAGAGATGCACAATTCAATAAATGGTGTTGAAACAGTGAAATTTAACCCTTACCTCACATTCCATGACCATATAAATTGAAACTGAAACAAAACATTGAAAACTAAACAACAAAATAATAAAATGGAAGCAACAGTAAAATAATTCAGCTAGGAAACCACAAAAGAAAAGATGGATAAACTGTGTCAAAAATCAGAAATTTAAAAATTTCTACATGAAAAATACATGAACAGAAGTAAAATAGAAAGACAAATGACAAAAGTATCTTTATATTACACATAAAGGTTAATTTCTATAATACATAGCTTCTCTAAGTCAATAAGAAATAAAGCCCAACAATCCGATTTTTTAAATGGTCAAAGGAAATGAACAGAGTTCTTAGAAAAGAGAATGCAAATTACTTTTATTGATTTATTTTATTATTTATTTATTTATTTATTGAGATGGAGTTTCACTCTTGTTGCCCAGGCCAGAGTGCAATGGTGCGATCTCAGCTCACTGCAACATCTGCGCCCAGGGTTCAAGTAATTCTCCTGCCTCAGCCTCCCGAGTAGCTAGGATTACAGGTGCCCACCACCACAGCTAATTTTTTTGTATTTTTAGTAGAGACGGTGTTTCACCATGTTGGCTAGGCTGGTCTTGAACTCCTTACCTCAGGTGATCCACCCACCTCAGCCTCCCAAAGTGCTGGGATTACAGGCGGGAGCCACCATGCCCGGCTGCAAATCATCTTTAAACATATGAAAAGATTCTTAACTATACAGTAAAAGATAATTATACAGTACTAAGAGAAATTCAGATTAAAACTAATCTTACATATTGCTTTTCACCCATCAAATTGGCAAATATCAAAAAGTTTTATTCCACCTATATTGTCAAGGTAATAGGCTAGGGGTGTTCTGCCTTTCTAAGGTCAGTCTGTCAATATAAATCAGAAATGCAAATGCACATAGGATCTGGGAATTTCACTTCTAGGAATTTATTATTTTATTTTATTTATTTATTTATTTTTTTGAGACGGAGTCTCGCACTGTCGCCCAGGCTGGAGTGCAATGGCGTGATCTCGGCTCACTGCACCCTCCACCTCCTGGGTTCAAGCGGGTCTCCTGCCTCAGCCTCCTGAGTAGCTGGGATTATAGGCACCCACCACCCTGCCCAGCTAATTTTTTGTATTTTTAGTAGAGATGGGGTTTCACTGTGTTGGCCAGGATGGTCTCGAACTCCTGACTTCGTGATCTGCCTGCCTTTGCCTCCCAAAGTGCTGGGATTACAGGCATGAGCCACTGCACCCAGCCAGGAATTTATTTTACATACAATTGTGTATGTGTGAAATAATATATATACAAATTTCATCACTAAGACATTCTTTGTAACAAGAAAAGATTGGAAATACATTAAATGTTTATCAATAAGTAACTAGTTAGTTTATATATGGCTGTCACAAAGAATGAGGTAACTTTTTATTTATTAAGAAAGAATCGCCTCCAAGATATATTCAGAGAACAGCAGATCTGAATGGTGTGTTTATGGTGCTACCACTTGTGTGTTTGGAGCAGGGGGTTTGGGTGTGAGAGGAAATATTTACTTGTATATGCACAAACTGTCTCTGGGAAGATATATGCAAGCCTGATAGCATTAGCTGTCTCTGGGGAGCAAAACTGGGTGACTGGTAGAAGGGAGATTTTTTTACTATAAATTATTTTATATCATTTGACTTTCAGATTATATGATCAATCAACATAATTCAGGTGCTGGTTCTTTAAAGTGAAGTCACATCAGCTGCCAGGTGTCAGGATGGGACAGTGGAAGCCACACCTATATGGTTATCAGAAAAATGTAACAAAATTACACTTGTACGCCCATAAATTTATATGAATAAGTTTTTTAAATTTAATTTTTTTCAAAAAAATTTAAAAGTAAAAGAAAAGCTAGGTTCTAATTCTTGCTTCTTCACTAACTTGCTGGCCAACCTTAAGCAAGCAACCTCCCCACTCAGAGCAGGTCTGAGAAAGGTCAGAGAAACTGGTTTCCAAGGGCCTCTCTAGCTCTGACATCGAGAGATATAAGCTGTAGCTTTCCTTACACATTTCTTAAATCATCTTTCTACCTCCTCCTTTCCTGTGCAGCTCATCAAAAGCTCACAGGAAAAGACAGACAATTGAAGAAAATAAAATTGTGAAGATGACTTTTATAGGGCTCCTGTTGAATCATTGTGTATTCCACCTCCAAAGCTGAAAATGATGAGTTTAATATCACACAGAGCAGTGCATCTTGTATCTCCCAAAAGACAGCTTTTGCTACCCAGAGAACTGGGAGCTTGGCAAGACATAATTTTTCACTCCAACTCTGAGGTAAATGAAATGACAGTCATTGAGCCCACATTCTAGAAGCAACATGGTTTTCATTTGGTTTTAACTTCATTTAAAAGCATCCCAAGGAGGGAGAATCCTTCTAAATGTGCACTTTTCTTCTTTCCCAGGACTATGTACTAGAAAGAGGATGGAGAGGTGGCTAGATTTTGCCTTGGCTGTTTCTAGTGTTGGCCATTGATGACAATAAGTTAATTGTGCAAGGGGGCAGGAGGCCTGAGTGTCAGTCCCCGTTATTCTGTGAGCTTGGTCAAGTCCCCTCCCCATGCGAGTCTTCCCTTATTCTCAGAAAGGGTTAATGGATATAAGCTGGGCTGATATATAAGAAGGGAAGATTGGATTTGAGGGCAATTGAAGATCTAATGGTCTAAAAATCACCCCACCCCTGACACCCTCTGTTTCAGTCAGTCCATTACAGTATGTGGAGCAATCTCTCTGGGATTGTTTCTTCAATCATTCTGCATGTAGTTACTGAGCATCCTTTACTTACAGGCACTGAGCTCTTTATAGACAATCCTCCTACCTTCAGGGAAGGCTAACAAATAATACCATAAGAACCAAGAAAGTGCCTTAAATATGTGTAAGTAAAGAGCAGAGGTAGACTGGTCAATGCCATCTTTACAGACTGCAAAGGCATTTTCCTTCATGCATTATTTATATGCTGTTGTGGGGTAGACCTGGCATCATGACACAAGGCTAACTCAAAGAGTTAACTAAGACTCTATATGTAAAGTTCCAAGAATGCTGTTGGGCATGCATTATATATACAGTAAGACAGTAATTATTATTTTTTATTTATATTACATCATCAAGAAATATAGTAATTATTATTGCTGTGTTTGATTCCCGATATAATGCTCTGAGGTTTGAATTAAAATACTCGTTTTTCAGATAAGAAAGCTGAGGCTCAAAGTGGGGACATGATTTACACCAAGCTTCCCAGCTAGAAATGGCCAAGTTGGGGCAAAACTGCAACCAGGCCCAAAGTAAATACAATTGTGTTACCTGGAAGGTATTTCTCATTAATCAGAGAAATAAATTCCACGAATGTCTAGTCATGAATGTGTTAGCTGTTCTGAGTAAGTAACATCATGACTTAACCCAAGCTAATAAATTTCACTTTTTCTGAAGACCTCTTAAAAGGGATGCTAATAGTAGTGCTTTCAGACCCTGAGGGAAAACCATGTTAAAAGTGAGGAGGAATTGGTCGTCACCTGTCTTAAACCCTCCCCTCACATTGCAAATGGCTGCTAAATCTGCTGACACACAGGGTCAGCTTGATGTGTGTGTGTGTGTGGGGGGGGGTGGGTGGGTGTGTGTGGGGGGTGTGTGTGTGTAGTGTAGTGTCTGGTCCCTTATACACAAGCTCTACAGCCCAGACTTCTCATTTGTTATCCTTTCTCTCAACAGAAAACAAGCCTGGAGTTTTATATTGACATCCATGCCCACTCCACCATGATGAATGGCTTCATGTATGGCAACATCTTTGAGGATGAGGAACGGTTCCAGAGGCAGGCCATTTTTCCCAAGCTCCTCTGCCAGAATGCTGAGGACTTCTCCTATGTAAGCCAGGAGTTCTCTCTCAGCCAGCCCCAGCCCCCCACACCCTGCCTCCCCGTCTTCCTTCTCACTCAGTTCAGTTTGCTTTAAGCTCCACGGGACACCTAACTCTGTGTTAGGTATTGTGTGGGTGATGAAGATAGAGGTAAACAAGATGTGCCCATGTCCTCAAGCTGCTCATCACCAGTCAGGGTGGGAGACTCTTTGAGAAGGTAGCATTTTGGCTGGCTGATGAGCTGGCATTTGTTTTTGTTTTGGGGTTTTTGTTTTGTTTTGTTTTGAGACAGGATCTCGCTCTGTCACTCAGGCCGGGGTGCAGTGGTATGATCATGGCTCACTGCAGCCTCTATCTCCCAAGATCAAGTAATCCTCCCACCTCAGCCTCCTGAGTAGCTGGGGCTACTGGCTAATTTTTTTTTTTTTTTTTTTGAGACTGAGTTTCACTCTTATTGCCCAGGCTGGAGTGCAATGGCATGATCTTGGCTCACTGCAACCTCCATCTCCCAGGTTCAAGCGATTCTCCTGCCTCAGCCTCCCGAGTAGCTGGGATTACAGGCATGCGCCACCACACCCGCCTAATTTTTTGCATTTTTAGTAGAGACGGGGTTTCTCCATGTTGGTCTGGCTGCTCTCGAACTCCCAACCTCAGGTGATCCGCCCGCCTCGGCCTCCCAATGTGCTGGGATTACAGGCGTGAGCCACCGCGCCTGGCCGCTACTGGCTAATTTTTAAAAATTTAGTTATTTATTTTGTAGAGACAGGGTCTCGCTATGTTGCCAAAGCTGGTTTCAAACTCCTGGGCTCAAGTGATCCACCTGCTTCAGCTTCCCAAAATGCTGGGATTACAGGCATGAGCTACTGTTCCCGGCCTTCTTTAATGGAGTTGACTCCAGCATTAACAAGAAAAGGAAGCTCACTGAGCACCTACCACATGTCAGACCTTTCCCCAGGGTCTGCTTTTACCAATCCCAGTTCTTTTGTATGAGCACAAGACATCTGCTAACAGAGGTTGTATGCCCACCATTCTTTTCTCCATGACTCCTTCTCAGCCTCAATTTTTTTGTAATTGCTGGACGATAATTTCTATCCTCACTGCATTATAGCTTCCTGGAAGGGCAAATGCAGTTTTTGATATAAAAGTTCTTTGCAGGCAGTAAAGACCTTAACAAACTCCAGAGACGGTTGCTGTTACTACCAATCTCACATGCTGAGAACTAGAGAGGCTGTGGGGTGGGAAAAACTCATAGCAAAAGCAATATTGGAAAAGGGCAGGAAGAGGAGATAAGGAGGGGATCAGTATGTGGTGTAGGGAGAGAGCTTTTGCACATTTTCCTTTGTTTTGATACTAAATCTCTGGGGCCTGTTATTTCCATGTGGCCAGAGGGGCAGAGGCCCACAAAGGTCATAGCAATTTTTGAAGTTGATGAGCTGAAAACTCACCTGCCCATTGCTTCAAGCCAGGACATTAGTGGAGATGATGAATTTCTCTGCGTGTTAAGATGCACTCTGAATCCCAGAACTTTTGAATGTCAAACCAGGAAAGGAATTGGCAGATTATTTAGTCCAGTCCCCTCTTTACACCTGAGAGTAAAGAGTGGCCCCAGAAAAGATGAGTATTCAGCATAAGGTCACCCAGCATTTAATGATAGAATCAAAGCAGGTAGCTCCCCATTTGCAGCTGTGGGGCAGAAACAGCCATACCTTTTTCTGTAAGAATCTCTATAGGATGGCCCTGTCTATTTGAGACCACTGCAATTTCAGAAAAGAATGTGGCCTCCTTAGTCCAAGTTCCCTGGAAGGCTGGGTCATAGGCCTCAGAGACCCTCCTCATGTGGGTGAAGTTTCCAGGGACTACAAAAGGGGCACAGTCTGACAGCCTTATTTCTGGGCTTGCCTGATGTTTCTGCATTGCAGCCTCCTTAAGGGTGGGAGTCAAGGTCATCTGTCCTGGTCCAATTGCTGTCTCTTCTCTTCCCTTCTCTTCTCTTCTCTTCTCTTCTCTTCTCTTCTCTTCTCTTCTCTTCTCTTCTCTTCTCTGATCCTCAATGCCCAACTCTAAAACAGGAGAGTTGGAGTTTACTACATGGATTTCAAAGGTCTTTCAGATCTGACATTCTATGATTTTCTGATTTTTCCTTTACCTTAAAATAGACACACACACACACACACACACACACACTTCTCTGTTTCTTTCACAGTCTTTCTGTGCCTTTCTTGTATTGGTGTTTACTTTATCTCTTTTCCTTCTTCCTTTATCTCCTGCCGAATAAGACATGTATTCTCTTATTAAAACCATGGTCTGTTCATTTGCTTAAATTTCCAGGGGTTAGCATAGAATGCCCTTCTAACCCCAAGTGAACTGACCCTCACAACTCTGTGAAAGAGATATTATTTTCACCTCCAAGTTACAAATGAGGAAACTGAGACTAAGACAAGTAAGTCAACTTGCCTGACATCATGTACTCAGTGGGTAGTAGAGCATGTCTTTGAACAGAGGACTTGAGAGTGACATGCTTGTTCATTTCTCTATCCACTGTGATGGGTGCTGTCAACATCTTAGTAAAGAAGCAGCCATGATCCCTATGCTCTAGTGATTCTGGACATGAATCAGCTATCCCTAAAGGAAGTAGATTCTTTGGTTGTCTGGAGTCACTTAGTTCTGGATTCAGATTTGTGCTGTATCACTTACTTGCTCCACCTCTATGAGCAATCTCATATTCCTCATCTATAGAGAGGAAACCTCAGTTTCCTCATCTATAGAGAGATAAAATGTGAACACCTACTTCAAGTGGTTATTTTGAAGCCTAAATGAGATACTGCATGGGAAACAATATCATACAATTGAAAGCACTGCCCAAATTTTAGGGTTTTATTTTTGTTTTTGTTTTGTTTTACTTTTTTTCTTTTTAAAGAATAGAGACATCCCAGCACTTTGGGAGGCTGAGGCAGGCGGATCACGAGGTCAGGAGATCGAGACCATCCTGGCTAACACAGTGAAACCCTGTCTCTGCTAAAAATACAAAAAATTAGCCAGTCGTGGTGGTGGGCACCTGTAGTCCCAGCTACTCAGGAGGCTGAGGCAGGAGAATGGCATGAACCAGGGAGACGGAGCTTGCAGTGAGCCAAGATCGCGCCACTGTACTCCAGCCTGGGTGACAGAGCGAGACTTCATCTCAAAAAATAAATAAAATAAAATAAAATAAAATAAAATAAATAAAATAATAATAATAAAAAGAATAGAGACATGGTCTCACTATGTTGCCTAGGCTGAACTCACACTCCTAGGCTCAAGCAATCCTTCCACCTCAGCCTCCCAAGTAGCTGGGACTACAGGTGCACACCACCATGCCAGGCTCCAAATGTTAGTTCTGATTATCATCAAAATGTAGTTGCTTCTTTTTCCTCTGTCTGCTTTTCCCTGCTCCCTCTCTCTCCATTCATTTTTCCACAAATATTCGTTGAGTGGCAGTTACTGCACCTCAAGAACTCTGCTTGCTTCTGTCATTAATTATGTTTATTTAATCAGTCCTTATAATAATCATGTGATGAGGGGCTAATATCCCACTCTTCAGACAGTGAAGCTGAGACCCAGAGGTGTTGTAAAATTTGCCCACAATCCAATTTGCAGCAGGTGCCGTGATTCTCTCCTCCCTACTCTGTCTTTCACAGTCCAGCACATCCTTTAACCGGGACGCTGTGAAAGCAGGAACTGGCCGTCGCTTCCTCGGTGGACTCCTGGACCACACTTCCTATTGCTACACCCTAGAGGTCTCCTTCTACAGCTACATCATCAGTGGCACCACGGCTGCTGTGCCCTACACTGAAGAAGCCTGTATCCTTAGTCCCCACCCAGCCTTGGGCCAGCCCTCATCCAGCCGAGAGTATCCAAGTCTGACAGGTCAGGAATTAGGCCCCCAGCTCAGGTAAGGGCTGAGACTCTCAGGTGAGGATGGAGGTGCTTCTTCTTCTGGTGGCGTCTTTGGATTGTCCAGTTTGCCTCAGCCCTTAGTATGATACTCCTACCCCAATTGCCATGCTCCAAATCTTTCCCAGGCCAGCCGGACCCATGGCCTGCCCATATCTTACTCTGCTTCCATCTCTCTCCCCTCTCTTCTCTCATGATGCAGTGAGTCTCCTGCCATCTAAGCTATGCAAGTCCACAGGCTGGATGACCATCCCCAGGGTTGCTGAGGAAGAGCTTGATGATCTTGACTCCTTCTAACCCTGAACATACAAAAACATATGTTCTCTTTTCATCTTTTGTCTAACCTATCCTCTCCCACTTTCTCTTCCCTCTACTCACTATTTCCCCTTCTACTTACTTTTCTCACCCTTGTTCCCTCTCCTTCTATGCCCTCCTCCTCCCTCCTCACCTGTCCTGTGCTTCTCTTTCCTTACTTCTTTTTCCCCCTCCTCCCCTCCTTTCTGTCCTCTCTCTCATCCCATCCTCCTTTTCTTTCTCTCCTCTTTGCCTGTCTTCTGTCTTCCTTGTCTTTCCCCTCTCATCCTCTGTGCATCTTTCTCTCTGCCTTTGCATTTCCTTTGACAAATTCCTT
The DNA here is from genome assembly GCF_000001405.40 of Homo sapiens. Taxonomy (NCBI): domain Eukaryota; kingdom Metazoa; phylum Chordata; class Mammalia; order Primates; family Hominidae; genus Homo; species Homo sapiens. Next base: position 48,586,279 of record NC_000001.11, on the reverse strand, counting down.
TTCCTCTTAGTTTCTTCATAAAATTTCTCTGAAAACTCCAAAGCCTTCCATGATGAAATTAGAAGTTATTTTCTAGTTTGCCTAATTTTTTAAGGATTAGGTAGTAACTCTAGTTTCCCGAGTGTTGATTTTAATATCAAGGTCACTGCATCAGAGCTGTAACAGATCGTGGCAGATTCTGCTTTCCTTGATCCTTTGTTTTCGGGTTGATCTATGTCTCCTTTCCTAACACTTAGTTTTCTCAGAGAAGTGGAGGGAGGAGGAAGGAACTTTAGATGAAATGAACTCTGTATTTCTGCAAATTCCCCCTCCCTGGAGGTAGAAGTGCTCTTTTAGCATTTTTTCAACCCTTGGTGAGTGTTTATGGAATTCCTCTGTGCAGGAAAACATCTTTTCTGAACGTGGCATGACTTAGGGCTAGTCCCACCAGCCAACTGCAACTTAGTGGCTCTGTTTGTATGTGTGTTTGGGAGGGTTGGGGGTATGGTGTCCAGGTACCTTGCCAGGAACATCGGAAGTAGGGCAATGGCCCTAGAAGGAGGGGCTGTCAGGGGGTAGGCCAGGTGTTAGAGCAATGTTCCACATCCTGTTGGACACAGAGATATTATGATTGGAACTGAGAGTTCCCTATGTACAGTCATCAAGACTGAGGGTCATCTTGCAGTCTGCTTTAATACCCACCTGACTCAGCAAGGCCAAGGGAGTAGGCTCTGCTCTGAGGAAGAGGGTCTGTGGGTTCCAAAGTCCTGGCCACCTGTTATGTGCCACATTGCCCCTCTTCATGCCCCATACACACCTTAGATGATGCATATGGCCTATGCCTTCTCCAGAATCTGCTAACTCCTATAACACATGCATATGCTTCATTCCACATTGTACTTGCTTTGCTCTCCCATAATATTATGGCAAAGGGACAGAGAGCTGCCTGGAATAAGAGTTTGAGCTTGTGCACTAAAGGGGATTCTGCAACCCTTATTCATAGTGAGATGAGGGTCCCTCCAGAGGAGGCCTGCCCTTAGTTTGTTGTTTTTTGCTGTCCAATCTGACAGGCTCTCCTACCTTTTCTTAGCACTTCTGACATGCTTCTGTCTTAGAAGAAAATGTGTTTCTTAGTAGAAAGCCCACCCTTGGTTCAGGCCCAAGGTTTCCACCCCTCAACAGCCAACACTCATTTATCAAAAGTAAACACAGCATTAGTACATACCAGGAATCATAAAAGGCACCTAGGGTAAAATACTGAATAAAAAGGCATGATTCCTGACTCACAGAACTTTCAGTCTACTTGGGGAGACAGAAAAGGGAAGAGATAATTACAATGTATGTGATAAATTCTGGTGGAGGAATTCCAGAAGGCTCTGGGACATTTTCATTTGACAAGTATATATTGAGTGCCTGTCATAGGTCAGGTAAAGTTCTAGGCACAGGGAATGTAACAGAGAACATACTAAAGACAAGAATGTCTTTACATGGGGGAAAGAGGGAACTCACACGCAGTCCTAGGAGTCAGGGAAGATTTCCCAGGAAAAGAGACATCTAAACTGAGATTTTTTGTTTGTTTGTTTTTGAGATGGAGTCTCACTCTGTTACCCAGGCTAGAGTGTAGTGGCATGATCTCAGCTCACTGCAACTTCTGCCTCCTGGGTTCAAGCGATTCCCCTGCCTCAGCCTCCTGAGTAGCTGGGATTACAGGTGTGCGCCACCATGTCCGGCTAATTTTTGTATTTTTAGCAGAGATGGGGTTTTACCATGTTGGTCAGGCTGGTCTCAAACTTCTGACCTCGTGATCCACCTGCTTCGGCCTCCCAAAGTGCTGAGATTACAGGTGTAAGCCACTGAGCCCGGCCTAAACTGAGTTTTTAATATGAACTAGTCAAACTGGGTGAGGGTGTTGTTGAAGGGAGGATGTGGTAGACAGAGAGGGGAGTACAGAAGGTATGGGCAGAAGCTGTAAGTGGTCCCTTAGGGCTGAAGGACTTCAGACTCAATGATAAGTCTGAAGTGGAAAGATGTAAGAAGTTTGATCTTGAATGTAGACAATGGAAGGACAGATTCGAGGGGGCCAGTATTGTAGACAGGGACATGCATTAGGAGGCTGTTATAAAAATCCAGGTGAGAAATAATCCAGGCCAAGACCAGAGTGGTGGCTGTAGAATACTTAGAATGTGGAACTGAGAAGACTTGGTAATTGACTATTTGGGAGTGGCGACAGGGAATGGGAGCTCGTGATTGGAAGGGGTTAAGGTGAGTAGAGAGGCTATGCACAAGCTGAGCAGGTCGTGATACTGATGGACCTACCCTGCCTTGTTCTGTCCTCTAGAGGATGAGAAGAGGAAACAAACTGCACCAGGGAAGCTCAGGCCGATTCAATGCATGCAAGGGTGATTTAACCTGGGTTCTGTTTGAAATACTTAAAAAAAAAAAAAAAACTCTCATTTCATAACAGAGGGAGACTTCAGGGAGACAGATTGTGATCTTTGTTGGCTGCTGGCTCCATGTCCCAATCATAAAAAGAAATTACATGGTCTGATGGGAAAGGCAATATGGTCTGGGAGAAAATGTCCTCTAGACTAGGAATCAGGAGACCTGGATTCTGATGACAGCACCAACATCATCCGTGAGAGCACCCTTCAGCAAGTCCTGTAACCTGTCTGAGGTGAGCTTCCTCACCATTACAAAGGGACCAAGGACCTTCACACTTGTCTAACCCCTGCTGTGGGAATTAAATAGAGATATTTATTTAAAGTATAGATGTGGTATTATGCAAACAGAACAAACTTTCGATTCAGACATATCTGGGTTTGAATCCTAGGCTCACCCACTTACTAGATGTGTCACCTTGGGTGAGTTGTATAACCTCACTGGGCCTCAGATTAGTTTCCTAATCTGTAGCAGGAGGACATAATAATACTTAACCTCACCGAGTTGCAGTGAGGTTAAAGGAAATAGCTTTTGTGAGTGTGCACTGTGAACTAAATATTAAGTGACATTGAAAAGGTTTATGTGAATGTGAATGAGGACCACTGTCTGTGTGAAAGAAGATAGATAGGGCTGTTATAGCAAGAAATCAGCAGCTGTTGTTAGGGTTTGTAGGGCAAAGAGCATTGGTGGGGTCATCACAGTTGAGGGTCTTGCCTTGACCGCAGAACAGTGACTGATTCACACAGTGGGAGATGTGCCGTTCCACTGATGGAGTTTCTTGTTTCTGTCATCCAGGGTGCCCCCTTCCTAGTATCATGGAGGCCAGACTAATTAGCTAGAGGATACTGGATGAGTATAACATCAGGAAGGGCTGGGGCTGCAGAGAATCCCAAGGGATATTTCATCTAGGTCCAGAATAGTGTCCGCCGCTCCACAGACCAGAGCATATGTGTCCATTGGTTCAGTTCTTCTCCTTGGAAAAGCACCAGCCAAACATGACCAGGGTTTTGCTCTCTGACTTCCCTTCTCTACTATATCTGGGAAATAAATAAATGGACATGGTGGTTGGTGCTTACCTGGCTGTGTGACCTTGTACTGGTTATCTCACCACTCTGAATCTGTTTCCCGATTTGTAAAATAAAAATAGTACTCACTTTGCATGGTTATTGGGAGGGTGAAATAAGGCACTATATCTGCATTCTCCTGGTACTGCCTGGCATCTGGTAGGTACTCAACAAATGTTCTTGTCTTGACTTGTCTCAGCCCCATGCAGACTACATGGCTTTCCTTCTGTTGGTTGAATCTTTAACTTGACAATCTGGCTTTGGAACTAGCAACTAGTATTTGAATTCTGACTCCACGCTATTACGGGTTGCCTCCAGCAAGTCTTGTCCCCTCTCTCAGCCTGTGTGTGTAATACTTCCTACCCATCAGAGTTTTGTGGAATAAAATTATGTGTGGACTTGATCACTATTCTAGTTCCTTCCAGCTCTGACATTCTAAGATGTTCCTGATTCTAAAATGTAAGTTATATAATTCCATGCTTAGATTAATTGGATCAATAATCCATGGATTATCAATATTCCATGTTATCAATAATGCATACTTTTTTATTGAGTTTTAATATTCAGTGATTCCATGAACATAAGAGTTTCTAATTTAATAGGTAAAATCAATACAAAAGTGTCCCGGGCAGCTAGTCAGGCCCAACCAATAGCTACCTTCATTCTTTTAGTTTAGGGGTTCTTAATTGAGGGGCTTACAGATGGCTTCAACAAAACCCTGTGAACCATCTAAAATGTATGCAAAGCTGTGAGTAAATATGCAGAGTTCATTTTTTGGGAGGAAGGCCCATAGCTTTCAACAGAACCTAAAAGAGAGACATCCTCAGAGGCTTCTGCCATGGCCGGTGGCCTCTTGGCCTCTCTCCTGTCCATGCTGTGGCAAGAATACAGTGCTGGTGTCAGAGTCCTAGGTGTGAGTTCTCTTTTGCGTCATTCTCGCTGAGACCCTAATCCCATATTTAACCACTCTGAACCTCAGTTTCTTCATCTGTAAAGTGAGGAAGATTATTTACATCACAGGATTGTTGTTAGGGCTGCATGGGAGAATGCATGCAGATAAATCACCGGGCATATAGTCTGTGCCATTAAATATTAGGTCCCTTGCCTTTCCTTCCTGTCATTTGTTGTTTTTGTGAAATGATAAATTCCTACGAATTTTGAACCATTCTTCAGGAAACCCTATTTACATTTTACTGGCCTGCCAAGTAATAAATATGCTCTGTTCAAACGATTTGAAAAAGAGGGAGAGAAAGGCTAAACTGGAATCATAAAGTAACCCAGAGCTTATCTGGCATTTGTTTTTAGTCTGGTTACAAGCCAAGAAGAAATAGCTCTTTGACATAATGGATGAGAAAAACATTGGGAACAGAGACCTTGGGTCCTGAGCAGACTGGTTTCCACCCAGGCTTGTAGCTGTGGACACAATGAAATAAGAAAATGCTGGCTCTTAAGGGGAAGGGTATGGCTGATGTGGTCAAGAGAAGATGCTGAGATATCAAATTCAGTTAATTGGGTTAGTCTCATTTCAGAGCCCATATATGCCTTGCACTGCGTCCTCTGAAGCCTACATCACACATTGAAGCTATCGTTTATTTACTCATCCATCCAACCAAACACATTAGACACTAGAAAAAGACAGATGAAAAAAGCTTGGTCTCTGCTTTCAAGATGAAGACAGTTTTGAGGGGAGGGAGAAAGGTAAAGAGACAATAGCATCACAGAGGGATAAAAGTTCTGGCAGAGGGGAACTCTGCTGGTTGGGGAAGCAGTGGGAGTCACCTAAACCAGCTGGGGTGGTGCAGGAGGGGGTCGGAAGAAAGGCTTCGTGGAGGAAGAGAAACTAGGGCTCAGACTTCTAGGATGAATGGAATGCAGAGGGAGAAGTACAGGGGAGAACCCAGATGCCAGAGAGAGGATGCTACATCCAAAGGATTGGAGGGTAGCTGGGGCTGGGCCAGAAGCAGCAGGTGATTAATAAATATAGGCAGAGCCAGACCATGGAGAGAAAGAGAAAGATTTGTGAAATATGTAACAGGTACATTGAACAGGCAGTACTCACAAGGTGCAATTATGAAACAACTTTATTTTTTGTCTCCCATTGGCTTTATAGATAGATAGATAGAGATTATAGATCTAGAGACATAAAAGCTCTGGCAGGCCCCATGAGTCTCCAGTCACTCTCAGGAAATTAAAAGTTCTCTAATTAATTCTAGTCACAAAACAGTCTCAGTTTAGCAATGACTATGTCTGATCCAATCAAAAACATCAAACCTCTTCTAAGTAAAAACCCTCCCCATCCTCTAGCTCAGACCTGTCTCAAATAGGCTGCTCATGTGACCAAGGGGTTAGGGTCTGGCTCACTTCTGTTTCCCTGACTTGGCTTCCCAGCCTTTCCCCTCAATCTGGGTAACAGTAGCTGTTTACTCCTCCAAGGTTGAGCAAGATGAGGGAGAGGAGAAAAGGAACAGGAAAGGTCTTAGGGGACTAGTACTCTCATGAGACAGCATGGGCAGTCCCTCACGAACTTCTTTAGACACACCCTCTCCTGGTGCTTGAGCTCTGTTGATGTGAGCAGATGTGTCTGCTCAGTTCAGTTGCTTATGGTTCCTTCCTAAGCCTCTGGTGATCTGATGGTTTACCCCTGTTGGGGTCACTATTCCCCTCCACTGGCTCTCATGTCTGAAGGTGAGCTAAAGATGGTGAAACTGGTTTTCTGGGTTACTTTTGCAAGTCCTGCATGGTGGTTTCATACTTCACTCTGAACTGTAATGTCTATAGTCTTGAGATCTCAGTCGAAACTACAATTTTAGAAGTCCCATTTTAACATGTTCCAATATCTAACAGGTAGGATTGAGTATTCTTTTTTTTTTTTTTTTTTTTTTGAGGCGGAGTCTCACTTTCGCCCAGGCTGGAGTGCAGTGGCACGATCTCGGCTCACTGCAAGCTCCGCCTCCCAGGTTCATGCCATTCTCCTGCCTCAGCCTCCTGAGTAGCTGGGACTACAGGCGCCCGCCACCGTGCCCGGCTAATTTTTTTTTTTTTTGTATTTTTAGTAGAGACGGGGTTTCACCATGTTAGCCAGGATGGTCTCGATCTCCTGACCTCGTGATCCATCCGCCTCAGCCTCCCAAAGTGCTGGGATTACAGGCGTGAGCCACCATGCCTGGCCGGATTGAGTATTCTTGCTGATTATTTGGATACGGGGTAGAGGAAAGAGTCAAGTAAGATGCCCAGTTCTTGATTCGAAAACAATATGGGGCTGGGCGCAGTGGCTCATGCCTGTAATCCCAGCAATTTGGGAGGCTGAGGCGGGTGGATCACTTGAGGTCAGGAGTTCGAGACCAGCCTGACCAACATGGTGAAACGCCATCTGTACTAAAAATACAACAAAAACAACAACAAAATAGCCAAACTTGTTGGCGGGCCCCTGTAATCCCAGCTACTTGGGAGGCTGAGATAGAAGAATCACTTGAACCCGGGAGGCAGAGGTTGCAGTGAGCTGAGATCATGCCATTGCACTCCAGCCTTGGGGACAGAGCAAGCCTTCATCTAAAAAAATAAAAATAAAAATAAAAAACAATATGATAGATGATAGCTGTTAAGGCCAATCATTTAGCTACAGACTATTGGAGAAAAGGGTTGGAGAGGGGGATATTTTGAGCTCTGTATGTAATATATTGAGTATAAGGGACTTATGTAAAATCCAAATGGAAAAGTTTGGTTGGCAGAGGGCTCTAAAGGCCTGACGTTCTGGAGACAGGCCTGGGCTTTGGATAGACTCAACATAGATTTTTCTACGAGGTACTATAAAGTCACAATGAAGAAAAGATTTTCTTGGTGTACACAGTCAAGGTGGGCTTCTGCTTGATAACTTGGTGAAAAGAAAGCTAGACTGTGAGTTAAAACCCCAGTTCCAGTATGACCTTTTGCCCCTGACCCCCTCATAAAGCTATGTGGACTTGGTTAAATCATTTCACCTCTCTAGCTAAAGCCTGATACTAGGTAGATACTCAGTGAATGCAAATGAATGAATGAATGAATGAATGAAGTGGAAGCAGGCCTCACCCAACATCTGCTAATCCACTTGGATCAAGAACAAGGCAATGAGTTATGTGATCTCTGCTGTTCAGAAACAGTATCGGCATCTGTATGTGGTTGGGGATGGGTACTGCCTAGATATTTGTTCTTGCCAGAGAGCCTTCACTAAATTTTCGGTGGAGGACAGAAGAGTAGGAAGCAGTCAAGTTTCACCTATTGGTTGGCATCTAAAGATACCTAGGTACTTCTCAGTTCTTGTGTGTCATACCCAAGGTCAAAGCTTTGTTAAGATTCATAAGTGAAAAAAGCTTCCATCAGAGGGTTTTGGGAACCGAAGTCTAAACTGTACTGAAGTCTGTTGATTTTTTTCTCCTCCCTACAGACATGGGCTAGAGTTTGATCTTTAAATATGAATCCTTCTGATTGACTATCTGGCTGAATGAATGACTAATAATAATAGTAGCAGTAATGGTAAAAATAATAATATTGAGAATGTGCTTCATGAAGAGGCTCAGGTCCCTGCACTAGAGCATAAGCTTTGCCTGTAACTTGTGGTGTAGGTTTGAGGAGGTCTGTTCCCTGCTTTGGGTCCTAATTTTCCTATCTTTAGCATAGAAGATGAAATGATGTGATCTTTAAGTTTATTTCCAGATACATAGAGAATCATTTGATTTGGACCTTTGAGATAGTATCTCCATTTCACAAGCAGGGAAATTGAAGCCCAAAAAAATCAACCTACATGCCCCAGGCTGCACAGCTAGTAGTGGTAGAGTGCGAATGTAAAATCCAGATTGATCCAGCTCAAAGTGTGTGTTCGCTCCACTCTGCCTGTTAGGTTTTTATCTAACCTTCCTCCCTGCTCTGTAATCTTCCCAGTTTCCATCCATTTCCTGTTGGACAAGAGCCTTTTCTGAACCCTGCAGAGGTTGGGACCTACCAGTCAGCCCTTACTCTCACCCCTCACTCTCACCCCTCTCTCTGATCAGCGTCCCTAGTTTGACCGATTTGCAATCCCTGATAGCCCAGTTGCAGCTCTGCTGGATGCTGCCCAGACTCTCTCTCTGCAGTGCCCGGCTGAGCTGCTGCCTGTTGTGAGCCCTGCCTTGGGCTGACTGCCTCTCACCTCCAGATCAAAATGTGCCCCTGATTTCTGAATGTCTCCTGCCCAGGCCTGGAAAACCTAAACATTATTACCTTCCCCTAGCCTCCCTCATCCCCTAAAATGAGGTTTCTAAGGGTTTTATCTGCTGTTGTCAAGTTTATGGCCATAATTTGAAATGCTGTTAATATTACTGTCAGCAGAGAGCTACAAATTACAAAGTTGTAAAGTTTCTTTATAGTGATAACTGTCAGCCTTCACTAGCAGCACCCGCAAGCCTCCATGGAAACCAAGTCGATGATAAAGAGAGTTGATATTGTTTCAGGATTATGGCTGTTAGCTTACGGTCAAAATAAATCCTGGTTGGTTCCTAAGTAACTTGAACCTGTTTGTCTATATGAATATTCCCTTCAACTTATGCATATAATACTTGTGTTCCCACCTTCTTATTGCACAAGTGTGGGAAGAGCCCAAAAGTGGAAAGACCCAAGATTAGCTCCAACCAGTTTCAGGTTTAGGCCTAACTTTTATCAGTCCAAGGACAATGAGAGGGACTGTCTGCTATGTTGGAGAAGCTTAATAAATAATTGTTGAATGCATGAACGCCTGGAACATTTGAGGGGGGCTTAATTGGACAATAATTGGAACAAAGATGTTGAGTCATTTCTGCCTTTAGAGTAAAAAGAATAAAACGAAAGCAGCTTTGGAAGTAATGATTTGGGGAAATGAGGTTTCCTGTGCAGTAAAATGGTTTAGGCATCTTAACTGACACTATTAAGTTTGATATTGATCAACAGGGCAATGTGTCAACTCCCACATCCACCACACTACCCTTCTGCCAGAATTGAAGCTGATTTTGGCTGCATTCACAGAAATAGATTTGGGGAGTAAGGAGGTGTTGGCCTTTCTTTGCCCTGTTATGTCAACGACCCTGGGAACTGTGTGTTCATTTCTGGCCCCTACTCTATGTCGAATATTGATAAAATGGTGCACAGGTCCTGAGGCATCAGGTTGGAAAGGGAACACAAAGCTAGGTTTACCAACTGCCCTGGTTTGCCTGGGACTGAGTGAGGAGTTTCCCAAAACAGAGGACTCTGTGCCAAAACCAGGACATTTCTTAGCAAACAAAGATGGTTGGTCACCCTACCCAAAGCTATGATATATGAGGAACTGGTAAAAATAATTGGGGATATTTTCTTTGGCAAGAAGACATTTAGGGGCTACATATATGCTTTGGTCAAATCTCTAAAGTAGCAGTCCCCAACCTTTTTGGCACCAGGGACCGATTTCATGGGAGAAAAATTTTCAATGGACCAGGGTTAGGAGGGGAGATGGTTTCAGGATGAAACTGTTCCACCTCAGATCATCAGGCATCAGTTATATTCTTAAAAGAAGTGCACAACCTACATCCCTCATATGCATAGTTCACAATAGGGTTTGCATTCCTATGAGAATCTAATGCCAGTGCTGTTCTGACAGGAGGAGGAGCTCAGGTCATAATGATCCATCACCTGCCACTCACCTCCTGCGGTGCAGCCTGATTCCTAACAGGCCACAGTACCAATCCATGGCCAGGGGCTTGAGGACCCCTGCTCTAAAGAGCTCTCATGAAGCAGAGGGAGTAGATCTGTTCTCTGTGGCTCTAGAGGCTAGAACAAGAGCCAGTGGGAGATAGCTCCATTCTGAACTTTTGTGGGGAAGATAAGGACAGGGAGGGTCTGGAATCCAAGGCTACACTCACTGAGCACCTATGCTGTACCAGGCCCTATGCTGGTTTCTGGGGATGCAGAACTGAGTGGCTGTAGCCTATGCATGGTGAGGTTCCCAGGTGGTGGAGGAGATGGGCAGGAGAGTGACTGCAGGACAGTTGTGACAGATGGGAACACAGGACATGGAGAAAAGAAGCATCTAACCTAACCTTGAGGGGATCAAGGGGTGGGAGGAGGTGCAGGAAGGAAGCACCATCACTTTTACCAAGTCTAGAAGGATGAGAAGGGAGCAAAGTGCTCTGCAGGCAGAGAGACTAGTTGTGCCCAGTCCAGAGAGCTGCTTTCCTCCTGTGGACATGTCTGGGCCTTGGGTGTGAGTTAGGGAGTGAGAGGCAATGAGGCCGGAGAAGGCTATGGGAACCAGCTAGTGAAGCACCAGTGACCCACAACCACACCAGTGCTGCCTGGAGGTCACTGTGGCAGCAGCGGGCAGGATGAGTTGAATGGGGTCAGTTGGAGATAGGTGAACATATCGTAAGTAAATGCCACAGCACCTCACCAAGTAACACCCGCCTGCCCTTCTAACTCTTTTCATCTTTAAAAGGATGTGTTCCTGGGAGATCGGCTCTGAAAGTAAATCTAAGGATCTCCTTCCTCCTGATTCCCCTCGGGAGCCCAGATCCAGTTTGTCAGATCATACTGTCTGGCCAGAAGTTTGGGATATCTCCTAGTGGAATACTGGGTATTGGACAGTATTTTGATGTGAGATTCATGAGCCACATACTTTATTAATCCAGTCTCTGCTGCTGACTTGCTGTGATCTCGAGCAAATCACTACCCTGCCCGAGATCCCATTTGTAAAATGAAGGGTTTGGACAAAGGGCCTCCATCCTTCAGGCTCATTCAAAGGGTTTATTTAATTTAGATATAACATTTATTGAACATCGACTACGTGTAGGACATGGTCATCTTAGGATTTGCTGTGACCCCTGGGGCCACAGGGCCATTCTCTACAGGAGCACAAACTCTCCCTTTCTTTCAGAAAGACGCTAAAACTAGCATCTCATACCTCACTTCAGGCTGCATGCCCAGCCAAGACATGCTGCCTGTCTGGGATTTCTTATCCATCAATATTTTCCTTAAGATGATAAATGTGCTGCCAATAAGAGGAGGCAGCTGCCAACTCTGTCTGAGACAAGGGCCTTTAGCTGGGGTTGTGGCCGTGCTTGGCTTGTTGATATGTCTCAAGAGACAGGAGGTGGGAGTTGTGGCTGGGAGGGATGCAAGTTGGAACTTAGAGGGAGGAGGAGGTCAGGACCACTGCTCTCAATCCATGCAGTTTTGGCCATGAGTCAGTGGAGAGGAGAGAGAGGAGGTAAAGGATGCTTGGATGTCAGTTCAAAAAAAAAAAAAAGAAAAGAAAAGAAAAAAATATACATATTTTTATGGTATTTATGAAGCTCCTGCAGAATGCCAAGACCTGGGTAAGCCATCCAGAAATAAACAGCATTCATCAGTGTATAAAGTGTATTCGGAACCATCATTTCATTTGATCCCCACAGCAATCCGTAGAGATGAGTATTATTATCTCTATTTTACAAACAAGGAATTCAAGGGTCAGAGAAGGAGGTGCATTTTGTCTCTGTGTTCGTATCCTAAGCCAGGACCAGTCTCAGCCTCTAGAAGTACAGAAACTCAGAATTGGATTAAGAGGAAGCCTGTCCAGGTGGAACAGTGCATAGGTGGTGGGGCAATATCCTCACAGAAGCTTGAACTTGTTTCTTCTGATATTAAATCCTCTGATTGCTCCACTAAAAGACACTTTCTTTGAAGAAATCAGCCATATGATTGAGAAGCTAATAGCTGAGATATAACAGATGCCATCGTTAATAATAGAATGAAGCAAGCATAGTCTTTGGAGCCAGGCTGACCTGGGTTCAAATCTCGGTTCTGCTATTTACCAGTTGTGTGAACTTAGGCAAGTGACCTAATCTCTCTGAGCCTCAGTTTGTCCATCTGTAACAATGATTATTATATTTACCTCACAGTGTTGTTTTGAGTAGATGGAAGCAAAACAAATTCTCAGGTGCCTAATAGATTACCTGGAACATAATAAGCACTCAATAAACGATGCTCTTATTATTATTATTACTAGCCAAGTACCCAGTTGGATGAAATCTGAATAATAAATTCCTAGGTTATCAGAAGAGATGAAATCTGTTTGGATTATAGGTTTCATGGAAACTTCCATGAAGGGTTCTTAAGATTCCTAAGAGGTTCTTCAGATTCTTAAATAACAGCTTTCTTAAAGGTGTGTTCAGAGTACTCTGATACCCCAATAGAAATCTCTGTCCTCACGTGCATAGTTTGGAAATTTTACCAGGACAAATTCATTTAGGATTAGTCTCAGGACTCAGTCTACAGTCAAGATCTGTGACTAAAGCCAGGGTTCAGTCTGTGACTGGGATTTGGTATTTGATGCTCTGCTAGAAACAGCATATATTAGCCCTCCTTAGTCTGGTGTTGAGGAAATATGTTATGATAAAGAGTTAAGACACTTGGGTTCTCATCATGGAATTTAAGAACTGGAAAGTCCAGTGATTTTAATTTTTTAATGTGAATGTAGACAGCTGACACTTCATCTGTGCCAGTTTCCCACTCTCCCTACTGCACCTACCTTGTAAATATCCGGGCAGATCAAATGGCATAGTAAGCGAGAAATGATTTTGAAAACCGTTTCACCCTGGACTCAAAGAAGGGATGATTCCTGGTGAAGGGGAAGAGCAGGAGGGGGCTGGGGAGAAGTTGGAAGCATGTTGCTCTATTGGACAGAAAGATCTAGAATAGGGAAGGGGCAGGGGCAGGGCCTAGAGGAGGCGCTGGGCCGGTGTAGAGGCAGCCACAGAGGACCCAAGTCAGTTTAATTCCCAGCCTGTGTTAGTAGGGATGTGCATCAGAACCTAGCTCCATCAGAAGGATACTGGCCACAGGGCTGGTAACCCACTGAACTGAGCAACAGTCTGGACTCTCTCCAGCTCCTTCCCTCTGCCACTTGTCTTTGGGGGACCACAAGCTGCGGCTTTGTTGCAGTTGCCTGAGGTTGAAGTGCCCTCTCCTGGCCCCCAGGGTGCATGGCTGCTGTGAGAGGCTCCCTTCCACATCGAGGATTGGAAGGCAGCCTGGTCCTTTGTCAGGGCTAAGACCTATGCTCTGGAGGGCTTGAGCTATCTTTGTGGGGCTGGAGACAGGAGACGCACCCCCCCTTCAGTTCTCCCAGGTCTCTCTCTGCATAGCATTCCTCTTCCCTGATAGGTCATCTCTCTTTCCTCTTTCATTCCCCGTTTTGTTTTCATTTTTGTCTTTTTGTCTTTCTATTTGACTCTCTCTCTCCCACACACACACTCACACACACTCACACACACACACAATTTGCACATAACTTTATTACACCCTCTCTTACCTTCTCCACTTTTTATCTTCTCCCCCCACCCAACCTCCCTTCTTTCCTCCCACCTCTTCCACTTTTTTTTCTCTTTTTCTTCCGCCTTAGCTCCCTCTCTCAAGGCGAATAGTGGAAATGCATTGCACTAAATACATATTTAGTATCAGAAACTCAAACAAGAAGCCACTCTGTCCTCTCTTAAGTGGAGAATTAAGTATTCTCCACTTCGATGACCTTGAGCAATGCTTTGTGCTCTGACACCTTAACTGATGTTGAGGATTGAATGAGGGGACCTGTGTCAGTGCCTTTTACAGTGGCCTCTGACCTGGGCAGGGGCTCGGTAGTCCCTGTCCTTCCTCATATCCCTTTCAGCCCCACTCTGCTGCCTCCTTCTTTTGTTCTTTTCCAATTCTTCCTTCCCTCTCTCCCTCCTTCACTTTCCCCATTCCTCATACCATAGTTCAGATTCAGATTCAAATAGTGTAATACCTATTGAGCTTTTCATAAATTGGGGACTTGACCTTCACCTTGAAGGAACTGTTTTTGGGGTTCACTGTCTGTCACTTCTGCCTCCCCAAGAGAGGACAGAGTAGCTTCTTGTTTGAGTGTCTGATGAGGGGCTGAATTAACTGTGAACTGAGTTAAGGGACAACCAGAGGTTGTCAGCATGCCCAGAGGAGTCTCTGTTCCCAGTGTGTCCTACAGGAAAGGTTTGTGGTGAGAAAGTAATCTCCCGAGGCCCACATGACATCCTGGTGGATGTGTCCATGGGCCAGTTATTTTAATTTGCTTGCTCATTTATTTATCACTTGTGGTAAATTATAACAAAAGCACCTGCCACAATAAAGCAATGAAAGGCATTTCCTAGCCCTGAGCTCTTAAAGAAACATCTCACCTGGGAATCCATGTGGGGGCCCAGTAGGAGGCAGTGGCCTCTGGCTTCAAGAGCATTCCTTCAGCAGATGCCAACATGAGTGTCATGAGGATGCCTCTCATAGTGTCCCCTGATGAATGCCAAGGGCACAGTCCCAAAACACAGTGCAAGCACGCAGCTGTCTGAAGTCTAGCTAGACACTACACCAAGGCAAATGTGAGTAAAGTGCATCCTTCACACCATCCTCTGAGACTATCACATCTTTCAGCCCAGCTATGGAGAAAGCCAGGACAACTAAGTGGTGCAGGGTCAGGCAAAGGCCAGGAATGCGGGGATTTGAGCTGATGTGGCTCAGTGGTTGGGAACTCAGACTCAGAAATCATACATGTCTGGTTTCAGATCCTAGTTTTGCCACTTCCAGGCCCTGTGTGACTTTGGGCAAGTTACTTCACTGCTCTGAACTTCATATATCTTATCTGTTGAATACAAGTAATGGTACAAACTTTTCAGGGTTGTGGTGAGAATTAAATGAGCTAATGCATGTCAGTACCTAACACCGTGACTGGCTCCTGGTAAGGGATGATATCTATTATTACGCCTTACAATTCTGTGTGCTCGCTTCATGGGGATCCCAATAAGTCAGGGATCTGCTGACCAGGTGGTTGGGAGGCCATCTGATTGCCTGGATGGAGAACTGTCTGCACCACTACAGAGGCACACGAAGCCAGATGACCAGTTTTAAAGCAAAAGAGGATTCTTCTTTTGAGTTCCCTCATAAGAAAGTGTGACTGTAGTCGACCCCTACTTATACGCACTAAGGCAGACTGGAAAATCTCAAGCACACATCCCCTTGGCTAAGCACTTTAGTGATAGTATGTGCGAGTGGATGTCTGGGATTCTGGGAATGCACAACATTTACAGCATGAGGAAGGCGCCTGAGTTTTAGAAAGCTGGGAATCTCTCGAGAGAAGAGACAGATTTACTGTTTGCCTACTATGTGCCAGATACTGTGCTAAGTGCTTTATGGCTTCTTTAATTCTCATGGCAGCGTTATGAAGCAGTCACTATATCTTACAAGTAAAAAAAAAACGTTAACCCACGATATTAACTTACCTGGAGTCACCAAACTTGTATGAGGCATAGCCAAGCTCTGAACCCAAAGCCCCAGGATTCCACAGCACTGTTCTTCCTCCTGTCCTCACATCCAGACTGCCTGTGAGATTTCACCTGCCCTGTCCCACCTCTCACAGCCCTCCAGCCCCTACTGCTCCTCAAAGAGGCAGCAGACTGCGAAGCTGTGGCGGGACAGACCCCTCTCTCCAAATGTGGTGCACATTGCCTTCACTCTGCTTTGGTTTTCTTCTGAGTGACTGAGAGTTTCTACCTGGCCTAAACTCCTCCATACCTCTTCACCGGAAGGTGATTGTTGAGGGAAAGTTACTGGGCTCTGTTGAAAGTCATTTTTAGATTCCAGAGCAGGACAAGAAGGAACAATGACTTCACATGTGCATGACTAATTCAAAGAACTTTCATCTTCAAAATGTCAAACTTTATGGTCAGTGGCTGTTCCACAGTGAGCAGCAGCACAGTGAATATTAAACTACCAGGATGGCAGGGCATCTAGACTGGAAGTCTTTGTAAGGGCAAACAATCTCCAAAGGTGATGGCAAGTGCGGCAGGCCAGATTTGAAGTACAATTTGAAAACACAACTTCATTGTAAGTGATTGACCACCTGAGATTAAGATGTTCTAGGTAAATGGCACATATTAGCATGAATCTTTACTACAACCCCAAAAGAGTGGCATTATGGTCCCATTTGGTGATGGCGGAGGGTTGCGGGGCAGATTGATGCTCAAGGTAATTAGGGGATTTGTCCAAGGTCACATAGCAAGTATTTCTCCTGATTCGCAAACCCAGGTCTGTCGGCCTCCTCCAAAGCCTGCTCTTTTGCTACCACAGTACACTGCTTTTTGACTTCATGGCTTTAAAGCAACATGACCTTATCCATGTTTAGACCCACCAGTGACCCATCAATTTGTTCTAAGAAGGATTTGGAAGAAGTTAGTAAGGACCTACTTCATGTAACCTTAGGTCTGTGTCAAGAAATAAGGCCTTAGAAACAGTCCATTAGGTTCTGGGCTCCTGGAAATCAGGGAAACCAGGCTGGAATCCAGACTACCAGAAACAGCCTGTGTAACTCAGTAACTCCATTTTCCCGCTCTGGGTTTTCACTTTTCTACCTGTGAAAGTGTGAGAGTGAAAAACACAAAACAGATATTTACCAAGCACCTACTCTGTCACATGCCCTGTGCTGGGCATTGGCAATCGAAGATGAGTAAGACATTGCTTCTTCCCTTAAGGTGCAGTTGAATGAAGAAGTCTCTATATTCTTCCCTGATCAGACATTCTATGAACTCAAACTGCAACCACAAGTATGGATGATGGGTCAAGGACCTTCGACTCTATTCAGTGTGACTTAGGTCTGTTATAACCTAGACATAGGGTTTTGAGCTGTACCCTAATGGGCCCAGGGTCAAAGCATACACAGAGACTGGTGGGTCCAGGTAAAGAGGCTGGTGAGCACATTGAAATCAAAAGGACCAGACACTGGCCATTCATTTATTCAATTATTCACTCATTTGTTTAACAAAAAGTTTCTGAGCATTCCTTCTGTGCCAGGCCCCATACAAGGTGGCTGAGGACCCAGTAATGAGTCAGGAAAGGCTGTTGCATTCCAAAAGTGCCATCTTATGGAGAAACGGACATCCAAACATTACTATTAATAAGAGTACCCTGAAAGGACACATAAGGTAGAGAGGGGACATTAGGGAGAAAGTACATAACTCTGCCTTAGACAGGGATGACTTCATAGAGGAGGAGCCCGTGAGCTGAAACTCACAGAATGAAATGGACATTCTAGGCCAATGCCCAGAGACATGACACAACATGCTGTTTTCAGGAGCTGGAATTGTCTGGAGCTTCAAGTACAGGGAAGGGCTGTGGTTGGAGTATTCTTCCTAGCCCCACTAATGTTGGGCATACCTAGGTGACTTGCTTTGGCCAAAGGGACACTAATGGAACTAACTCAGATGGAGGCCTTCCATGTGCCTGTGTGGTTTGGGCTGGCACTTGCCACTCCAGTGATCCTCCACGGGAAGAGCATGTCACGGGAGCCACTGCCACTTCAGCTCTACCCCAGGATGAACAGGGAGAAAGGCAGACCTGAGTTCCACTGTGGCCTGGAGCCAAGCTAGCCTAAAGCCCTATCTTCTGGTCATTGATTCTAGATCAGTCAAACCAGCCACCTGCAGACTGGTTTGAGAGAGAGAGAGAGAGAGAGAGAAGAGTGTTGTTTAAAAAAATAGATGAAATCATTAGGGGAGAGAGTGCAAGAGATGCAATGGAGAAGTGGGGTCCCTGTTTTATGTTCCCTGCTTAAGCATGTAGGTGATAGTCATTTTGAGTGAGGAATGACATGATCAGATTTGCAGGATGCTTGATCCAAAAAGAAAAACAGCAACTGTAAGACCCAGTGGGGCTTGAGGGCCCGAATAAGACTTCCAAACTGAGCTTTTCAAGTCACCTGTGAGGACCTCAGCATCTTCTCTGCTTCCAGCTGGAAGGAAAGCATATCAAATAGAGTCCCAGCCTCGGTGCTTGAATGGGTTGCTGCTGTACCAACGTACAGGTCCCTCATCCCTTGCACAGCCTCACAAGGCCTGGAGTGACCCAAGCCTCAGGGCCAATAACCTCCAGCAGAAGGAAGCCCCTCACCTTTTCCTTCAGTCTGCAAATAGTATCAAAAATTTCTCGGAGAGTCATGACATGAAAGGTCGGGAAGCACTGGCTTAGCACTGTGAGGGTCCAGCCCTCCCTGCTCAGCCAAAGACGTGCCATCTGCTCCTACCCACTATCCTCCTCTCAAAGCCCATTTTCTTCAGGCCCCCAACAGGTCCCCTTCTCTCAGACAGTGGTGGAGAGCAGAGAGCCAGTGTTGTACCTTTGCATTCGTAATATACTGTCTGAGGATTTTTTTATTACCCTGTCGAGACAAAAAGCAATGGGATGAATTTCAATTCAGGACCCAATTGACTGCAGCACTGTGTCTGAGTCCTTCTCAGCAGCCTCTGCTATAGCTTTGAGAGCTGCCCCTAGATTATTCTGTATTAACATCTCTACTAGGCCCCCTCCTCAGTCCCTCCATACCTCACCAGGCTCATGCAGTGCTGGGCATCATCACATGTGTTTGGATGCTGAAAGAAAGGGCAAAGTCAGGGCTGTGGTGTGGGCCCAGCTTCCTCTGGGACCCCAGGAATGTCAAAGTGAAAAGAGAGCTAGAGCAATTGAGATGACTTCCTGGAGGTGATGGACCTTGATAATAAGATTTAGCAAGGTGAAATAGCTCACAAATTACAGGTGCTCTGACATACACAGTCAGGGCCACAGTGAGTTGTTACAATAACCCTGTGAAGGAGGAACAATCATCCTCATTATATACATTAGAAAACAAAGGCTCAATGAGGTAAAATGACCTGATGAAGGTAAACAGACAGTAAGTGGCTGTATTAGTCAGGGTGTTCCAGAGAAACAGGACAAATAGGGTGTGTGTGTGCATGTATATATAGATTTATTTCAAGAAATTGACTCATGCAGTTTTTTAATTGTTTTTGTAGAGACAGTTTATCTCCATGTTGCTCAGGCTGGTCTTGAACTCCTGACCTCAAGCGATCCTCCCACCTCAGCCTCCCAAAGCACTGAGATTACATGCATTAGCCACCACACCTAGCCTTCATGCAATTTTGGCAGTTTGCAAGCGTGGGCTGGCAGCCTGGAGACCAGGGAAGAGCCAATGTTACTTTTCAAGAACAAAGGCCATCTGCTGCAGAATTCCCTCTTGCTCAAGAGAGGTCAGTCTTATGTTCAATTCAGGCCTTCAACTGATTGAATGAGGCCCACCCACATTATGGAGGACAATCTCTTTGCCTCAAAGTCCACTGATTAAATGTTAATCTCTTCCACAAGCACCCTCACAGAAACATCCAGAATAATGTTTGACAACTTATTTGAGCATCATGGCCCAGCCAAATTGACACGTACAGTTAACCATCACAGTGGTAGAGCTTGGGTTTGACCCAAAGTCTTTTGGTTTCAGAGTCTGAACTTGACTACATTAGACCATCCAAAAGGATCTGTTCTGGAACTTACAAGAGAAGAAGTATTTGAAGTGATGGCATTTAGCCCAGTTTAACAACTATTTATTGAGAGTTTCATTTTATCAGCTCTATTGATATTGAAATTTTAAAAAATAACATCTACCCTCACAGTCTAGTGAAGGAACTTACAAAACAGGGAAAACATTGTGAAGAGTGGGTCATGATGAATAAAGGCTCGGTGACAGAACTGAGCATGTGAAGAAATTGGCCTGAATGCTGAGTTCATACAAGGGAGGCTTAGGAACTAAAGTTGAAAAAGTTATATGGGGTCAGATCATGGAAAGCCTTAAATGCCATAGTACTAATTTCGAGTTTTAGATCGTAGGCAACAGGGAGCCAGAGATGGTTCTTGAGCAGGAGAGTAACATGAGGAAATTATTGTATTAACAGGAGTGGATGGTATATGCAGAAGGAGCTAGAGTTATCCTAGACCAGTGGTCTAGGATATCCTTAGTATGATTTCGAGAGAATTGTGAAGCCCATACTTCATTCCCCAGTCAAGAAAGGAGCAATTAGCAAGGGCCAAGAACTTCTCCTCCCTAATGACTTCTCAGTGAAGTTGCAGGATTAAGGGAGGGCAGTCAGTTATGTGGCAGGTACTGCCCTAGACGGCTTCCCCAATTCAACCTCAAAGCAACTATGTGAAGAAGACAAGACAGAGATTATTGTTCTCATTTAACTTATGAGACACTGAAGTCCAGAGAGTAAAATAACTTTCCCAAGGTCATACAGCTGGTAGATGTGGAGGGTCAGAATTCACCTTAGAGCTGATTAATTCCACAGCCTGCACTATTAACCCACTGAACTGCAATAGAAGGTGGGATTGGGAGGGACCCTGGATGCTTGAGTGCTGTAGAGAGAAAAGAGAAGTAAATGGAGGAATAAAGAAAAAAACAAGAAGTTGAGGAACCAAAGATCATGTTTTGAAGACTATAATGCCTTACCAAGGCCTGACTCAGGGGTAGATACTAGAAACAAGGAGACCCAGTCATGTCTGGAAATACACAGAATGTCAGCTGGAAGAGAAGGTGGTCACTGACCAACTAGAAGCCCAGCTCCACTTCCTGTCCCATCTGCGTTTATGTTGGCGGTAGGGAGAGAGGTCATTTCTTACTGCTAATAGGGCCCTCGGCTGGACTCTGGGAGTCCAGCCATTCAGACCCCCAGAGTTAACCCTCCAGTGCTGCAGTGGATCAAGCTCTTGGGAGAGGGCAGTGATTTCCTGGTTTGCTCCCATCTGTAACCATTGCCTTACCTGGTAGGAGGCATCGTCTGCTGTAATTAGGCTTCATTAAGATACTGATTAATAACGTCTTGCCTGGGCCAGGTGTATGATGGGATTGGCTTACTCACTGTAAATGTTAGTGTTCTTTTCAGCTATTTACACACAGTGAACATCCCTGTGAGGTCCAAAGGGGAGGAGACAGCACAGACTGTGAAAATTCCCCTGAACAGGGAGCCAGATGCATGGAGATAGCAAGAGTTGAAAGTAGAGTCTGAGCGCAGAAGACCCTGTGGGCCAAGCCAAGCTTAGAGTCAGGTTACAGATGGAGGGCCATCAACAGTCATCAACTGGTGGCCCATGGCTGACTCCGTCCTGTAGATGGTGGGTATGGCAAGGAAAATGTTTTGTTGTCTGGTGAGTTGGTTGGTTGGTTGGTTGAGTTTTGAGTTTGAGGTTTTTGAGCGTGGCATTTACTGTCTCACTTGTCACTGCTCCCTCTATTGTTTCATACTTATCATTGCACATATTTACATTATGAATCCATCCTCTGAAGACATTTGAATTTGTGATACTGGTATACATGCTGGTTAAGAGATGAAGTCATTCAAAGAACAAGTTGATAGGCAGGGGAAGTATGGAAACAAAAGCATAGACATAGAAAGGCACAGAGATGAACAGGGATTTGAGGTATTGCAGGGGCCAAGTAGTATGAGGAGGAGCCCAGAGGTAAAGACAGTGTGGAGCATCCAGGAGCCCCCATGTCATCTAGTGTGGTGGGGCCGTCAGTGAGGAATGGGGACAAGGGAGAGATGGGTCAGGAGAAGGCAGCAGGAGCCTAGACAGAGGCCCTGACTACCATGATTAATGGGTTTGGACTTGATCCAGGGAAAGTACAGAACTGTTGAAAAGGTTTAAGTCAGAAAGGGACACAGTCAGCTCTGCATCTTAGGCATATGGCTTTGGCAGCAGTGATAAGAACGGATTGGATAGCAACAAGAAGAGACCAGAGGCTGCTGCAGTAACCTACAGAAGTGACCATGAGGCCTGAACAGGGGCAGAGGCTGTGCAATGGAGAGAAGGAGAGATGGGAAAGTCATGTCTGAGGTGGAATCAGTAGGAGATCCATTGGTGTTTCCTTCCTTGAGGGAGAAAACAATACCCCCCTGGCTGATCATAGGCCCGATCATTGAGCTTACTGCGTTTACAGGAGAAGGTACACAAATGTGGGAGCACTGGCTGCATATTTGACTTTCGACAGACAAATCAAGGCTCATAGGAAATCCAGTTGTCAGTGTGAGAAGGGAAGAGAAAAGTTCTGGTTTGAGTCTCCTGGTCTCTTCCTCTTTTGAATTCCACTACAGCAGCCAAGCTTTTGATTTAAACTTTTACAGCTAGGCCTGACTTCACAGATCAGAATGCTGAGGCTTCCCAGTGATCACCGACCTTTCCAAAGCTACTGGTGGCTAGAAGCTTTTTGTCCTGTCCTTCTGTATGTTTTAAGAAATGTATTTTTCTATGTACCTACCTGATTGTCTGTCTATCTATCTGTAAGTCACCCTTTCTGTTTGTTTTTCCTTCTAATTCTCTCTCTCTGTCACTTTCTCTGAGAATTTGTCTTTGTGTGTTGTTACTCTCTGTATCTCCTCCTCTCTGTTTATCTCTTTTAATTCTCTCTCTCTCCTCTCTCAGACCCCCTCACTCCATTTCTGTCATCTCCCTCTCTCCCTCTCTTCCTCTCTCCATTTTCATTCTGCCTCTTTTTCTCTATTCACAGTTCTGATTAGACAAATGACTCAGGGATGAGGCCAGTCTCTGCCCAGTGGTTAATTGATGGCTGCTATAGAATTGCCTAAGTGAGTAACTCTTGTCATTAGCAAGAGATGGGTTGCCTTGGCCTACAACTAGGAAACCTTTGAAATTCTGCATCTAAATTGCCATTCTTTTGACTGCTGCTAGTGATGCTAATTAGCTGTGTTAATTGGATGTTTTGATATTTGAAGAGCAAAGCAATCCAACTCCTTCCTCCAGAAAGCCGAAATTATTAATGAACTTGGCAGCAGCCTGGCTCTCTTTCCACAGTGGGCACAGCCAAAGATATTGGGGCAGGCAAAGGGGTTATTCTAAGAAAGTGTCTTGTCTGCTTTTGGAAAGAAAGAAGCCTGTGGAACTGGCTGTGGAGTATCCTAGTGGTGAAATCACCCAGTGGGACAGAAGAGTCTCAGACCTAGAGACCAAAGACTAACACAAGGAATTTGGTTGTATTCTGCCACTACCTGCCATAACCCTGAACAACCAGGCTTGAACTTTTGCATCCCAGTGTCTAGCATGGTACCTGGCACACAGTTAACATTTTACACAAATTATTGCATGAATAACCAACAAGAGCATGGCTCTTGCAGTCAGACTTGGATTCGAATCCAAGCTCAGCTACTTTCTAGCTGAATGATTTGAGCAGAAGTTCCTTATCTCTCTGAGTCTCAAATTTTCTTCCAGTTACATATTGGTGAAGAATTCTGATAAATATCATTTTCTCCAACTTGTTCTGTTTTTACTGATGCTTTATTATCCCACTACAAATAATACCTTGTACCCCATCTGCCTAACTTACCTCTTGATCTATCTCCAATTATAAAACAAATTAAAGCTAAGTAAAAGATATGAACAGAACTCTGTGGGGATACAGAAAACAGAGCAATGAATTCAAACTTGGGGAATCTAGGAAGACCTTCTAAATGGAGCAGATTTTGAGCTGGGTCTAAAAGGGAGGTTAAGCCTTCAATAAGAGGAGAAGAGAGAGTTGGAGGAACAGGAAGGCATTCCACAAGTTTCTACAAAGAACAAAACCATGGACAGGCACCTCACTGCTCTGAAATAAGAATCCTAATTATCTCTAAGGGTCCTGTTAGCTCCATGTAGCAGGATTCTACAAAATCGTTCTTTCCCATATCTTAGGGGATCTTTCTTCTAGGGAGAAAACAATAATCAACAGCAGAGCCAAGAATATAGGAAATGAAAAGTTGGGTGTGGTTGAGGAGACTTGACATCTTACTCACGATTGAGAGGAACATTCTTCAGGAAGCCAAGCCCAAGGTCTGCAATATGGTTGCATTAGTCAGGGTTCTCCAGAGAAACAGAACCAATAGAATATCTATGTCAATATCAATATCTGTATCTAAGTCTATGTCTATATCCATATCTACATCTATATATCACCTATTGGTCCTGCTTTCATATATATATGTAAAGAGATTATATGCATAAAGACATTTATTATAAAGAATTGGCTTATGCAATTATGGAGGCTGAGAAGTCCCAAATCTGCAGTCAATGAGCTGAAGTCCCAGGAGAGCTGATATGTCTGAGGCTGAAGGCCTGAGAAACAGGAGAGCTGATGGCGCAAGTTCCAATCTGAAAGTCAACAGACTTGAGACCCAAGAAGAACTGTATTTCAGTTCTTGTCCAAAAGCCAAAAAACACCCATGTCCCAGCTCAAGTAGTCAGGAGGCATTCCCTCTCAGCCTCTTTGTTTATTCAGTCTTCAACTGATTGGATGAGGCCCACCCATATCAGGGAGGGCAATCTCCTTGACTAAGTCTACTCACTTAAATTTTAATCTCACCCAGAAATATCCTCACAGACATATCCAGAATAATGTTTGACCAAATGTCTGGGCATCTCAGTCAAGTTGACACATAAAATGAACCATCACATGGGTTAATTGGCTCTTGAGACATTTTCAAACACCATGAGGGAAGCACAGGTCAGACAGTGTGATCACGAGTTCCAAAGACCCAGTACAAAGATTACATAATTACTACATCATTGATCATCCAGTGGTACAGCGTTGGTAGAGTTAATCTAATCCAATCTATTCCTTTTACAAAAGAAAGAAAGGAGAGAGAGAAGAGGAAGGAAGAGAAGGGAAGGGAAGGAGGGAAGGAAGGAAGGAAAGAGAAAGAAGGAAAAAGAAAAGAATAAAAGAAGCTTTAAAAAAAGCTATAATATTACAATTCTTCTTCCTTTACAAATGTGATGCTCTTTCTGTGTACACCTCAATTATGGTACTTTCACTTTGTTGAAGGATCATCATAAATTTAGCAGGTAGAGAATTTTGGAGTGATACTGCATGGGCAAAGATATGGATGATAATGGAGCATTAGGGAATGACTAGCACTGCAGTATGGCCAGGGTGCAGGGTCACTATGGAGGAGAAACTAGACAGGGGCAAATCACAAGAAGCTTGATGTCAGGTAAAGGAGCTTGGGAATTTATCCAGAAAGAAATGAAGAATGAGAGCTACACAATGTAGAGTTGTTACAACACCTCTCTTTGATGGCCCTTTTTATAGTGCCTACTAAATTAGTGCCTTCAAAATTGCTAATCATATATGAGTTATTTCTGTATTTCCAGGACTAGGCACAGTGCCAGAAACACAGTAGGTGTCCATAATTGTTGGTTGCATAAAGTTGAGGTAGCTAAACTGATACCCAGAGAAGATAAATGACTTGTTCAACATCACTGTGAAACCAGTGGCAAAGCTGGGACTGACTGTAGGCCAGAGCTTCTTCAAGTAAATTATTGAAGGTGTATATCCCTGGGTACCAAGTCACAGCTTATTCAGGGATTTTTTGATTCAAGTACATAGTATATGGCATGATCTAGAGCCAGATTTCTCTCCATAATGTAAAATATTTTCCTTCAGAAAGCCCAGGGGCATTTGTGTCCAACCTGAGGGAGCTCACTGGCCTTCTATAACCTCACAAGACTCACCAGTATTCTAGCTCAGATGCCTTCTCCTAGGCAACCTATTGCCATTATCAAATATTTGAGGATCACCCACAGTGGCCCAAGGCATGGGGTATTGAAAGATGAGTCAGACACAGTTGCTGTGCTCAAGTACTAGTTTGAACCTGAGCATCTCAAGGACACATACCCTTTCTGATGCCTCAGTATCTATAGTTACCAGCATACACTAACTCAAAGAGGTTGAATGATTGAGTGAAGAAACTTGAGGTCATAGTGAAAAAGCAACACCTGCGTAAATCTTATAACACAAGATAAAAAGCTGCAAGTGTCATGAAAGAGGTTCCGAGTTCAGAGGAGGGGATAGGGGTCCTAGGGACAAGTTTCAAAGATTTCATGGAGGAGGTGGTAGCTTCTAGGCTAAGCCTTGAAGGATGACTAAGACTGAGACCAAGATAGAAGGGCTGGATGCTGCAGGTGAAAGGAGAACATAAGCACAGACACAGGCTCCATCAATAGTTATTAAACAAATGTCCACTCATTGTTTACTGTGTGTCAGGTCCTGTGAGGGGCAACAGGGATACCAAGCTGCCCTCCCAGAATTTATAACCAAGAGGGGAAAGAGGCAAAGAGGCAAGAGGAAGCAGGAATGTAGGGGAGGGGGCAGAGACTGGGAAAGGGGAATGGTATAGGATTAAGTGGAGGGTCTGGGGGAGACAATCAAATTGGTTAGGCTGGATTAAGAACATTCGAGGGTCTAAAATTTCCGATCTTATTAGATCTTCATTCTCTAGCAGCCACAGTGGAGGGAAAAAGAACTAGAAGGTATAGAGTTCCTGCTACATACCAGTAAAAAGTGCTTTACATACAGTACTCTTATTTAATATTCTCATCCACTCTGAAGTAGGTCTGTGTATCCTTGTTTTAGAAATGACAAAGCTAAGTTTAAGCAACTGGTTAGTGGTGGGATCTTTGTGATTCCAAAGTCCTTGATTTTTTTTTCTACTACACCATGCTGATGAGAGAGCATGCTCATCCTGTATCCTCTTCTTATTGTCTGGTTGACTATGGGGTGTGTGCATGTTTGTGTGTGTGTACACATGCATGTGCCTCCTCACATCTTCCTGCATACAGGTACTAACTGTGGGCTAAGGGAGATTTTGATTACTTCTGTCCAATTAATGCTCTGTTCATTTGTGCTGTCTCCTTGTGATTATAATTAATTGCTGCTGATTATACTGTGTGGAAGGAAAAGGACAGCCATCAGCAGTTCTGCTTGGGGGATAAAAACATTGTAATGCAAAATAAAACTGATTCCCAGGGACTTGAATTTTAAAATTTGCTCTGTTACAGAAAGATTAGGCATTCTGTGACCAAAATCAATATTCTATGACCCTATCCCGGTATAAGAACAATCTGCCCCTGTTCTGGTCAGCAGTAAGGATAAAAGGAATTGAAGCAATATACTTATTTGGAAAATTGGTTGTGTGTAAAAACTGCTCATATGATTTGCAAATCTCTTCCTCATCTGTAAAATTAAGAGGTGTGATGAAACAAACTCCAACATCTTGTATTAGCCAAAATTTGGTTGCAAGGGACAGAAAACCCAACTCAAACTGACTTAAATAAAAAGGGAAATTAATTAGCTCATAAAACTCAAAAGTCCAAAGGGATACTTGTTTTAGGCATTACTGGATCTAAGGACTCAGCATCATCAAGGCTTGGTCTGAAGCTCTCTGTCCTCAACCGCTCAGCACTGTTTCTTGGGCATTGGCTTCATTATTCAACCAGCCCTCCCCTGCTAGAAGCAAATTGGCTGCCAGAAGCTCCTGGTGGATATCCCACCCTCTCAGCATAAGGGTAATTCCCTGTTTCACAAGTTCCAAAACTGAGTCAGGTATGGGCCATATGCCATACGTCACTAATCACTGTGGAAAGAGGTATATCAGTGCTCTGATTGGCCACCATTGGGCTGACTCCATCCCCACCCACAGTCTGAGTGGAGTCAGCTCCTCCTGAGTCATGGAATTGAGACTGGGGGCTCAATACAGGAAAATGATGTGTGTGAGAGGGGAATACATTAAGAGCAGGAAAATAAAACAAGACAAAGCAAGACAAATGTCCACTTTTGGTGCCCTCTTGCTCTGATATTTTATGATTCTTTAACCACTGATGCACTGTCAAGTTAAGGCTAGAAAATATGAAGGTCACTAAAGTTCAGGGAGTACTTAAAGCGAGGATGCGTGATTAAAGCCGAAACAAAGAGGATAATGTATTTTTTATTATCTATTTTATGTTAAACTCCATACGGGTGCTTTCACATTCATTAAGTCATACAGTCTACACAATACTCTTGTTAGTAGCTATTGTTATTCTCATTTTACTAATCAGGAATTGAGGATTGGTGGATGACCCACTTATCTAAGGGTTATTTATTTATTCCTTTACTTTTTCTTTCCACAGCATTATTTGATGGTGTACTAGGCTAGGGAAACAAGGATGGAGAAGAGGTAGTCTCTGTTCTCAAAGAGCTCACAATCTAATGGGAAAGAGAGACAGGCCAAGAACAGTGGAGATTAGGGGTCCAATGGGTAGTCCCAGGTCTGGTGGCTCCTGAGCTGTGCGCTTCTTTGTTCTCTCCAGGCAAAAGGTTCAGGGTTCTCTGCTCTGCCTAGGTGGGGCATTGTTCTGAGAGCTTATGGTTCAAGAAGACCTTGTGTCTCTGGAAGCCCAGACCAATGTTACTCAATTGGCTTCACCCTATAGCTATAACTAACCAGTTATCAAAGGAACCGGATCCTTCTACCCCAGAATCCACCCAGAAGGGGGCTAGAGAGCCATTGCTTCCTTCACAAAACCTTTTGATCTCTGCAACCGAGACAGAGTCACATCCCTGGCTTCCTTGGAAATGCCTTCAGATGGTGGTATTCAGGGCCTCCTTCTCTTCATCACATCACTTTTCCAGGGTCCTGGCTCTGATGAGCTTTCCTTCTTTCCAAGGAGTGAGAGGGGAAGAGCCAGGTCACTTTACCTTCTGGAGTGTGTGACATTTGCCTCCATACCCACCCCTGCTCCTTAAACAATTTTCTTCTCACAATCAAATTATCCATTAATCTCTAGGAAATGACCTCCATTTCTCCTCTTCATGAAATCCTGAGATAATCCTGGCCTAGGAAGAAGAAAAGGAATGGAAGCTAATGTAAATACCTGCCATTAGCAATATTTATTGTTTCACATAGAAAATATTTAACTGAACACCTGATGTGCCAGACACTGTTAAACACAGGGGAAATTATGGTGAACAAAGCAGACATCATTGTTGCAATCACAGAACTTGGTAACCTGGTGAAAAAAACAGATATTTGGCCAGGCACAGTGGCTAACACCTGTAATCCCAGCAGTTTGAAAGGCCGAGGTAGGAGGATCTCCTGAGCTCAGGAGTTTGTGACCACCCTGGGCAACATAGTGAAATCCCGTCTCTACTAAAATACAAAAAATTAGCCAGGCTCGATGGCATGCCCCTGTAGTCCTGGCTACTTGGGAGGCTGAGGCATCAGAATCGCTTGAGCCCAGGAGGTGGGAGGTTGCAGTGAGCCGAGATCGTGCCACTACACTCCAGCTTGGGCTACAGAGTGACACTCCATCTCAAAAACAAAACAAAACAAAACAAAAAAGAAATAGGTATTTATAAACAATTACACATACAATGTAAATTTACCATCATGAGAGAACTGTGAAGGAGTGCCAGGAGGCTCTGGGAGAGTATAGGATGGCAGACTGACTCAGCCCTGAGGTCAGGGATGGCTGTCTTGCCAAAGTGGCAGTGGAGCTGACGTCTGAAGAATTAGTAGGAGTTATTTAGAGGCAACGAGGCAGGGGGTTTGGAACAGCCTTTTGGGCAGAGGCCCTGCCACAGAGGGAAGATGACAAGTGGCATAGAACTGGTTTAAGAAATCCTGTTGCCCATGGGGTGAATGAACGCGTGGGATATAATATGCTTGTTCTTATAGTTACTAAAATGGAGCAGGATGGAGTGAGACATGGAACAGGCATGTTTTATATCCTGACAGTGAGTGGATCCTGATTAGCATATATTAAAGAGAGGGAGGCAGTCAGTCAGACAGACAGGCCAGCTGGCCCGTCAGAGGTGTGGGGGAGTGAGAATGGAAGAGAAAGGAAAAGTTCCAGAGAAAACATATTCTGTCCTAAAGATTGGATAAATATGTTGGCCTCATGGGGAGTTTAAGGCCAGCCTCATACCCATCCTGTCAGTGGGATCATTGTCAGCTTTGCTTGATATGTCCAAAGAAGAGCATTAGATACAAGAAAATTCCACTAACTGGTCCTTTTAATGGAGATTCACTATAGGAATCATAATAGCTACTTGGCACATCGGTATAGCAAAATAAAATTAGGCAACATTACTACTAAGAAGGGCAGGATGGAAAGTACTCTAGGGAGCACAGAGCTCCCTGCCTTCTAGGAGCCACCTTTAGACTTCCTTCCCAAGGTTGATGGGAACACCACCATGCAGTTCTCCAAGGCAGGAACCTGGTGTGCTATTCTTGATGCTTTTCCTAGTCCAGTCACCTCTGCCAGCACCCAAGTATCATCTTTCTTACTAGACAAATATTTCTAATTCTTTGTCCTCCTCACAACTCCCCTGAGAGTGCCTGAGCTCAGGCCCTAACTCACCATTCTCCCTGGACCAGGACCATTCTTCCTGTCTGCAGTCTGGGTCCCCTTCAAATCCCACTTCACCAGGGCCACAGGAGAAATCACCCTGGAACCAAATTTGAGCATTGTGCCTCTGTCTCTTAAAACCCTCCCCTGGCTTCCCATTATCTGCAGGAGAAAGTTCATACTCATAACATCACACAAGGCACTCATGATCTGTGCTTGCATTTTTCTCTTGCTTCCTTCTTTATCTTTTAGAAGATATTCCAGCCGTGACAAACATCTTCAAAGGGATCATCATGCCTCAGCATGCTTGCACATGCCTCTGCCTTTATTCAGGATGCTGTTTCATGCCATTCAACTCTCTTTACCTGGCCAAGTCTTACTTTTCCAGTCACCTGGATTTCAATCTTATACTGTATTTGTTGGTTGGTTTACTGCCTTTCTTCCCTTGTGAGCTCTATAAGAGTTTGTCGTTGTATGCAATTGTATTCCTGAAACTAGAAAAGTATCTGGTACATCATAGATTCTCAATTAATTGTTGACTAACTTGTTTAATAAAGAGTTATCTCAGGAAAAAAAAAAAAGACAATCTTACCCCCTCAATTCAGCTCAGGTGTTTCCTATTCTGAGAAGCTTCCAGGGTGTCTCCAATATTAAATCCCACTTTTTGCACCCTGACTTCCCTTATTTCCCCTGCCATAGTGTCATTGCCCTAACTTGCAACTTTTATTTACATGTCTTCTCTAAAGGCTGCTCAAGAACAGGGACTGATTTCTCATCTCCAAACCCATAGCGTCTGGCACAGTACCTTACACAGCAGATACTCAATAAATATTGAATAAATGAATTAATTTTAAGAAAGTTAAAATAATAAAGAATTATAGCATAAAAATAATTTTTCAAGCCACAGGCCTTGTAGTAGGACAGACCCGAGTTTAAGTCCTAACCGTCCGCTTGCTAACTGAGTGGTATTAGAAAGGTGACATCTCTGAACCTCAGTTTTCTAACCTATAACACAAGGATACCAAAATCTACCTTGCTTGTAATAAATGAAACTAGCACAGTACCTGGAAAATAGTCCGTGGTCATCAACATTAATTTCATTCCCTAAGTTTTAAGTTCAAAACAACAGTTAAAAAGAAAGTAACATCACAGCAGAAAAAAAAAATCATAAAATGTTAGAACCATGAGGGTCCTAAAGATTGGGATTTAAGTTTATAATCACACACTTCCTAGGCATGGGATTCATTGCTGTTTTGCTTGAAATATAACAAGGATGTCTCAAAATGAGGAATAAATGCAAGGAAATGACCAATAATGAGATATTATAATGGAGTTTCACTATAATAATAGTCATTCTTTGGTGAAACTGTGAAGCAAGCCAATTCCTCTTTATTGTCTAAATGGAGAAACTGAAGCCCAGGAGTGGGTCAGTGACCTGCCCAAGGCATACAGCATTTGGTGAAAGCTGTTGCTCAAATATAGGTCTCTTGATTCACAGGACATTGCTCATTCCATTAATCCATGTAAGTGCTTCAGATTCAGGCCTAATCAGGGGTGAAGACACAAGAGCAGGGGAGTGGGCTTCTTTTAAAGGTAGAGGACCCCATGTCCTGTCCCTCCAGCAAACCCTTTAGTGGACCTTTTAAGTTCTGAGCCCAGGATTTGATGCTTCCCAGGAAAAGACCGAACCCCAATTCTCACCCACAGAATGGCCCAGACTTCAGCTGAGTTTTGCAGTTACCTCCTAGGGATCTTCTTTGCTGCACTGTTCTTTGACCGCTGCAGCAGACTTGGGCCACAGGACTCTTTGAGGTTTTCTAGTTAAGTTAATGCAGATGCACTCAGGATAGATTCTTCATATTGTTCATTCCATTTCAAGTCTAGCTTGGTTTTACTCCCCTGCACTCTGCCAGATTCTCACTAATCGCAGAAGAGTCAGACTATAACAAGGGAACAGGTTAGAAAATGAGAAGAAGGAACATTACCAGGAAGTTGGTGATAAACTCAATTATCTCTATCCACAGACCTAGAGCAGAGATTCTTAACATTTTAGAAGATGCTGATTTTTTTTTTGAAAATTGTAGAAAATTATGAATACTCTTCCCAGAAAATTTACACAGTTTGTCAGTAGTATCAGAGGGTTCAGGAACCCCTTAATGGCCCTTCTGATATAGAGGCTCACAGAACATCGGAGCTGAAATGTTTCAAAACATCGGCAAGCCAGTCCCTCCTCCAAATTTACAGATTGGAAAACTGATACCTAAAGGAGACTTGCTCCAAGCAAGTGCAGCCACTCAGAAGCAGAGCTGAGGCCTGAAGCCAGGCCCATCAGAACTCCTCTCTTCCTTCTCTCTTCTCCGCCACTCCAAGATCCTGCTATGCAAATATTTACTTTGGTCTTCAGTCTCATTTTTAACTGTGCATCCAGTTGAAGCTTCTAAAAATATATGTGAGACAAGCAGGAGCTGAATATCTCTCAGAAAAGCAGAGCCCCCTCTCAGGTTGAACTGCATCAAAGTCCCAGGCACTGCTGAGCTGGGGCCCAGCTGGGCAGGCACAGCTGATTCCAAGAGCCAATTTTCAGAGCCACGGTCAACTGTCAGTGGGGAAAGGGAGGCACTGCTGGGAAATTGCTGGTGCCTGGATTGGAGGAGCAGGGGAATGAGGAAGCCATGAGGCAAGTGATAGTGTGGGATTTGGAGAGAGAGATTAATTTCCCTCTTGAGTGAGAAGTGGGTCTGAGTTAGACAGACAAGCTATAAATACCAGCAGTCTTGGGCAAGTAGAGAAGGGAGAGGCATCTCGGGTATTGAGGTGTGCTAGAAATGGAGGGAGGACACTCTTCCCTGCCAAAGTAATGAGGAGGGTGATTAGATAACCGTCTTACTAGATTAATGCAGCCTGTGAGTGGTATCCCTCTCCCCTTCCCTGTCTCCAAGGATCCATTCAGGGATTACTTTTTTCTAAGTAGGGAAGCCAAGACCCTTCCCAGTCAAGATCCTGCCCACCTCTCTCATGTCACTTGCTGTATCTCCACCAGATACTGTACAACCACTAGACCAGTGGTTCTCACCCCCAGGTGTGTTTGCCCCAGGGAGTGTTTGGCAATGTTTGAAGACACACTTGGTTGTCACAATGAGGTGGGTGCTGCTGACATCTAGTGGGAGAAACCACGGATGCTGCTAAACACCCTACAATGCACAGGGCTGCCCCCACAACACAGAATCATTTAGCCAAACATGTCAATAGTACCTGGACTATAAACAGATTGAGAGCACAGCCATTCCTGTTTTGTTTACTCTACATAGCCAGTGTGAATGTTCTGTATACCTATTACATGGCCCAGCACAGAGGAGGTGATTGATAACTTATCTGTTGAATGAATCAATGAGTAATAAATAATGAATGAGGCTGGGTGCAGTGGCTCATGCCTGTAATCCTAGCACTTTGGGAAGCTGAGGCAGGCGGATCATAAGGTCAGGAGTTCGAGACAAGCCTGATCAGCATGGTGAAACCTCGTCTCTGTTAAAAACACAAAAATTAGCCGGGCATGGTGGCACACACCTGTAGTCCCAGCTACTTGGGAGGCTGAGGCAGGAGAATCACTTGAACCCAGGAGGCGGAGGTTGCAGTGAGCTGAGATCGCACCACTCCACTCCAGCCTGAGCGACAGAGCAAGACTCCATCTCAAAAATAAATGAATGAATGAAAAATAAATAATGAATGAACAAGTGAATGAATAACAGCAACCTGCCTAATGTGGTCTGAAGTCCAAATACCCACCAAGGTTATCTCATCCAGAATCAGGCACATTAAAAATGAGGTCAGATCTCCATCTGATCTAGCCCACCAGCCTCTAACTTGGCTTCTCTTCAAAAGACCCCATTAGGGTGATGGGCAGCACTGTCACACCTGATAAAGCTGCTGCACATCTGCTTGGTCAGAAAGGATATCCCCTGCTCCAGGGAAACGTTTTTCCCAGGGTAGAGCGGAGAGTGAGAATTAGAACTAGAGATCATCTAGTTCAACTGCCCGCCAATTTTACAGGAGAGGAAACCAAGGCACACAGCATGGAAGAAACCTACAAGATGTTATACCAAACGTCCAGAAAACACAGAATTTTACAAATAGTTTCTTCATCTCTCCCCGTCTCTGTCTCTCTGTTCTTTTCTTTCTCTCTCTCTCATCTTGATTTGTTTTTGTCTTGCTTTTTCTCCCTACCTTTGTTCATAGGCCTAACATGCTAAATAACTCTGGAAACAAATGTGAATGTGACACACTCTTGTCCTTGAAGAGCTCATACTTTGTTGGAGATGACAGTTTCATATGTAGTAATGATAATAAAAAAGCTACTGCATACCAGCATTGTACTGGGTATCTTGGATATATAATTTCTAATCAATGCAATAATCCTGAGGTAGGAAGCATTATGTATTTTAGAGATGAGGACACTAAGGCTCAGAGACAGTAAATAGCCTGCCCAGGTTCACACAGCTAAACATGTAGGAGCCAGGATTAAAACCCATGCTTTTTGGACTTTAAACCTGGCCTTCTAAATACATGCACAACGGAATACAGTGTCAGGAGATAAGGCTTATACTAGCTTATGGAAGGCCATGAAAGCCAGATCTGAGAATTTAGGTCTTACCTTGGAGGTGACAGTGAATCAGTGTAGGGTTGTAGGTCAGGAAGTGACAAGGTCAGCAATTGTGAGAACATCATTCTCAGCAATAATGGGGAGAAACTGGAAGCCAGAAGACCAATTAGGATGCTGAAGCAATAGTTCAGATAAGAGACAAGGATCTGAACAATGCAATAGCAGTGGAGGAAGAGGAGGAGCAGGTTTACTATGTTTAAGAAGTACGGTAGGCAACATTGCCCTTGAGAGGCAGCAAATAATGCCAGCAAAAAGCACTCTGAAATTAGACATATCTGGGTCTGAATCCTGGTAAATCCACTTGCTGCATGTGTAGGTCAGGTGGGGTGGAGTTGGTGGAGCACCCAGCAAGGTGTCTTACACAGAGCCAGAACTCCACCCCTGATACCCAGCACCTTCATCCTGGGTATGCCAGGATGTTTCATCTGCCAGCTCTTAGCTAAGCAGATGAAATCTCAGGCAGTGTGGAATAGGCTGAATAATGACCCCCAAAGACATTCGGTTCCTGATCCCTAGAACCTATCAATAATACCTTATATGGAAACAAGGTCTTTGTAAATGTTATGGTTAAGGCTCTTCAGATGGGAGGTTGAGACTATCCTGGATTATCTGGATAGGTCCTAAATACAATCACATGTATCCCTAGAAGAGACAGGCAGAGAGAGATCTGACATACACTGAAGAGGGAGGAGGCAATGTGACCATGGGGGCAGAGATGGGAATGATATGATCACAAAGCAAGGAATGCCAACAGCCACCAGAAACCAACTATTTCTCTGTTTTCTCCCCGGGGCCTGTGGAGGGAATGCAGGCCTGTGACACCTAGATTTTGGCCCCAGTGAAACTGATTTCTGACTTCTGGCCTCCAGAACTGAGAGAATACATTTCTGTTGTTTTAAGCCACTAAGTGTGTGGTGATTTGTTACAGTGGCAATGGAAAACTAATTTCGAGCCTTATAGTTACCCCAAACTTTAATTCATTCTGTGATGGATTGGACACTCTTCTCACAATTTCCGTATAAGCATTCATCTCCAGCATCCTCCGTGAAGTGAGCCTTTCAGGAAATACCTACTCTGTGGAATTGCATTTCACCCATCAAAAAAGAGGCCTCCCTTCCCGTCCCTATCTGTGTCTCTCCACCTTCTTCTCTCAGTCCTTCTCAGTCTCTCTCACTGTTCCTGTCTCTATTTCAGTCTTATGCATCTCATTTACAGTCTGTCCTCTGCGGCTGTGCTTCTCTGCATTTTTTTCTTTTGTCTCTTTCTGTCTTATCTTTTGCCTTTCTCCCCTCTCTCCCTCCCTTCTCCTGTTGCCTACATTTATATCTCTCTCACACCTCTTTCAGTTTGATTCTTTCCTTTTCTGTCATTTGCTCCCTGTTTTTCTCTCTCTGCTCCTCACCCCATTTCTCCTCAGTTTTCAAGCCTGAGTCTCTCTCAGCCTCTCTGATTATCCTTCTCTCCTTATCTTCTTGCCTCATCCTGACCAGTTTCTCTGTATTTTCCTGTCCATTTGCATCTCTTTCGCTTTTGGTCTCTGCCTCTGCGGCCTCTTTGTCTCTTCCTCTCTCCTGCTGTCTCTCCCTGACCCTCTAATCCATCTCTCTCTATCTCTTTCTCTCTTTCTCCCTCTCCCTCTCCCTCTCCTTCTCCCTCTCCTCTCTTTCACAGGTCTTCTTACCTAGGGGGTGCCTCTGGACTTGCCTGCAATGGGAAAGGACTCTGCAATTGCATCTGCAGCCTCCACACTGCACTTCAGAGAAGGATTCACCTGTTTAGTCATGCACTTGTCTGACACTGTGGGAGGATTGGTGAGGCAGGCAGAGACAAAAGATATTTCATTGTCACATTTTTCTTCTAGCTTTACCTAGAGGCTCCTAGGCAGGTGCCTCTTAATATTCTAGCAGTGCTGTCAGCCTTACCAAAGAGAAATCACTTTTCCTTGGCCTATCCCTCTGCACAATTAATCTTCCCCCTTTAATGGTGATCATCTGTTGCTGGGAGGGGCAGGAGTATGAGCAGAAAATGAATTCTAGGTGGGAGTTTCCAAACAGGGAGCAGGTAGGAATTCAATTTTCTTATTTGGAAGCAGGATAATGGCAAGAAAAGACCTTTATGAGGACAGGGATGTGTCTGTTTTCTCTTTGTTGTATCCTAGCTCCTAGAACAGTGTCTGGCACATAGAAGCCACTTAATATGAATATATAAATGAACAAATGAGAGAATAAATCAATGGGTTTCAATCCTCCTTGCGCCAATACTTGATGTGACTCATCAGACAAGTGACTTCTGATTTTTCATCTGCAAAATGGAGATGGTAATCAGAGCTGCCATGGCCCACAACTAGGGGGAAAGGAGAAGTGGGTTATTGTGTCTGAGAAGTGGGGCAGAGCTCAGCACCCTTCAATGCAGTCAGGCCAGCTGAGCTTGCTGAGGGTTCTAGAAGAGCTGCAGGGAGTGAGAAGTATGGAGAAAGCTTCAGAGATGAGTCCACAAGGGGAGGAGCAGGACAGGGAAGGGAGGCCGCAGGCCAGGCGGGAGGATGTGTGTGAGGCTTGTCTCTGCCGAAGCTGCTCTGGGAGGTGAAGAGGACCTGGACCTGGAGACAGAAAACAGCCATTACCACGAAAAAGGTGTTCCTGACCCCATGAGGGAGGACTCGTCCCTGAGGTTGATTATTATCCCCAGTTTGGGATTGGGCTGGATTTAGCAAGAGCCTAATTGTGAAATGACTGGTCAGGGCTGTGTTTCAGATGAGGAGGATTAACTCCGCTTTGGTGCTGGCCAGCACCTTCACCTCCCCCAAGCCCATTCCCACCCACCTTCTCAAGGAAGCCTCTCTGAGCACTCTACTTAATGCTGCGATCTTCTTCTTGGCCCCAGCACTCCCCTTACCCTACTCTTTATCTTTACTCCATAGCACTTATCACGTTCCAGCATTCTATATAATTTACACATGTATTATTAGGTCTACAGCTTGTTTCCCATAGCTAGAATTTAAACTCCATAAAGACAGAGGTCTTTGCCAGTTTTGTTCACTGTATATCCCAAGTGTCTAAAATAACTTGGCACATAGTCAGTTCTCCCTAAATATTTGTGAGTGAAAGAATGCAGATGGGATTTCTCATAAGCTTATTGTATTGAGGGCTTTGCTTCAATGTACCATGTTAACTGAAAAAGGACTCAAGAGACTACATTTACCCACAGAGAAGTTAGGCCCAGTGAAGGGAAATGGCCCAAGGTCACATGGCTAGTTAATGATGAAAACCACATTGGTCTCTTGATTCCCACTTGTGTGCACTCTCAAGGCCCCAGATCTGAGGCCCTGAGACAGGAGAACAGAGGATCCTTCAGTTACTGCCATTCCCCTAAAGCCCTTGGGACACCCTAAGAGCAGGGAGGAAGAGGTGGAGACCTGAGCAGAATGGAACACACTGCACAGTCAGCAAGAATTTGTGGCATGAATAATCCCAAAGAGCTGAAAATTCAGAAACAATTCCCATTTTCTGATTTTTTCCCATTTCTGATTCAGAACCTGGATACTTAATGTCTCATAGCTCAAACCCAACATGCTCCGAACTGACCTCCTAATCTCTCCCCTGAAGCTATTCCTGCCACATTCTTTCATATGCCAGATCAGGGCACCCCCATCGACCCAGCTGCTAAAGCCAAAGATGAAGGAGTCATCCTTCACTCCTTCCCCTCCTTTGGGCCCCACATCCAACTTGGAAGCAGGTCCTGTTTGCTCTTCCTACAAATACATCTTCCCATCTCTACTGCCTCTGTACAGCTGGGACCTCCCTTTTCTTCCCCTGTACCATTGCAGTCGTCCCTAGCTACTCTGCCTGCTTCCACTCTTGCCTTCTCTTTTAGTGCAGCAGTGACTTTGGAAATAAAAATGAGACCGTGTCATTTTCCTGCTTCAAACTCTTCAGTAGCTTCCCATTCACCAAGAAAGTCCAGACTCCTTAAGGTGGCCGAGAGTTCTTGGTGATCTAGCCCTTGCCTATCACCCTCTGCCAGCCCTCTTCCAGTTTCCGTCTCTCACCCGAGGACCCTTCCCAGACACCCTTCCCTCTTCTTAGGTACCGCTGCAGTCACTGCTCACTCTCAGTTCATATCCCCTCCTCAGAGAGGCCTTCCCACGCCTGCATTATCTGCAGGTACAGACTCTGTGCATTTTCTTCATAGTATATATCAATTGCTATTATGTATGTGTGTGTGTGTGTGTGTGTGTGTGTGTGTGTGTTTGTTTGTTTTACTACCTCGCTATTTGTCTCTGCTTCTAGACTTAAGAACCATTGTCTTGGTTTTGTCTTCTTTTGTTTTTAACCATAGTATACCCTGAGCCTTCCAAAAAGCCTGAACATAATAAACATAGTAGATGATATTAAATATACACTGAGTAAATTCATATTTACAGATACAACCCATATATGTTCACTGGCTTTCATTGCCTACAGAATAGAAGTTTAAGTTTCTTAACTTGGCATTCAAAGCCTTCACTCACTTGTCTCTAGCCTAATATTTCAGCGTCACCTTCCACTCTACGCGGTTAGCTACATGGGCCTTCGGACCCTTTTCTGTGTTATTTCAGGTCATGTGCCTGACCGCACTCCGTTTCTCTGCTGATACTTGTCTTTCTCTTCCACCCGCTTTAAGACCGGTCTTTGTCCTTCAAATCTTTGTTATATGTGCACCTCCATGAAGCCTTTCACAATTCCTCCATTTGGAATTCAATCTCCTTCCACACATCCACAGAATTTTGTGTTTGAATTTATGATTACACTCAAGAAAGGAAACAACATACGCACGCTGTTAGAAGACACTGAAGTTCGTATGCTACCTTTGTTACATTCAAGCCACGAGACTCTGAATTAGTTATGTAAACTCTCTGATTTTCAATTTCCTCATCTGTGAAATATATGTCGAATTGTACTTTGACTTTGCAGGGCTTTGGTGAGGATTGGTGATAGTAACTACACTGTATGCATTGCGGAGTAAACTCTAAAAAAAATAGTTCCTGCTTTTGTGAAGATGACAGTGCAACAGCCTCCCAGGTAATATAGTTAACTGGAACATGTGAGTTTCCTTCTCTAGGCTATAAAGTGTATCTGTCTAATTTTCCTTTAACCCCAATCCCTGTCCTCTTCATAGCAGTATACACATGGGAGGAGCCCAACAAACGTTTGAATGGATGCATGAAGGAATGAGTGAATGAATGAGAATGAACAGTAAATGTTCAAACCTTCATTACCTGTTGAAGGACCTCATTAAATAGGAGGCTAGGGCTACTTACACCCACACTTTATTTCAAAAGAGCTCTGTATGGAAGTCATGGAGTCAGTCCAAGTTTAGGACAATCCCAGCTGAATTCTCCTGGTTTATTGCTTTGAGTGTCTTGATTCCATCTTCCCCATGTGGCTGGCTATACCCTGCCATTTTTGAGAAACAGATCAATGACCTACACAGGAACCTGAAAATGATGAGAATTTTAACTTACAGACCATCTTGAGATTTTTGTTCATAATGAATAGTTGGGAGTTTTCACCCCCAATTTTTTATCTATTAATTCTACAATACAATGAAAAGCATTCCAGCCAAGAGAATTATTGCCTCTCCTTGCCTGAATTTTAAATTCAGCTTGTTTTAATTGAAAATGTTCAATCAATCCCTCCTCTCCTCCTGCCCATGTCCTGTTTCTTGACTCAAACAGGGCCACTGCAGTAAATAATCTGGAGTGAGGCTTTCAAGGTTAGGGAATATGTAATAGGGTTGGAGGGGGAAGGGAAAGAGAGTTGTCCCAGAAAATGCCCATTTTTAAAACACTGGCTTTTAAACAGATCCTGTCCAAAATGATCAACACCTTACAGTGGCACCTTTTACTGGAACAGCCCATCTCCTTTCCCTTGCAGAGTTCAAGAGGATTGATTTACAAGGCTACCTCCTACAGTTGCTTTAAGTCTGGCTCTCAGTATGGAATGGTGAGAAAGGGATCAGGCTTCTCTCTTCCTCATTCATTCATTCATTCATCCAACCCCTATGTTATTCATCAACTAGGTGCAGTCACACTCTTCATCCCAACAATGCTGTGAGCAGGAAACTGCAACTCAGGGAAACGAAATGGCTCATGCAAGGTCACACAGTATTCTAGTTCTCTAGTTCTACATTAGAAAATCTCCCCAAAACTTAGTGGCTTAAAACAATAGCTATTTTCCTATGTTCTCTGTGGGTCAGAAATTTGAGGAGGCCTCAGCTGAGTGGTTCTAGCTTGAAGAGTGGTGTGTTGCAGTCAGACAATGGCTGGAGATGGAACAGTACAGTGCTGGGGGAGCTGTAGGCTGGCTGGGAATCTCTCTCTTCTCTTTTTCTGTAGTCTCAGGGTCTCAGGGTCTCAGGGCAGTCAGACTGCTCACATGGAGGCTCGGGATTCCAGCTTGAGAATTTCAGCAAGCAAGTACAAGTTTCTTCACCTTTTCTGGCCTCACCTCAGAAATCCCACTGTTTCACTTCTCTCACTTCTGCCATTTTTTTGGTTACAAACAAGTCCCAGGCCCAACCAAATTCAAGGGAAGAGTAAGTATACTACTCAGTGGAAGGAGTGGCAAGGTCATGTACTACAATAACATGTGAGATTGGAGATATTGTTGCAGGCATCTTTGGAAAATACGATCTGCCATACACAGCATGTGGCAGAGCCAGGATTTGGATTAAATATATCTGCCTCCACAATGTTTGCTGCAATCTTTTACCTCAGTCCACAGGAACCTCTGCTTTCCTCTCTGCCCTGTAGCTCTTACTGCTGGCGCACACAACCACCATTTGGTTTCCTCCAGCCAAATGGAGACTGGCTGGGTGAAAGCTGGGTGAGACTGCCTCCAGAGTCTGCTGCTCAGAGAGGTCATGCCCAATGCCAGCTTGTGAACTTTTTAAACAAGAGGACAGAGGAGGTCAGTCACATCCAGAGGAAGAAAGCAGGTGGCAGCCCCAGAGCCCAGTGAGCCTGCAGTACATTTCACTGTCATAAACAACTTGTCTGGTGTTTTTCCTTCTCCCATCAGGCACTGGCCTGGGATGACTCAGGCTTTGACAGAAAAGGTGCCTTCAAATCAGGAAATGGGCCAGGATAGTGGAAAGCTCATGGTTCTGGAGTCAAACCTGCCTGGGTTTGAGTCCTGACAGTGCCATTACCAGTTATGTGGCCTTGGACAAATTCCTTAACCTCCCATAACAAAAAAGAGATAAAATAGCCTTCATTACTGGATTGTTTTGAAAATTAAAATGCACTTGTAGGCAAAGCAGCCAGTGCAGTGCCTGGCACATAGTAGGTGCTCCGTAAATGCTAAGTTTCATGTCCTAGGCCATGTCCAACCCCAGCTTGGGGACTTCTTGAAGAAGGTACTGAGAACTCACTTGCCCATTTCTCAAACACTTGTCCATCTCCATGGTCCTGGATGGAGTAATGGCCCAGGAGACCTGGCCCAGCCCTAGACAGCACTGAAGGAAGGCCTGTGGCAACTGCCCAACAATCCTGCAAATGCAAGCAACTGCATCTTTTCTTCCCACTCCACTTTGTCCTTTCCACTATGACCTACCAAGACCCCTCCCACCAAACACTCCTCTCACACAAGCCCTGACACACTGGAGGCTTCCAAATATGCTTGTTGGATGGATGGACGGGTAGATGGATGGATGGATGGATGGATGGATGGATGGATGGATGGATGGATGGTAAATCATTTCTGCACTGTTACTCACTCTGTGTCTTCTCCCCGAAATGCCCCTTCAGTTGTCCAGCCTTTATAGCCCAGCTGAGAATGGTCCTTCTCCACTGATCCTCTAGGACCAACCTCAGGTTCCTCCTCCTCTGCATATTACCCTGCATGCCCCCCTCACCTACTCCTGAGTCAGGGGTGTGAGTCTTGTTTCTCAGTACGTGGAAGGTAACCTACCACTTATTAGGCAAGAGAGACACAGAAGTGAATATGGAATGGTGCAGGTGCTGGAGAGGTAGTTTGGGAAGGTCGATAAACACATGCAGCCAGGGTACTCACTTTCAATCCCAGCTCTTCATTAGGTGCCCAACATTTGGGGAAATCCCTTATCTTCTCTGAACAGTGGGAATAATATACCTACTTCATTGGGTTATTGTGAGAATTGAATGAGTCAGTATACAAAAGGCACTTAGAAGATTGCCCAGCACGAAAGACTTCATGACTGAAACACCAAAAGCAATGGCAACAAAAGCCAAAGTTGACAAATGGGATCTAATTAAACTAAAGAGCTTCTGCACAGCAAAAGAAACTACCATCAGAGTGAACAGACAAGCTACAGAATGGAAGAAAATTTTTGCAATCTCTCCATCTGACAAAGGGCTAATATCCAGAATCTACAAGGAACTTAAACAAATTTACAAGAAAAAAACAACCCCATCAAAAAGTGAGCAAAGGATATGAACAGACACTTCTCCAAAGAAGAAATTTATGCAGCTGACAAACATATGAAAAAAAGCTCATCATCACTGGTCATTAGAGAAATGAAAATCAAAACCACAATGAAATACCATCTCACGCCAGTTAGAATGGCGATCGTTAAAAAGTCAGGAAACAACAGATGCTGGAGAGGATGTGAAGAAATAGGAACGCTTTTATACTGTTGGTGGGAGTGTAAATTATTTCAACCATTGTGGAAGACAGTGTGGCAATTCCTCAAGGACCTAGAACTAGAAATACCATTTGATCCAGCAATCGCATTACTGGGTTTATACCCAAAGGATTATAAATCATTCTACTATAAAGACACATGCACACGTATGTTTATTGTAGCACTATTCACAATAGAAAAGACTTGGAACCAACCCAAATGCCCATCAATGATAGAATGGATAAAGAAAATGTGGCACATATGCACCACGGAATATTATGCAGCCATAAAAAAGAATGAGTTCATGTGCTTTGCAGGGACATGGATGAAGCTGG
Organism: Homo sapiens; assembly: GCF_000001405.40. Classification (NCBI taxonomy): domain Eukaryota; kingdom Metazoa; phylum Chordata; class Mammalia; order Primates; family Hominidae; genus Homo; species Homo sapiens. The sequence goes on along the minus strand of NC_000001.11, from coordinate 48,542,135 downwards.
AAACCATCATTCTCAGCAAACTAACACAGGAACAGAAAACCAAACACCATATGTTCTCACTCATAAGTGGAAGTTTAACTATGAGAACACATGGACACAGGGAGGGGAAAAACACACACTGGGGCCAGTCAGGGGGTTGGGTGCTAGGGGAGGGATAGCATTAGGAGAAATACCTAATGTAAATGATGGGTTGATGGGTGCAGCAAACCACCATGGCACGTGTATACCTATGTAACAAACCTGCACGTTCTGCACATGTATCCCAGAACTTAAAGTATATATAAAAAAAAAGATTGCCTAGCACGTATTAAACATTATATAAGTATTAGCTATTATTTATTTATTTTATTTTTTTATTTTTTTCTGGAGATGGAGTTTCACTCTTGTTGCCCAGGCTGGAATGCAATGGTGCGATCCTGGCTCACTGCAACCTCCGTCTCTTGGGTTCAAGCGAGCCTCCTGCCTCAGCCTCCCCAGTAGCTGGGATTACAGGCATGCGCCCCAACGCCCAACTAATTTTGTATTTAGTAGAGATGGGGTTTCATCATGTTGGTCAAGCTGGTCTCAAGCTCCTTACCTCAGGTGATCCACCCACTTCAGCCTCCCAAAGTGCTGAGATTACAGGCGTGAGCCACTGCACCCACCCAGCTATTATTTACTAATTCAACAAATATATATTTCATACTTATTGTCAGATGAGTGTGTGGGTATTTAGGTGATGAATAAGACAGATATGACCTCTGCCTCATAGAGCTTGCAGGCTAGAAGGGGCTACTGAAAAGAAGAGACAGGTAAAATGCAGTATGATTAGCACTCTGGTTGGTGAAGGCCAGGAAGAAGAGGTTGTGGGAAAACCTAGGAGAGACCCCTATCCCAGCAAGGGCAGCCAAGGAAGACTTACCCAGTAGAGTGACAACTGAATTGAGCTCTTGAAGCTGAGAAGGAGTGGGTCCTGGAAGGCATGTGAAGGGAGGAAGAGTGATCTAGAAAGATGGCATGTATGGGCACAGGCCTGGAGGCAGAAGAAGCTCAGTGTTTCTGGAATGTGAAGGGCAAGGGGAGTAGGTGGGAGGTAGCAAGCATAATGTTGAGAAAATAATCAGGGACCTGACTATGAACAGTACGGTAAATCACACTCAGAGATTTGGACTTTGAAGGTAACTGAGAACCACTGAAGTGTTTTATTCAGCTGAGTGACATATTCAGAGCTGCATTGCAGAATCCCCCTGGCTGCACGGTAGAAAATGGACCAGAGGGGAGAAATTCTGTGGCAGGGAAACTAGTTAGGACAGGATGACAGCAATCTAGGAGAAAGATGATGCTGGCCTATTCTAGGGGGGTGGAAAGAAGTGAAAACATTCAAGATATGGGAGGTGTCTTGGAGAAGGGTTAGTGACAGCTTGGATGTTCAGAGCTAAGAGATGAGGGAGAAGCAATCGCTAAGGATTAAGCTGAGTAAACACATAATTCTCTTGCTGTGAGATAAGTGATAAGTGCTTTGAATGAAGCCAGTTCAGGAGTCATGAAAGTGTGGGGCAAGGGCACGAATCACAGTTCTGGGAAGAGAGGAGAAGAATATCCTGGAGGGCTCTAATAAAGAGATATCACCTCATTAGAGAAGCAAGGGGCATGAATTAGCCAAGGAGAAGGCAGGAGTGGGCAGGGAGGTACTTCAGCAGAGGAAATAACATGTATGAAGCCCAGAGATGTGAGCTATAATGCACAGAGAAGATATTCTGTTGTTGAATAATGATTGTTGTACTTATTCACATTAAGGTGTTAATGGTCAATATGAAATTGGCCCTTCCCCAAGAAGTTTGTGCTTTTACAGCCACAAATCTTTACCAGGAAGATTCATTGTCAGAGGAATTTCAAGGTGCAGTGGGAACACTGTTTAGGGTCACAGGGTTTTACCATTGTGCCTGAGGTTACTAAAGTGGATGACTGAGCCCTAAGGGTCAAGCAGGCCCTTGTCTATATGCAACAAATGTCTCTTGTCCTTGGGTTTTTTGCTTACCTGGCTCCATCCTGAGCCACCTGAGGCTAGACCAGAGCAGCCCAGTGATTTCCAAAGGGCTGTACCCTGAAAGCTATGAGCACAGGCTTTGGGTTATGACTCCCTAGACTCATATCCTGGCTCCTCCTTTTCCCAGTTTTGTGACCTTAGGCAAATTACTTCACTTCTGTGCACCTCAGTTTTCTTATCTATAAAATTAGGATAATAATAGTGATTACCATTTAAGGTTTTTCAAGGATCAAAAAAGACAGCGCATACAAAAAGCTTAGAACAATGAGTGTGTAACTGTTTTTATTACTGTTATTATTTTTATTAGTAGTTCTCTTTTCACTCTGTCTCAATCTGTTTTCGAAGTTGCTCCTTAATGCACACACCTGCAGATATGAAGCTGGGGCGGAATGTGGCAAGAACCTTTTTGGACTATTATCGGCTGAACCCCGTGGTTGAAAAGGTGGCAATTCCCATGCCGAGACTGCGGTAAGTGGCAGAGCAGAGAGGTTTCGGCTTGAGTTCTGCTCCACGGGCTGTATTCAGGGGCAACTTCCCTTAGCCTTTTGCTGACACTCAGCATCCCATCTGTGCCGCAGGAAAGATAATCCTGGCCCTGCCACCGAGATTTTATGGGGCAGAAGAGCATAGTTCCTGAGCATAAAGAAAGTGTCATTAAGGGGTCAGACAGTGAGGGCATGGTCACATTTCTGGTTCTAACTTAGGAATCCACAGGGATGGGGCTTGCTGGGGAGCTGAGTTCAGTCATTGTTCTAAATTTGGGTGTTTCTATGTGCTACCTCTCCTGATACCTCATCCTCTGAGGTTCCTATATGAACTTCTCTGATCCTTCGGTTTCCTCATCTATAAAGTGAGGACAGCAGTCCTCACATACATGATTATTATGAGATATGTGTTAAAGCACCCAGCACAGTGCTGTCAGTACATGATAGTCTCCTTCCCTCAAGATGTAAAGATTTGGGCTGGAGAGGACACACCCTTGAGAAGTTCTACCTTGGGTCCTCTTCTGGGGCCAACTTGCAGGGCTGCTGAGGAGAGAAGGTCAGGAGGTGAGCCTCCATCCTGTCTGAGGACTTGGCCAGAGCCTGAAGCACTGGGCACTTCCATGACCACTGGCTGTGAACCCAGCTAGCATGAGAACAGTGACATCACATGGCATCTGGAATGTGCTGGCCCTGCCCTACCTCTTAGACTCATCTCCCACTCCTTCAGTGGTCCATCCTACTTGAAGGACATGACAATGCCCAACTCCCGGCTCCTGCCAGACCATTCTTTCCACTGACCTTTGCCATGACCTTGCTCATGTATGTGGGTGCCTCAGGGCCTTTGCACTGATGCACCTTCCTCCCTACGCTGTTATTGATAAAAACAATATAAATCACCGTTATTTATTGTACAGAGTACTTTGTGTACATTGTATTATTTATTCCTCATAGACATTGTATTTCCCATCTTACAAATGAGGAAAAGGAGACTAAGAAAGATGATGAGAAGGTCTGAGATGCCTGAGGTCAAAGAGTTTTTGGGAGAGCCAGGGTTTCATCCTAGGCTTTTATGATTTGAAAGCTGAATTGAAGTCTAGCTAAGGTTCACCGCAAGTAGAAGTTCATCAGCATGGGTTCAAATTCTGTCTCAGACTCATGTGAGTTATAGGATCTTAGGCAAGTTTCTTGGCCTCTTGAAGCTTTTTTCTACTTACCTATAAATGGGGATAATAACAACAATCTCTAAATATGGTTTTGTAGAATGGATACAAGCTTAGTATAGTGCCCAGCAGCTAGTAGATGCTCAATAAATGTTTTCATGTCCTCCAGTTTCTGGGTTGCAGTCCCAGATTTCCAACCAACTCATCAAGACCTAGGGCAAGTCTTTGACTTATTTGTTTGGGTGATGTCTCAGGGCCTATGTTCCACAATGCTATGAGTCATACATCTCTTAGCCCCATGTCATAGAGTCTTCATGACAAGGTATTCTGATACCCTGTCCCAGATTGTTTCTAAATCATCTAGGGTCTTTGTGCCCCACCACCATGGCATATTAGAAACTCTTGCAGGAGAATCACGTCTATTTCTTGTGCCCCTGAAGTGCCTGTCCTGCATTGTGCATACGTGCATGTATACATTCATTCATTCACTCAGGAAAAGCAACACTTTATACCAGGCCCCTGACAGGAGGGAAGTGCTGGGATGAGTGGCTGATTAAAGCATGACCCCTGCCTCTGAGGAGCTCACATCTAGAGGAAAATGCTCAGTTCATTCTTAGAAGTCATTCGTGATTGGTTAAAGTTCTTAAACGTTTAAAGCTTTATAAAACTCAAAAGAATTCTTAGAATCTCATTTACAAGTTAATTTGGGGATTGTCTCTTTCAGGTCCTCTGCCTAAATAAAATTATCTTGATCCTTAATCATTTTTTTCTTGCATGTTGCATTGTCATATACCAATGAAATGGTGCTGACACTCAGGGAGACCTTAGTGATCCTCTAGACTCTCTTCACGATACAGATGAGGACATGGGGACTTAGGGAGCAGAAGGAGCTGGTCAGAGTCATGTGGTCAGAGCCAGGACTGGAGCACAGGCCCTCACCCTGCCATGCAGTGTGTTCAGTGTCTACCAGTGAAGAGTTCGTGGAGATGGGAGAGGATGGAACCCCGACACGGATCTAAAGGACATAGGGGAGATCTCAGGGCCCTGAGTTTAACTGTTCATGGCACTTCCTTGCCTTGAGCTTTGGAGCCCTCTTCAGAAAAGATCTAGAGAGCTCCTTCCTCATGAGTTCAGAGTTTTGAGGACTTGAGCTAAATGCACCCACCTTTAAATTAAGAAAAAACTTAATAACCTCCTCCCTATGCACACACCTCTGCCTCATCAAACTGTGAGCACCATTTAGCTCTAGATTGGTCAGTAATCCTTTAAAAATGAATTCCCAGGAGGATACAAGACTCTGAGCTCTAATTTGGGATATAAATACTTCCCCTTTTTTGTATTATTTTCCACCCAAGCATCAAATAGTTTAAGTGAAAGAGCAGTCTGGCTTTAAAGGAAAATTACATGTTTTGACTCAAAACTAATCTTTGTTTTCTCCCATCTCCATGGATAATTACAATATGTCACTTTCTGCTCACACGCTGGCAGAAGCCTGCCGGCATCATTGGATACTGGGACACCCTTCAGATAGGGTCCCTCAGGAGGGGCAGCAATGTGGGCACAAGAGCTCAGGCTCAGGGGCATGGCATTGATGACCAAAGCTGAGGTCCCACATTTTGTTTAGCACACAGTGGTATAGTCGCAAGCCCAAAATGCTCCAGCAAAGGGGACAAAATCAGACAGGAAGAAGAAACAGAGCAGGTGTGCTTCTGTAGGTAAACAGAGCATGAGTGTGGCCTCTGAGCAAGAGGTGGACTCAGGCTTAGTCACAGGCTGGCAGGGCTGGCTCCATGGTGAGGTTATGATGTGTGTATGTGTGTGTAACGGGGCTTGTCAGCTCCTCAACACACTGGAGCCCACTACGTGCCAGTCCTTGTGCCAACTGCTAGAGGATTATAAATAGCCCCTGCCCATTGTGTGCTCAGATTTATGGAGGATAAAGGCAAGTACAAATGCAAACATAACAAACAATACTGAAAAGTGTATAAGTACTCAACTATGTATCAGATTATGCCTTCTCTCAAAAACCTTCTATGGCTCCCCATTACCTTTAGGGTAATGTTTCAACTCTTCTTGTTATTCAAGACCTTGGCCTACATTTTAAACTTCATTTACTGCTTTCTACCACCCCTCCACCCCTGTGAGCACCCTGTCCCTCCCACCTGATTTCTGTCACCTCGTGCCCTATGCTTCAGCCTGAACAAGTTAGCTGTTTTCTTGCCTCCATGTCTTTGTACATCCTTTTTCCTCTTGCTGGAATGAGCTCCCTTTCTGCTTGTAGATGGTGAGCTCATAATTATCATTCAAAACTCAGTCCAAATATCACAACCTGTTTCCTTGTCCATGTTCTCTGCCCGAGACAGAGCTGCTTCCTCTCTGCTGAGCTCCTAACTGTGTTTTGTACATACCTCTAGCATGGTATGTCCTGTGGTGTATTGTCATGGCTTCTATGCATGTCTGGCTTCTCTGGTAGCTTCAGTGTCCTCAGTCTTACTTACTTCTGTATCCTTAGTGCATGGTGCAGGGCCTAGCATAGATTAAATTCTAAATAATCCATGACTGTTACTGAGCTGTGGTAGAACTGAAGAAGCCCCCAAAATTACCGACTTCAACCCCTTCACACTAAAGAAAAGAAAAGTGAGACCCAAGCAGAAGTTCCTCTCCTACCAAATCTGGCAAGTATTTTGTAGCTGGCAGGCATGTCCAAGAAAACTTCAGAGAAGAAGTGGCATTTGAACTTGGCTTTAACAGACATATGGAATTTTGACTGATGAAATAGAAAGGGGATAAAGGGTATTCTGTATTGGGGAATAGAGTAGAGAACAGACAGAAGCAGGACCTAACAAGACACATTCCATGGCAGTGACAAGGCCAGAACGTTTAGAGTAAATGATATGGTAAAGATAAGACAGAAAGTTCATTTCTAGTCATCAAATACTCCTCAAGCACCTACTCCACACCAGACCTGCACTTGGCTCAGGAATTATAGAGAAAAAGCGTACACATCAAACTTATCGTCTCATGAGAGAAAGAGATGAGCAAAGAACAACCTAGAAAACAGCAGGGTGAGGAGCGATGAAATGTACAAAGTGCTACAAAGGCCTGGGGATGGGGGAGGCTTATTTTGTGGGAGTTTGTCTTCCAAAAAGAGGTGAGACTAGAGAGGTAGGGAAGGAAACAGCCTCTGCAGAGGCCTAAAGGTATGGGATGTTTTGCCTTCCAGTGGCTCCTTGCTCTCTCGTGTCCCCATCTTTGGTTGATGGCTTTTTGCCTTCCTAGCCCACCCTCCCTAAGTCCTTCTGCACATTCACTGTCCTCTCTAGCCTCTGCACAACTTATCCCCTTGCCACTATCCCCCCATGGCTGCCCCAGCTATGACCAAATCTGGGCTTCCCTCTTCTTTTTCCCCATAAAAACATACTTACGTCCTATGCTCCGTTTGGGTGTTAAAAACAACATCCTTCAATGACAGATGAATAGCACCTCTTCAACTTCCATTTACTAGAGCCTAAGAGGCAGGAAGGACATGAATTTTTCTCCTATTTTAGAAATAAAGAAATAGAAGTCCAGAGAAGGTAAGGAACTGCTTCAAGATGACATTGCCCGTAAGTAACATACCATGCATGTGCTCCAGGGCTGTATCTCACCTATTCTGGCAGCCTTGTTATGTTAGCAAGGCTCTTCAATGAATGTGGATTTTCAGGCAGTGAGGCTTCCTGGTGGAGGGGGCAGTATGTTAGGGCAAAGTGTCCCTTTATGTGCTGCCACCTATTCTGTCTTTACCTTATTCATGACTCATCAACAGTAAAGAAAAATGGGTGTACCAAGGTCAGAGCTTGATGGGTTACAAAAGCCACATCTTCAATTTGAATTCAAACTTAGTTCAAGAGATTCTCATATTTATGACACTAACCACTTCCTGACACATATTATAGTTATTGTTTTGTGTAGTTATTTTATACAATTATCCCCTCTCCTAAGCTATAAGCAACTTGAAGACAGTATCAATGTCTGCTCATTTTTGTCACCTTTAGTGTCTGTGGGAAGAAGACTAGGTTACTGTTCCTGGGAGGCTACAGTCCAGTGGGGAAGATAGACATGCACACAAATGATTTCATCACAGTGTGTATATGGGCTGTCTTCTCTCTTTCTGTTATCTCCCCCTTTGCAGGAAAGAAAAATCCCCTCCTTACAAGCACCCACTCCTGCGGGGCCCAGCCAGCAACTACCCCAACAGCAAAGGGGACAAGAAGAGCTCAGTGAACCACAAAGACCCTTCAACCCCTTTTTAAAGACACGGAGTCCTGGGAGGTCTTATGGGGACAGGAGCATGCATTTTCTGCTGGGGAATGAAATTAATCACTCTTCTCTAGCTTCCAAGGATTTGTGGATTAATGCATAGGCTAGTGAAAGGGAAGGGATACAATGAGAAACTTCATCACTGATTTTCCCTTTTTCCAATGGAAAATCAATTGTAAGCCTTCAGCTCAAAAAGCTCAGGAACAAAATAGGAGATCGGAACCAGGTGAGCACAGATGCTATTTTCTACAACATAGAGATCTTCCAAGATGAGGAAAACCTACACATCCCTTTTAAGAGATTTGACACATATCAGGTCAGTTCTTTCAAAGCCACTTTACATTTTTAAGTTTTATAGTTACTGCAGATGGTTACCTTTTAAATAGGCTTGGTTGTTTACAGCTTTAGAAATGCAGTGTTTGTATTTTCTGATCCAAAACAACAGCAACAACACATGCAACCAAAGGGCAAATGCATCCTAGGGAACAATGGGACAGAATTTTTGAAATCAACGGTGGACTTAAATATATGGTCACTGTATCTAAGCTGCATGCTTGCTGATTCCCTCAAACCCCAGCATGCAGATTTAGAAAACTGTTTTGAGAGCTGTTTCCCAATTTCCTCGGTAGTTTAATTAAAATTTTAGCTCTAAAGACAAAAAGCACTGGTCACTCATTTTAAAAGGTTTATTATGGTTAAGGTCTCCAGATCCCAGGTGACAGGGATTAAGCCTGGCCCCTGAAGATGTAGGCATTGCTAATCTGCAATGAGGAAAGGGTGATTGCCAGGCAAGGAAGATGCAAAAGACAGAAGGATGCACCCTGAGGCAGGGAGGAATGATAAAATAAAACAGTAGTAGCAATTCCCAAGGTGTGGCAAGCTAAATATTGGCATTTTTGTGAAGAGTAAAGTGCCTTTGTATGATGAATGGGTCCAGGGGGGTCTGCTCCCTTCCTGTCTGTGGAAACAGCAGGCTGAGTCACCATGACAGCCTGCTAATTAAAATGACCTCCCGGAAATGAGGATTAGAACACAGGGAGAGGAAGGGAGGCTCCAGGGAGGAAAATCCCTTAGCACAGAGCTCCACTAAAGCATTTTTTGTTTGTTTGTTTGTTTGTTTGTTTGTTTGAGTTGGAGATTATTGAAGTTTGCTACAAAAATCAAAAAGAAAACTTGTTCTCCTTTGCATGCTAGTTTTCAGAAATGATGACAAAGAGCCATATGTTGATTGGCTACAAATGTCATGTTGTATATACAGCTTCTCCCCTGGGTTCGTTTTGCCCAGAGGAACACAAATAAAGTGTTTTGTGCAGCTCCTCTGTTCCTCTGAGCATTCTTGGCACCTTTCCCTTTCAGTCCCCACTACTCAAGAACCAACAGGCAAACCCCAAAACTGATATAACCCTGACTTTGAGGTCAGGGACTTTGTTTTCAAAATAAGGGACAACAGTCAAGTCTTGATTTCCAGCAGTTCCCGTGTCAAAGTCCTGGGGAGTTTAATTGACTGCAACCAGCTTGGCATGCACCAAGAGTGTATCAGCCTTTTGGAAATGATAGCATCATTTTAGATAGCATGAAAAGAGGCAGATTGCATAAGATGAGAGAGGCAATAGTCTAGATCCATGTTTCCTTGGCCAGGTCACTTCCATAATGTGATCACATATTGGCCCATATAGTTAAAACTACATTGATTAATTGGATCATAGACTACACAAACAGCAGGTATAATGATTATTTAAGAGCAAAAACTTGGAGCCAGGCAACTTTGGGTTCTAATTCTGCATTCAAACCCTACTTCTATTTCTTTAATAAAACTGTGTGATCTTAGGCAAGTTATTTAACATCTCTAGATCTTAGTTTCCTCACCTGAAAGATGGTCATAGTAATATCTACCTTGTTATAATAGTTATGAAAGTTTAATGAACTTACGTGTGGAAAATGTAGGCAAAAATATTTATGTGCTCACTAAATGGTAGCTGTGATCATTTGGAATATGACTAGGAAAGTGAGGTATCTGCAAATCCTTCCCCATTAGAAAGGAATGAGGAGACTGGAGCAGTTTATTGTTTAAAATAAAAAATAGGCCGGGTGCGGTGGCTCACACCTGTAATCCCAACACTTTGGGAAGCTGAGGCGGGAGAATCACCTGAGGTCAGGAGTTCGAGACCAGCCTGGCCAACATGGAGAAAGCCCGTCTCTACTAAAAATACAAAAATTAGCCAGGCGTGGTGGCACGCACCTGTAATCCCAGCTACTCAGGAGGCTGGGGCAGGAGAATTGCTTGAACCTGGGAGGTGAAGGTTGCAGTGAGCCAATGAGCCATGATCATGCCACCGCACTCCAGCCTGGGTGACAGAGTGAGACTCTGGCTGAAATAAATAAATACATACATACATACATACATACATAATAAGAGGGAGTGGGAATAGGAAAGAAAGATCACAGTCTCCAAAAAGCTAAACAGACATCATTGGACAAAAGAAGCAAACTTGTTCTGTGCTGCCAAACAAGTTTATTACCTCTCCTGGATTTGGAGAGGTAATAACCAAATCCAGGGAGTGAGTCTCAGTAAGACAGATTTCTGCTCAGGATGAGGAAAACCTTCTAGTGAATTGAATTGCCAACCACTGGATGGGTTCCTTTGGAAGACCATGAACTCCCCATCACCACAGGTGTGCAAGAAGAATCTGAACGAACATCTGTCTGGGAGGAAATAGAGGGGACTCCCTCTCTAGGGGGATGCTGGGTTGGAAGCTGAATGCTCCGAAGCATCACCTCATGTCATTTCTCTGGACTGAAATGACATGGGACAGGATGTTACATTTCTGGATGTCAGCAAATGGAGTGTACAGTATAGTTAGTACTTAATGCTAGACACAGTGATATGAACTGTCTCTGAATTACAGCATATATGGACTCTGATAAAATTTCCCATTCCTTGAGAGAGAGAGAGAGAGAAAAAAAAAAGCTGGCTATAAGGCAGCCTGTAGGAGGGTGTGTTTGCAAGATGACTGTCTGCTTTTCCACATTGGCAGAGCAGAAAAAAAGGACTGAGCAAGAGCCCAGGGGTTGTCAGCAGCCCTCTGTGTGGTCTTGGCCTGCTTAGCTTCTCCTTAGCTTTCTTGAACAAGGTTATACCTATGACCTCAAGCTAGAGGGGAAAGGTTTTCAGCACTGAGATGGAGGACAGCACCAAGAGGTGTACAACCCGCCAGAGGCTACTAGCCCACCTGGCTCCAGCAGGGGGCGCACCAGCCTATCTTCTTGTCCAGCCAGGTCTGTCTCAGATTAGAGCCACAGGTGGGTGGAGCTGGCCACCAAAGCAGTGTTCTGTGCATTTCCAAGGAGACAGACAACTATGCAAAAAGTAGGGGTGAGAAGGAGAGGGATCATGACAGGTCTCAACCTGGCTCTCACACAACTCTCCATACTGATGCAGTGCTAGTTTTGCTCTGTATCAGTTCAGAGGTGCAGAGACAGGACTAAAAGTCTGTTTACCCTCAAGCTGCAGCAGACAAACTGGAGGTTACCCAGTTTCTTCGTTGCTAAGCCCCCAGCAGAGGAGGTTGGTGATAATGTTTGCTTTGCGGCAGCCAACAGTGAGCCTTTGTCTAGAAGCTTTTTCTATTGCCTTTTAAATGGAGGCGGGGCGGTAAACACAGAAAGAACTAGTATCCTTTCACTGTAACTCAACTGACACACCTGAGACCTGCCTTAGAGAACCCAACTCATTTTTCTACATAGTAAGAACAGAGCCAACTATGGAAGTGTAAGCTGATTAACATTTGTGCAGCATCGATTCATACATCCAGATGTTTACTGAACATATACTGTGTGTCAGGTGTAGTTCTAGATCCCTTTGTATCCATTGCCTTATTCAATGTTCCCAACAGTCCTATCAGGTAAGTATCATTTTCTACACTTCGAAGATGAGAAAAAATGAGAACCCTAAAGGTAAACACCTTTTTTTTACACCCATGTGGCTAGTGAGAACCTGGATTCAAACACTGCTCCCCTTCCACTACTTTGTGCTGGGCCTTATCCATTTGTCTCCAGGTAAAATCAGGTCAAAAAAAGAAACAGGTTAAAGCAGAATAACAAGTAAACAATGGCATCATTTAGAGGTAGTGGGGGATAGGGAGAGGGGAAGGAAGCATGTTAAGTTTACAGGCTGGGAAAAATGTGTAATGATTTCAGGACTTTTTAGCACTTGCTGCTGAAGCCCTGCCTTCTTCCTATCTCTCATTCCCACACACCTGTCTGACCTTCTTCTAGGCACTCCAGAGTCCTCCAGAGAGCAGCGTTTAGGCAAGGGGCCCATTTATCCCTTGACATGCAGAGGGCCCCTGGAATCTCAGCAGGGTTGTTGGACCCATCGTGACACTCTCTGGGTTACTGGCCCCAAGCAGATAATCTAGCTCTGGTTCCCTATCACTTCCTCCATCTGGGGTATGCGAAATAAGCCTACTATGTCCCTCATTTCTTGTTCGGAATTCTTCCTCTAAGTTCCTGCCTTCTGAGCACTAAAGAAGTCTGGTACCTTTTGGCTGAGCTCAGCCAAAGGGGCATCAGGGCCACAAAGCAGAGGGGAGACATAACGTAATAGGAACAGCCCGAGTTTAAAGTCAGGCCAACCTGAGTGTGAATCCCAGCTCTTCTGTTAAGCTGTATGGCTTTGGGCAAATAATGTAATCTCTTTAAGTCTCGGGATCCTCATCTGTAAAATGAACTGAATAATATCTACTTCCTATATTTATGGTGAGAATTGAATATAATAACATCTATAAAATACCTGGAACTGAGAAAAACTCTTTTCTCAAGCCATCTTCACCCCTGCTCTGCCTCTCATCTGCTTGCTAGAGTTGGAAATCCCTTCTCTAGAGCCAAAGCTTTTCTTCTCCCCAGATGACGTACAGACAGAAGTACAAATGCTTCTTGAGTAGAGGACAAGAGTGAGAGGAGTGTCCAGAAGAAAGGCAGTCACACTGAGGGATCAGTGTCAAGCCAGGGACCTAGGTTTTATTCATCTCTGTAGTCTTAGCACTTAACACAGATTACGTAGCAGAGTCTGTGCTCACTGAGTGTGGAATGAATAAATAGTGGGTATGGTGAGAGTGAGGTCACCCAAAAACCCTGAACCCTTGAGGGAGGGGAAAGAGGCTTTGGAAGTTGGGACTCTGAACAAATGGGAAGACAGTGTTGAACATGATATTCACCCAGCCTCATGTGAGGCTGAAATAACTAGACTAAAAAGAGAAGGGGGAAATAGATTCTACAAGATACCATGTTTTGTCAAAATCATAGCAAACAAATCTTACCAGGATACATACAAAACTTTTTTTATGTTACTTTGATTGGCATGCAACATCTCAGGGATCATCTTTATGAAGTAATCATACAGATCTTCTCTGCCAGCTGAAATTCAGGACTCCCCCAAGGCACTCACATATCTGTCTTCATACACCAAATTCAGGTGGTGTGCTGGTCAGGGCTTATTTTCTCAACTTTGCAGATGAAGAAATTCAGATTAGTGTGATTAATCTCATGCCCGTGGTCCACAGCCAGTAAGTAACTAGGACAGGATGTGGACCCTGGATACAAACACAACTCTACCACACCTCTCTGTCTCTCGGTTCAGCCCCAGACCTCGACACTAAGCCCGAACAAGTCAGAAAGTCATCCTAATGATGCCTATTATAACTCCTTAGTGCTTAAAATTTACTTGTTCCCCTAAAGACCTGGGATCTATTTTTAGCTGACCCCATGTCAATCTTAAGTCCAAATCTGCTTCTCTCCCTGGCATCAGCTGCCTTGGTTAATATTCTCTTTTTCCATCTAATTGCTCAGGTTGGAAGCCCTGCCCTTGCCTTAACTCCTTTATGTCTTTCTCCCCACACAGCTGACCAACCACCACGTCCCATTGCTTCTGCCTCTTTGGTGTGTCTGCCTTCAGGTAGTATTATGGAGTGACTCTGAGTCAGATAGACCTGAATTTTAATTTCAGCTCCACCGCTTGCTAATCATCTTATAAATCATTTAGAGCAGTTTACTTGCCCCATCTCTAAAATGGGACAATAATGCCTATTGGCAGGTTTGTTGTGCATTTCCCTCCCTCTATCCTTTCCATGCTTTCCCTCCTAGCCACTCCCACCATTATTTCCTACCTGGATTGCTGGAATGGCCTCCCTGTCTCCAGATGCTCTCCTGTTAACCCATTCCCTGCTTAGAAGCTTCCAGGAGCTCCATAAAACATGACCCCATTTTATGGTACTTCTTTCAAATTAACTGTCCAAGCCAGGAGCCTGGATATCATCCGACTTTTGTGTCTTTCACGCCCCATTTCTGTTCAATTGCCAAATCCCACTGGTTATTCCTGCTTGTTCTCTCTAATTTCCAGCCAACATCTCTGTTCCTCTTAACTAAGAAAATCCTTCTCATCATTCAAGACTTAGCTCATGTGTCCCAACTTCATGATATCCTCCCAGTCTTAGCAGTTGTCATTAATTGCTTTCTTTTCTCGGTTGCCCTAACACTTTGCTTATTCATCTGTTTATCAATTTTTTTTTTTTTTTGAGATGGAGTCTTGCTGTCACTAGGCTGGAGTACAGTGGCACGATCTCAGCTCACTGCAATCTCTGCCTCCTGGGTTCAAGCAATTCTCCTGCCTCAGCGTCCTGAGTAGCTGGGACTACAGGCGCGCACCAACACGCCCAGTTAATTTTTGTATTTTTTTAGTAGAGACAGGGTTTCACCATGTTGGCCAGGATTGTCCTGATCTCCTGACCTCGTGATCCACCCACCCCGGGCTTCCCAAAGTGCTGGGATTACAGGCGTGAGCTGTTGCGCCAGGCCTGTTTATTAATTATTTCACTCAGCTGATTGTCACCTCCCCCACTATCATTTAATGTCTTTGGGGGCAAAGTTCAGGTTTTATTTGTCTTCACACCTCCCATAGAACCTAATGGTTCCAGACAGGTCAGAGGCACTCAGTAACTACAGCAGAATAAAAGAAAGAATGAACAAAATCTCAAATCGAAAATTCTATCCTGACCTCACCCTGATAACTGAATCCTAATTATGGCTTTATCTTCCCAAAGCCTCAACCTCTCTGAGACATTCCACAGCTCAGATTTCCTCTATGGCTTCCTTTACTTACAGAATTAAGCTCCAACTCAGCATTAAAGGCAGCATAGTATGGTAGAGTGCTTTAGACTTAGAGTCAGCGGTCCTGGATGATCTTCATGGCCCCAGGGTCCATGGAGAGATGAAGGAGACAGATTTACTTAATCCTCCAACAGTTTCCTGAAAGCTAAATTCTTTTTCACAGCCCAAGGCAATTAGATCCTTTTTTCTATAACAATAAACATCATAACAATTGTTGCTGGTGTGGTTATAACTACTACTTCTGCTGTTGCTATTACTACTAGTAAAAACATTGCTGTTGCTATTACTGCTACTGCTGCTTCTATTACTAATCTACTTCTACTGTTATTCCCATTACTACTCCACTGCTGCTGCTGCTCCTACTACTATTACTGCTCCTGTTGCTGGTACTGCTAATCTAATGCTACTACCGCTGCTGCTACCACTACTACTGTGGATATTGCTGCTACTACTAATCTACTCCTCCTCCTCCTCCTGCCGCTGCAGCTGCTACTGTTACTGCTGTTCTGCCCTGACTGAGTGCTTACTTGGCTCCAGGCCCTGTACTGATTGCTTTGTCTTCCATGATCTGATGCAATCCTCACAACACCCCTATGAAGTAGGCATTATTCTCCTCATTTCCCTGCTAAAGACACAGAAGCTTAGGGAGACTAAGGAATCTGACCAAAGTTGTGCAGCTTGTTGTAAGTGGAGGAGCCTGGGAGTCATCAGACTCTAATGCTTGTGTTCTTTTCGTTCTCCCCTCCTCCTTTTTGTGTACAGTCCTAAGACTGACAATACAATAAATATTTAATGCTGGTTATAAAAAGCCTCCACCTCAGGGAGCTTACTGGTTTATGTTTGTTCCTGTGCATGACCTCATTTTGCCTGATTCCCCTGAGTCTTGCTTTAGGCGGTCTCCTTTGCAACTGGATGTCCCCATATGTCCTGTATGCCTGAGTCTCTTCCTTTGAAACAACTGCTGTGAAATGATTGTCTTAACAGGCAGGATTGGTGCTACCCTCAGAATTGTAACAACAAGCGAGGTGCTTTGCCAGGATATTAGGATGGAGTGGTGCAAAGGACGCCCAGCTCCTTCTATTAACCCACCTCTCCCACACTCCTGCGTTATAAAGAGGGTGCTATGTCACTAACTAGAGGGAGTTTTCCCAGGAAATATCCCAAAGTCTTCCTCTTCCTCTAACCCAAGCCACATTCTATCCTCAACTCCCAGACTCAAATTGTCAAGTCAAATGGATTTAAAGATGTAGCCGTTAGGAAACTGGGTTCTGCTCCCAGCTCTGATACTGCCTGGCTGTATTAGACATTAAGTAAGTCTCTTGTCCTGGATGGAGTAACCCCAGAGCTTCAACTGGTTTCAGTTTCTTACTGTTTGGTATGGGAACATAATCTTCAACTGACATAATCCTCAGCAGAAAATAAAAGAAAAAGAGAATCGTGAGGATCAACTGAGAAGATAAATGGGAAAGTATGGTATTTTGAAAAACATTTTCCAATATTTTCTTTCTTCTGAGACCTCATGAAGTTCCCTACTTCATCCATGCTTTTAACCTGAAGTGTCTCATCACTAATTTATCCAACACAAATAATGAAGCATCTGTGTTTGCTAGGCACCTCCCCATTCCTCTCTGCTGCCCTGATTTTTACTGATTCTACAAGACCCCTCCTTCAGGAAGTCTTTCCTGGTGCACTGGCCCTGAGCTTCTAGGGAACCACTGTCTAAACACATTTCATTTGACACTTGGTAATGGCTTTGGTATTTCACTTTTATTGTGTATCAGCTCTCTTACCAATTCAACTTTCCATTTTCTTGGACTGAGATGTTTAGAGAGGGCCAAAAACAGTCTTACTCATTTATGGGGCCCAAGAGCCTTAGCATAAGGCCAGAGACAGAGAAGCCATTCACAGAGAATTTGTGGCTGTTGCTGCTGCTGCTGGTGGCGAAAATGAGACTGAGGATGCCTGCTCCAAGCAGAACATTTTGGTGATGCTGACACCCCTCCTTTTCTCTCTCCCTCCAGAAGTTCACAAATAAAAGCAACCCTGAAACTTCTGGATAAAGTGGAGCAAACCTAGCTTATAGGCCCATATAGGAAGTTGTGAGACTTTAGGCTAATAGTATCCATAGGGCAAAAACAAAAAAAAAAAAAAAAGGAGAAAGCTGGGGAGAGACTACGACAGGTAAAAGAGATAAATTGACTATGATGTATTTGAATGTATGTGTGTGTGTGTGCTACCATTATGTGAACATCTTATATGAATAACTTCTTTATATTTGTGTGTGAAAATGCATAAGTTTGTTCAGTTGTGAATGTTTTTACTGAATATTAGATGACAGATCATTGTCAAATCTAAGCAGATTTTTTTACATCTACTCATAGTCAGAGGTCCTGGGTTAAGCTGCTGTTTGAAATTCTGTCTACTTTCTTGACATTTCATCCATATTAATGGATCACCCCTCTGCCCCAGCCTCCCAGGGACTGTGCTCAGCACGATGTCAGGGCCACCTCTCCTCTTTCCCAGTCCCAGTGAAGGCTGATCCTGGCTGATTCAGCCAAGCCAGTCCCTCTGGGGTGGAGAGCTCACCAAGAACCCCCTTTTCAGACTCTGTCTCCAGGTGATCTTGTGTTTAGGTGTCTTTTCTGTATTTCAGCTTTGTGTTCCTGTCTTTCTCTTTTTTTTTCTCTCTTCAGATCAGCCTTGACTAAAGGTTGAAAAACATTGCTTGTGTGGTGTTATGAAGAAGTGAGAGGTAGTTCTCCTTAATACCCCTAATACCTCTCCAAAGTGCTCCTGGAGCTGAAATTCCATGATTCCAGGGGGTTTGTTTCTGTTCAATTTCAGAAGCACTCACTGAGGGCCTGCTCTAAAATAGGTCGAATACCAGGTGGTGGTCAAAAGTGAAGGGCACACAGCTGTGAAATACAGTCACACACCACCTCACAATGTTTCAGCCAATGATAGACTACCTGAATGACAGTGGTCCCATAAGATTATAATACTATATTTTTATTGTACCTTTCCTATGTTTAGATTTTTTTAGATACACAAATGCAAGCATTGTGTTATAATTGCCTACAGCATTCAGTAGAATAACATACTTGACGGGTTTGTAGCCTAGGAGCCATAGGCTGTACCATGTAGCCTAGGTGTATAGCAGGCCACACCATCTAGATTTGTGTAAGTACATTCTATGATGTTCACACAATGATGAAATCACCTAACAATGCATTTCTCAGAACGTATCCCTGTCATTAAACAATGCATGACTGTACATTGCTCTGGCCTAAAGAGCAGCTCCACGGAGCTTGAGACTTTGCCTTTACTGAAAAGCAAATACATGGGGTGGGGACTTTCAAACATTAAGCCTGTTTGCCATACATGCCTTAATTCATTCTTTTCTAAGTTAAATATTCATTCTTTCTTTTATTCATTTATCCTTAGGGAGGCCATGTGGTTTGGTTGAAAGAGCACTAACCCAGAGCCTGGATTTAAGCCTAATTCAGCTGCTGTCATTTCCCCTCTTTGAACCTCAACTTCCTCACCCACAGAATGGAATTAAGCATTATTGCTGTTTCTAAATCACAGGATTACTTTGAGGAATTTCAGGGAAAGTGAATGTAGTGGGGAGAAAGAACTCACATTCTCTGAGTTCCTACTAGAGGCAGTACTTTGCATGCATCCATTCTGTAGCCATACAATAGGAAGGGGATGGGGACAAGTGAGGACATCAGGAGCAGGGACAAAGGCCTAGAAATGATCCATTAGAAGGAGTCTTAACTGGAAGCAGAGAGACCTGGAATCTAATCGCAATATGTTCCCAGCATTTATATAACTTTAGAAAAGTCACTCTCCCTCTCTAAGCCTCAGTTTTCCCATCTACAAAATGGAATCTGTTGAAGTAGGTGATCACTAAGGGCTCCTCCAGTTCTGCCATTTTGGGTCTCTAGGAACACCCCCTTCAACCCACTTGCCTACCCTAAAAATGATCTCACACTGACCCCAGTATGCATGTCAGGTTGCTAAACCCTAATGAGGACTAGGTAGTGAAGTTTCTTTCTTTTTTTTTTTTTTTTGAGATGGAGTCTTGCCCTGTCGCCCAGGCTGGAGCGCAGTGGCACGATCTCGGCTCACTGCAACCTCTGTCTCCCAGGTTCAAGCGATTCTTCTGCCTCAGCCTCCTGAGTAGCTGGGATTACAGGTGCACTCCACCATGCCCAGCTAATTTTTGTATGGTAGTGAAGTTTCATACTTAGTTCAGCAACTCTGGTGGTGATTCCCGCCTTCCAAAGATTCTTTCTGTCCTCAGACTTAATGCTGAACCAGAGACCTCTGGAGAGGTGAGACGAGCTGGTGACACCACGAACCTTGCATACAAGAGATGCAGTACTGAGGACCTAATTAACATCACCGTGCAGTAGGCACCATGGAGCACACTTGAGCTGCCAAAGAGAATAAATAAAGCAGTGTTTTATCTTAAGTGTTGATTAACAGTGAGTAATAAATAGACCGTGTCTTATTTACTATGCCTTCCCTGCACAGGCCTGCTATGGCTGACCTAGACCTTGTGAGACAGCATACCCTGATTTCAAGTGTGTGCATTATAAGTTGCTTGTCAAGCAGCTGGAGAACTGGGCTTCTGACTGGATGTTGTAATAGACTCATGCAGAGATGTGGGCACAAGAGTCTGGAATCTGATGTCTGACAGATCAAACTTAGAGTCCTGCTCTGCCACGATGTGGCCTTGAGCCATCCCTGTGAACCTGTTTACTCACTTTAAAAATGAGATTAATTAATGTCTGGGTTACAGGAAGGTTGTGAAGGGTGGATGATGAGAAGATATAAATAAAGACCAAATGAAAGTGTCCCACAGAGGGTAGGTATTGTTCTCAGTCACATCCACATTACTCTTACGCTTAGTATTTCTAAGTCAGTCAAACCAACACCCTGACATACATTATAAATGGGTAATGTGGCCCCTCATTATAACTGACTAATAATGTAACAGGGTCTTTACCAACATCAGGTGGTCATTTGTCCGCGTCCAAGACTGTCTTCTCTCTTCTCACTATAATATCAGCATTCATTCATTCCTTAGTAAGGTTTACCATGGTATCTTAGTTTGGGTTCTTCCAAAAGCAGAGACTGCAACAAGGAACTGACAGCGAGTAGTTTATATGCCAGGTGATACCAAGAAGCAGAGGTAATGGAGAGGCAAAAGAGAGACCAACAGAGAGAAAAAACAGGAAGGGTGTGTTAAAGAGCTAATTATCACTAAGGGGAAAGGGGCCTCGATCCCTCTCAGGACTTTCTAAGCAATGATTTAAAGACTCTCCTCAGAGTTGAGGATTGCCCCTTTGGGTGTGAATTCCCCCTTGCTCTTCTGCAAGGCTGATCCCTGAGGCAGCTGAGATCCACTTGATGAGGGATGCAGACCAGGTGCATGGAACTGTCCATCGCACTGCACTAAGTCAGTGGGCTGAGATGTGGGGCACGCAGCACAAGTCAGGTGGGCTGAGATGTGGGGGGCAGGCAGCACAAGTGTCTGCTCTACATGAGTTTTACAGATAAAACATAATTTGGTTACCCATTTCCCTTTTTTTGGATATTTAGGCCACTTCTCATTTTTTGGCTTGGGCTTGGAAAGGTCAGTGAGCATGAGCGCCTTGTCTTTTCTATTCCATGGCTGGGAAATTTGGTAGAAACAGTGTCGGAGTCAACTCTCCATCCCAATAATCCAGCATAGTGCCTGCACAGAGTTAAGTACCCAGTGATTATTTGCTGAGGGAAGTAATGGATAGATGGATGGATGGGCATATGGATGTGCAGATGAAGCTTCTCCTTTGTAAGAATCATTTCTGTGTACAAATGGGGGTTGGTGAATGGAGGTTGGAAGAGGTTGGATGCAGATGGACTTTGATGTATAGGGTAATCAACATGGGGCATGGGCAGGTAAGTCAAGAAGCCCTCAGAAGAAATGAATCTAGGATTGGATCAAGTGACCCGGGTCAAGGACCTATCAGTGCTGGGCCTATTGACTGACTTGGTCTGACCTGGCGCTCCAGCTTGGAATCAACACTACAAATGGGAGCCAGAGGAGTAGCTGAACTGGGATCAGAAAAAAGAAGCTCCCAGGAAGGCCAGAAGCCTGAAGGTGGGACTCAAAGAACCTCAGATTTAGACACTCCTAAAACTTTGCAAAGCCTTGCCCTTACTTACTATTAACTCTGATATTGCATGAAAGCTGAATTTCCTTTCAACAATTAGTGCAATTGACCAGGAAAAAGGAAAATAAAAACAAAATATTTGAGATTTTATGTATATTTTGTTTTTAGATACCTTTTTTTACTTATAGTTAAAATCTTGAAGACCAATTTCTACAAGTAACATTTCCTTTTTTATTATAAACTTAATGCTATTTATTTGGAAACTTTTGAAATTTGAAAAATAGGAAAAAGCATAAAGAAAATAACCCATCACCACCAAAAGAGATAAATTTTTATATATTTTTAGTATATTTTTAACAATATTGAAGTAATTGTATATTTACAGTTTTAGATACTTTTTGTCATTGGGGTCCCCAGCTGAATTGTGTAATGTAGAATTCTCATGTACATTTCTCCATGCCATTGAATATTCTTTGAAAAAATTAATTTTTACTGATTAATATTATATTATATGGCTAAAACATAATTTGTTTACCCATTTCCCTTTTGTTGGATATTTAGGCCATTTTTCATTTTTGTGTTGGGAGCAGGTCCCCCAAAATCTGTCCATAAACTGGCCCCTAAACTGGCCATAAACAACATCTCTGCAGCACTGTAACATGTTCATAATGGCCCTAACACCCACTCTGAAAGGTTGTGGGTTTACGGGAATGAGGGCAAGCAACACCTGGCCCGCCCAAGGCGGAAAACCACTTAAAGGCATTCTTAAGCCACAAACAAGAGCTTGAGCGATCTGTGCCTTAAGGACGTGCTCCTGCTGCAGTTAACCAGCCCAGCCTATTCCTTTAATTTGGCCCATCCCTTCGTTTCCCATAAGGGATACTTTTAGTTAATTTAATGTCTATAGAAACAATGCTAATGACTGGTTTGCTGTTAATAAATATGTGGGTAAATCTCTGTTCGGGGCTCTCAGCTCTGAAGGCTGTGAGACCCCTGATTTCCCACTTCACACCTCTATATTTCTGTGTGTGTGTCTTTAATTCCTCTAGCACCACTGGGTTAGGGTCTCCCCAACAGAGCTGGTCTTGGCAAGTAGCGTCCATCGTGGGGGCTCGAATCCAGGTCGAAGGGTCGCCAGAGCAACGGTTGGAAAACATGGAACTAAGCTGGAGGACACCCGAGTACTCTTAAAGCAATCCCCATGGTGAGTAAGAAGGGGAGTTCGAAATCATCAGAGTAACAATGGGACAAGTGTGGGGTCTGGTTCATTTCACCTTGGAACTTTTTCACACTGATGATGAGGAGGAAGAAGAGTATAGCGAAGAACAGAAGAGGTTACAGGTTTATTTGCCAGCTAAAGCAGCAAAGGAAGGAGAGGTTCATCCCTACCCTTCTGCACCCCCTCATTATTATTTTAAAGGAAAAGACCCTCCAGATCATTCTTTTCTGGAGGACACTGGTCAAAAAGTAGTTGCCCCAGTGACTGTTCGAGCAGCGCCTCAAGCAATCACTTTTAGTTCTATTCAGGCAGGAATTCAGCAAGCTAGACAAGAGGGTGATTTAAAGGCTTCGCAGTTCCCTGTTAGAATACACCCCCCAGATCAACAGGGAAATATTACAGCTACATTTGAGCCTTTTCCTTTTAAATTACTCAAAGAATTTAAACAAGCTATTAATCAATATGGACCAGGTTCTCCTTTTGCAATGGGACTGTTAAAAAATGTTGCTGTTTCCAGTCGGATGATTCCTACTGACTGGGACGCTCTTACTTGAGCTTATGTAACTCCTGCTCAGTTCTTACAATTTAAAACTTGGTGGGCAGATGAAGCTTCCATTCAGGCTGCTCGCAATGCCCAGGTCCAACCTCAAATTAACATAACTGCAGACCAACTTTCGGGGGTTGGCGGCTGGGCTGGTTTAGATGCACAACTGGTCATGCAGGATGATGCCATAGAACAGCTTAGAGGAGTGTGCATTAGAGCTTGGGAAAAAATCACTTCAGGTGGGGAGCAATACCCTTCCTTTGGTGCTATAGAGCAGGGACCAAGGGAACCATAGGTTGATTTTATAGCTCGGTTACAGGAGTCTCTTAAAAAGGTGATTGCAGGTTCGGCTGCTCAGGATACAGTGTTGCAGTTATTAGCTTTTGACAATGCTAGTCCTGATTGCCAGGCTGCTCTGCGACCTATCAGAGGGAAATCACATTTAGTTTATTATATCAAGGCCTGTGATGGTGTCAGAGGTAATCTGCGTAAAGCTACCTTGTTGGCAATGGCAATGGCAGGACTGAGAGTGGATAAAGGAAATACTCCATTTCCTGGAGCTTGTTTTAACTGTGGGAAGCGTGGTCATACTAAAAAAGAATGTAGAAAAAATCAGCGAGTCAGGCCGCCAGATAGGGGAAAAAAGAAAACTGTTGAGCCTGAAATATGTCCAAAATGTAAAAAAGGAAAACGTTGGGCTAATCAGCGTCACTCTAAGTTTGATAAAGAAGGGAACCTGATTTCGGGAAATGCCATGAGGGGCCTGTCCCGGGCCCCATTCTAAACTGGGGCGTTTCCAGCTCAGGCCATTCCCTCACCCCTGTACAATGTCTGTCCCCCACCACAGCCAGTAGTGCCACAGTAGATTTATGCTGCACAAAAGCTATGAGCCTTCTGCCTGGGGAACCCTCGCAAAAGGTCCCAACAGGAGTCTGTGGACCCTTGCCAGTGGGGACAATAGGATTACTTTTAGGAAAGTCTAGTTTAAGTTTAAAAGGCGTACAAATACATACAGGAGTCATTGGTTCAGATTACAATGGGGAAATTCAAATTGTCATATCTACTTCTGTTCCCTGGAAAGCAGAGCCAGGAGAGTGCATAGCATAGCTCCTGATTGTGCCGTATGTGGGAATGGGAAAAAGTGGAATTAAATGAACAGGAGGATTTGGAAGCACAAATAAACAAGGCAAAGCAGCTTATTGGGTAAATCAAATTACTGATAAATGCCCTACCTGTGAAATAACTATTCAGGGAAAGAAATTTAAAGGTTTGGTAGATACAGGAGCGGACATTTCCCTCATTTCTCTACAGCACTGGCCATCCACGTGGCCAGTTCAACCCGCTCAATTTAACATAGTTGGAGTTGGTAAAGCCTCTGAAGTATATCAAAGTAGTTATATTTTGCATTGTGAAGGGCCCGATGGACAATCTGGGACCATTCAACCAATTATAACTTCTGTACCTATAAATTTATGGGGAAGAGATTTATTACAACAATGTCAGCACAAGTTCTAATTGCAGAACAATTATATAGCCCTCAAAGTAAACATATGATGCATGAAATGAGATATGTCCCTGTTATGGGACTAGAAAAAAATTTGCAAGGTTTGAAAGAACCACTTCAAGTGGAAAGTCAAATTTCCCGCCAAAGATTAGGATATAATTTTTGATGGCAGCCATTGTTAAGCGTCCAGAACCTATACCTTTAAAATGGTTAACAGATAAGCCAATTTGGATAGAACAATGGCTGCTAAGTAAAGATAAACTGGAGGCTTTAGAGAAATTAGTTACTGAACAATTAGAAAATGGGCACATAGCTCCAACATTTTCCCCTTGGCATTCTCCAGTTTTCGTAATTAAGAAAAAATCAGGTAAATGGAGAATGTTAACTGACTTAAGAGCCATCAATCAGTTATACAACCTATGGGAGCATTACAGCCAGGATTGCCTTCTCCTGCTATAATTCCAAAAAATTGGCCTTTAATAGTCATAGATTTAAAAGACTGTTTCTTTACTTTCCCTTTAGCTAAGCAAGACTGTGAACAGTTTGCATTTACAATTCCTGCAGTAAACAACCTGCAGCCTGCTAAGCATTATCATTGGAAAGTGTTGCCACAGGGCATGTTAAACAGTCCCATAATTTGCCAGACGTATGTGGGGCAAGCAATTGAACCTACTCGTAGAAAATTTTCAGTGTCACATTATTCACTATATGGATGATATACTTTGTGCTGCCCCCACTCGAGAAATATTACTCTAATGTTATGATCACTTGTAAAATTTGATTTCTCGTGCTGGTTTAATTATAGCTCCTGACAAAATTCAGACTACTACTCCTTACTCCTACTTGGGGAACTTAGTAAATGACACTACCATTGTGCCACAGAAAGTAACCATACGTGGGGATCAACTAAAAACATTAAATGACTTTCAAAAATTACTAGGGGATATTAACTGGATACAACCTGCTCTAGGCATTCCTACCTATGCCATGAGTAATCTGTTTGCTATCCTTAGAGGAAATCCTAGTGTCACTAGCCCTTGGCAATTAACAAAGGAGGCTGAGGCAGAGTTACAAGTGATTGAGAAGCAAGTCCATAAAGCTTGAATAAATAGAATAGATCCAGAGAAGACTCTAGATTTGCGGATTTTTTCAACTCAGCATTCACCTACTGGTGTTATTGTCCAAGAACAGGACTTAATAGAGTGGCTTTTTCTTCCACATACTAATTCACGGACTCTAACTCATTTAAATCAAATCGCTATTATGATAGGGATTGGGAGAACTTGGATTGTTAAATAACATGGATATGATCCTGGAAAAATTATTGTCCCTCTCACGAAGGCACAAATACAGCAAGTTTTGTAAATAGTCTTACTTGGCAAACCCATTTAACTGACTTTGTGGGTAGTCTCAATAATCATTTTCCTAAAATGAAGCTGTTTCAGTTTTTGAAATTAACTAATTGGATTCTCCCCAAAATTACTAAATTTAAACCAATTGAAGGTGCTGAGAATGTTTTTACAGATGGGTCTAGTAATGGTAAAGCTTCTTATTTTGGATTGAAAGGTAAAGTTTTCCAGACACCCTCAGCTCAAAAAGTGGAGCTTGTAGCTGTAATTGAGGGATTGACTGCTTTTGATATGCCTATTAATGCGATTTCTAATTCTTCATATGTGGTTCATTCCACACAGTTAATTGAAAATGCTCAGTTACGATTTCATACAGATGAACAACTGATGACTTTATTTACCCAATTGCAAACAGTAGTTAGAAGTAGAATGCACTCTTTTTACATCACTCACATTAGGGCTCATACTCCTCTTCCAGGACCTTTGACTGAAGGAAATCAAATGGCTGATCGCCTAATTGCTAATGCAATATCTAATGCTAGACACTTTCACAATTCAACCCATGTTAATGCCTCTGGTCTCCAATGCAGATACAGCATTACCTGGAAAGAAGCTAAAGCTATTATCCAGTGATGCCCAACTTGCCAAATGGTACATTCTTCATCTTTTACAGGAGGATTTAATCCTCGAGGACTGGAACCTAACTCTCTTTGGCAAATGGATGTCACACATGTTCCCTCATTTGGGAGACTAGCTTATGTACCTGTATGTGTGGACACCTTTTCTCACTGTGTCTGGACTACATGCCAATCAGGAGAGTCTTCTGCCTGTGTTAAATGTCACCTTTGCAGTGTTTTGTGGTGATGGGCATTCCGGCTTCTATTAAAACAGATAATGCCACAGGCTATACTAACCAAGCTCTAGCCACATTTTTCTCTGTGGGGAATATTAAACACATTACTGGTATCCCATACAATTCTCAAGGACAAGCCATAGTGGAAAGAATGAATCTCTCCCTAAAACAGCAGTTGCAAAAGCAGAAAGGGAGAGACAGAGAATATGGAACACCACAGATACAACTAAATCTAGCATTATTAACTTTAAATTTTCTGAGCCTGCCCAAAGGCCAGAAGTTATCAGCAGCTGAACAGCATCTACAAAAACTAGCTGCAAAGACAGAAACAGAAAAACTGATTTGGTGGAGAGATCCAATAACAAAAAGTTGGGAAATAGGTAAAATAATAACTTGGGGTAGAGGTTATGCTTGTATTTCTCCAGGCCAAAATCAACAGCTGATTTGGATACTATCAAGACACCTGAAACCTTATCATGAGCCAGATGCCAAGGAAGCGACTCCTGGAGGATCCCGAGGACCCCTCAGTTGCAGCCATGTTGAGGCTGACACTGAGGAGGACCCCAACTCTCATGAGCAACACCTGTCAAACACAGCCACCCACCTGGGGACAGATCAAGAAGCTGTCACAGATGGCAGAAGAAAATCTGAGGAAAGCAGGACAACCAGTCACAATGAGTAATTTAATGGTAACTATAATAGCGGTTATCACCACTGCCATGAGTATTCCTTCAATAAGGGCTGACACAGAGAACAATTACACTTATTGAGTATATTTATCAATCTTGGCTGGCAATAATGCCTGGATGCAATCACTCTGTGACACAGTTACACATGCTTTCTGATCTCAGTATTTACTATAATAAACCTGCTCCTATAATTGAGGCATACCACCCTCAAAAACCTATTTGTAAACAGGATTGGACCGAGTTAGAAAAAATGAACATACTCATTCAGGAAGATTGCATTGCGGAACAGGCAGAGGTGCTGCACAATGATTCCTATGGAATCATCATTGATTGGTCCCCTAAGGGGATGTTTAGCTTGAATTGCACCTCTCAGTCTGCGTGCCACGGTCACACCATGTTCAGATGATCTGAACCAAACAGTCAGATGGTAGAAATGATAAGAAGTATGGCAAAAGTTCCTATTATCTGGAACCATGGTGGTATAGTGGCACCTCAACCTCAAATGATATGGCCCACTCTAGGAGCTTAACATAAGGATTTGTGGAAACTATTAAATGCTCTTAATAAGATCAAAATTTGGGAAAGAATAAAAAAGCATCTAAAAAGACACTCTACAAACTTGTCTTTGGATATTGCAAAATTAAAGAACAAATATTTAAAGCATTCCAGGCACACCTGACCTTAATGCCAGGAACCGGAGTGCTTAAAAGAGCTGCAGACAATTTAGCAGCTAGTAACCCATTAAAATGGATAAAAACACTTGGAAGTTCTGTGATTTCAATGGTGATTGTGCTTTTAATCTGTGTTGTCTTTGTATAGTCTGCAGATGTGGATCCTGACTCCTGTGAGAAGTAGCTCACCGTGACAAAGCTGCCTTTGCATTTATCGATTTGCAAATCAAAGAAGGGGGACATGTTGGGAGTAGCCCCCCCCCCCCAAAATCTGGCCATAAACTGGCCCCAAAACTGGCCATAAACAAAATCTCTGCAGCACTGTAACATGTTCATAATGGCCCTAACGCCCACGCTGGAAGGTTGTGGGTTTACGGGAATGAGGGCAAGGAACACCTGGCCCACCCAGGGTGGAAAACCACTTAAAGGCATTCTTAAAGCCACAAACAAGAGCTTGAGCGATCTGTGCCTTAAGGACATGCTCCTGCTGCAGTTAACCAGCCCAACCTATTCCTTTAATTTGGCCCATCCCTTCGTTTCCCATAAGGGATACTTTTAGTTAATTTAATATCTATAGAAACAATGCTAATGACTGGTTTGCTGTTAATAAATATGTGGGTAAATCTCTGTTCTGGGCTCTCAGCTCTGAAGGCTGTAAGACCCCTGATTTCCCACTTCACACCTCTATATTTCTGTGTGTGTGTCTTTAATTCCTCTAATGCCGCTGGGTTAGGGTCTTCCCGACTGAGCTGATCTCGGCATTTTGCTATTATAAATTATGCTGGTATGAATAGAATTGGGCAAAATTCTTTATATGCAGTATTTCCTTTAAACTTCCCTGAAAGTCTGTGAGGTGGTACTATATATATTTTCTTTTTACGGATTAGAAAACTGAGGATCAGAGAGAAGTTAAATAATTTGTCAAAGGTCCCTCTCTTAGTTTGGGTTCCCAGAAGCAGACCTTGAATAAGGACTTAAGTGCAAGGGGTTAAAGAAGAGATCTCAGGAAAAACTAGTAGTGAAATAGAAACATGAGACAAGGGAGGGACGGCAGCCAATGAAATGTTCATTATCAAGCAAGTTACCATCATCGATGACCAAAACTTAATCCTCGTGGGACTCTGGAAGCCAGTGTAGAACTCATATCTTAGAATTATCTTGCATGAGGGATGAGGGAGCTGAATATTTTTCACCAACTCCAGTCAGTCTTGGTTGAGGTTGCTTCTAAGGGGTGCTAATTTCCTGTCACTTCTGCCTGCTATGGAAAAGGGGCAGGTAGGAGGTGAGTGGGCAAAGCAGGCTCTGGCAGACAGATAAATGAAGGTGATGGCAGTCAGAAGTTGGCAGGACTTCCTACAGTGTTGAGGGTAAGGGGGGCACTGAGAGGAGCACTGCAGCCACATTGCTAGTAACTCTCAGAGCTGGGATGTGACTGTAGATGTGCCCAACTCCAGAGCCCATGCCCTTAGTGATCCGGCTTTGCAGAGAAATGAAACCTCCCTGTGGCCTTGGGCAAGTCCCCTCATCTTCAGAGGTCCAGGATCTGATGAAGATAATGCTATCTGCCGTATTTGACTCAAAGCACTGTGATAAGACAACAGACAACAGGGCGTGTCAGCACTTGAATTATCTGTTCAGCATTATCATTGAATGTTCCCATCAGGTGGGTAGGAATCACATCAGGCAGACATTCAGTGCTTTCCTGATAATAGCTAATTAGAAGAAATTAATAGAAGATAGGCCAGTTCCCAGAGTTTATGAGATGAGCAGTTTTCTAAATTAATTACCTAGTATGCAAGGTACACATGGTTCATTGAAATACAATATAAGGTCTTGATGAACTTTGGAGCATTCCATTTTTCTGGCAAGAGGGAGACAGACACAATTGCTCATCTCTATGCACTGACAGTCTCCAGGTCTGCATTCTCCCAGGAGGGAGTTTAATTGCTCCATAAGCTTCAAATTCAAGGGCTCCTCAATGCTAAGTTCCTGATGAGCTGCATT
Source organism: Homo sapiens (assembly GCF_000001405.40). NCBI lineage: Eukaryota > Metazoa > Chordata > Mammalia > Primates > Hominidae > Homo > Homo sapiens. Next base: position 48,512,001 of record NC_000001.11, on the reverse strand, counting down.
AAAGTAATAATGACAAAGATGCCAGTTGATGTATTTATTAAATATGTGGATCCTGAAGGAGCCAATGTGGGCTGTTCACGCCAATGTCATTCCAGATGGGAGGTCAGCACTGCTGCAGCCCTCTCACCTAAATTCACGCTTAAGGGTAAGGTCAAGACAAGCTAGAGAATTAAACCCTGCTCTGTCTGACTGCAAAATCATGTTTCTCTATCCAACCACCTATGTGTTCTTTCCTGTTGAAGATGTTTTGAAGTGTTATCAATTGCCAGGAAACAAATGTGAATGAGTTGCACAGAACCATTATTTTGTGGTAGCTACCTGGAGCAAGATTTCTATACTCTGCCCTCACCCTGGTCTATATGTATATAAGTATTTGTCTAGACTTTTGTCTTGGTAGTATGGAGGGAGCATGAGTTAATATTTCAAGGATTTGGGTTTGTAAAATTAGCAATACTTACTACCAGGCACTACAGCTGTAATTCAAGGAGCTTTCACCAGGTGAGTAATGGTGCTAACATCTCCAATTTCTACTACTACTAATGCCAGGGATAGTTCTCATTTTATAGATAAGGAGCTAAAGGCACAAAAAGTGGCATGCCCATAACCACACTACTAGTAAGTAAAAAGTGAGGATTCAAAATTCACTTCAGTCTGGCTTCAAAGCCCAAGCTCTTTGACACCATGATACTGCCTCCAACCATCTAGATATTCCCCACTCTCAAAATGCAGCTTTAAAATCCATGAATGTGCCAACAGTTCCAGATCATCATCTCTAGTCTGACACTGTCCCAGAAATTCAGATTCATATAGCCATTTCTTTACTAGGTATCTCAGACTTAAACAGAATTCTTGATTTCCACATGTATTTTTATCCTTGCCCCAAATGTCCTCCTCTTTTTTCCTCTACTTCCCTGCAATCCATTCTCCACACACAACCAAGGGACTCTTTTTTTTTGAGACATAATCTTGCTCTATCACCCAGGCTGGAGTGCAGTAGAACAATCTCAGCTCACTGTAACCTCTTCCTCCCAGGTTCAAGCGACTCTCCTGCCTCAGCCTCCTGAGTAGCTGGGATTACAAGCGCCTGCCACCATGCCCAGCTAATTTTTGTATTTTTAGTAGAGATGGGTTTTCAGCATGTTGGCCATGCTGGTCTCGAACTCCTGACTGCACATGATCCACTCACCTCAGCCTCCCAAAATGCTGGGATTACACACGTGAACCACCATGCCTGGCCCCAAAGGACTCTTTTTCAAAAACATAAATCATATCATCATTTCCCTGCTAAGAGCCCTTCCCCCTTTTCCCATCATGCTTAGGTTAAAATGGGTTAGTTGAAACCTGCCAATCTTAGCTTGACACCCATAACCCTACATGATGTGATCCTTAACCACCTCTCAAACCTCTGCTCCCACCACACTCTCCTTTGTACACTGCAGCCACACTGACCTTCTTCCTATTTCTCAAACACACCATATTCATTCCAGATTTGGGGTTATTACATGAGCTATCCCCTCCCCTGGTTGCTGCTCACATGTATCCTCCTCAGATGGCCTTTTCCTAAACACTCAACACCAACAGACTGTGGCTGCCAGGTCTACTCTAACATATACATATATAATCTATCTCACCAGCCCATTTAGACTATTTGACACTTACTGCTCTTCAAGTCCAATTACCATGATGCCATAAATATAGTGGACCAGTGTGAGACATTCTATGGACTGTCCAAACAATCAAGTTCCTCTAGACTACACTGTACCAGAGAGTGAGAGAATCAGTGTAGCTCTGGAGCAAGATGGTTTGTACTTCTGTCCTTTTAATTCTTTTCTATGGTGGGAATTAAAAGTATATACTTACCAAATCAAAAGAATATACTTAGAAATATGCTGTTTCTATGTGTTCTAGTAAATATATCACATCCTGCATAACCACAATTAGGCTACCATTTGATTACATCTACAGTAATCCAGCATCTCCTACCATAATCATCTGTTTTGTTCAGCTGGTCAGAATGGTGAATTAAATAAGAATATGTTGTGGACCACTACCCCTACATCTTCTAATATCTACCATTCTACTATAAAAAGTATTGCTTTTAATTCATTATTTTTCCTGGATGGGGTATAATATGGGGGAGGCAGGGCATGCATATTCCCTTTCCCACAATAATAACTCTTGCTTCACAGATCATGAAACAAACCTGAAATTTCTGTCAACTGTTAGGTATATCCATCTCACTTATGCACTTGATTGGTGCATCAGCTCTACTACAAAGTGTATATGGACCAGGTCTCAACTTACTCCTGGATTCCCTAGGCCTCCACTCTAATAAGGAAGCCATGTTTGCATTTAGGGTTTCTTAGAAAAATCCCAGTTCAGATCCTAAATTCAGAAGCCCTCAAAGAGCTGGATACTCCTCACTCCCTGGTAGTCAGTGCTCCAGGAAATAGTCATAGGTCCCTCTGGAGAAATATTAGGAAAAACACTACTGTATATACTGTGGTATTATAGGATCCTTCTAGAAGGAGATCTGGCTTTACTTCATCAATGAGCTCTGGATTTGAGAACTGGCTCAAGATTGGAATCTGGGCAAAGGGTCATACATAATTTTTTCCTTTGTTTGGTAGCTAACGTCAACTTTATATTTACCTTCTCTCAGACTTTTTTGTTAAGTCAAGAAAAACCCTCATTGTCTGCCTATCTATGTCACCACTTTCACTAGCACATTTCTTACTGCATTAGTGAAGGCTGTCTTTAGGACCCTCATAGGTAACACAATCAGCCTGATGGGTTCTCCAGACTTCTATAGAAAATCTACTCTAGCATTGACCACTTCCTTATACTCTTTGACCCCTTTTTAATATTTTTTCATGACAATTCTAGCATCTTTCCTACTGTAGATCATTGTGTATGTGTGTGTTTATGTGTGCACACTTGCATTCTTGAGGATGTTTGTGTCTGTATTCATAAGAGATAATGGTCTATAGTCTTATTTCCTTATAATGTCTTTGTGGGTTTTTGTATCAGGATAATATTAATAGCCACATAGAATGATTGGGAAGTGTTATCTCCACTTCACACACCAGTGTGCATGCATGTATTTTCAAGATTAGTGAAGCAATATAGCAGCATATTAGGACTGGCTTCAGATGTCTTTTGGGATGTTAAATACTAAGTCACAGGTTAATGCCCCCCACATTGATAAAAATCTCTCTTACCCAGTCTTACATTAACCTTCTCCCCACCCCCAGCACTAGTGCCTCAGGATGCATTCCCAGGAGGTACTTCCAGTTTGTGGTGGTGCATAGTGGTCAGGTGAATGATCCTTTTGCCCATAAGAGTGGGTCTTTTGAAAAGAATTGATAAAATCAACAAACCTCTGATTAGACTCATCAGAAAAATAAAAAGTGAGAGGATAGAAATTACTAATATAAGGAATAAAAAGGGAGACATAAGTACAGCTCCTAGAGATTATAAAGGATAATAAGGAAATATTATGAACCAATTTATTCCAACAAATTTGACAGCTTAGATGAGATAAAAAATGTCGTGAAACATGCAAACCAAAAGCTTACTCACCAAACTTCACTCAAGAATTAGATCACCCAACTTGCCAAAAAAACACTTCAGGCCAGAATGGCTTCACTGATGAATTCTATCAAACATTTATGAAAGAAATAATACCAGTTCTTCACCAATTCTTCAGAAAATAGAACTGGAGATAACACTTCTCAATCATTCTATGTGGCTATTAATATTATCCTGATACAAAAACCCACAAAGACATTATAAGGAAATAAGACTACAGACCAATATCTCTTATGAATACAGACACAAACATCCTCAAGAAAAGTTTTGCAAATCAAATACAGCACTGTATAAAAAGGGTGAGACATTTTTACCAAGTCAAAAAATCCCCGAAATGCAAGGTTGGTTTTTAACATTTGAAATTAGGGTGATTCACTAATTAGAATTAAAATGAAAATTTATGTGATCATTTCAATAGATGTGGAGGAAGCATTGACAAAAGTTCAACATCTATTCATGGTTAAAACCAAAATATAAAAACCTGTCAGCAAAGTGGGAATAGAATATAGTTTATCAACCTGATAAACAGCATCTAGAGTAGGCCTAGAAACAATGACAGGTCCAGTAGTAGTGAGCATCCCTGGTGCCTGCAAGGTGGTCTTAAAACACCATTTCTCATGAAAAGAAATTAGGGCTTCTCAGAAAAATGTCTTCTTCTGGGTCTGTGACAGAAAATATTCCAGATAAACCTGGAACATCTTGCCTAACCATAGAGCAAAAACAATGTTGAAGACTACTAAGGGCCAGTTAAAAGGACTGAGGAGTCAGCTTGTAACACTCTCAGTGGCTAAAGAAGGGACAATTTGGGCTTCAATAAGTGTAACAACTGCAATGGCTTAAAAATGCCAAATATGTTTAAATCCATTATTAGTTCAGTAAAAAATGATTTCGTTTCATGGAATGATAGGACAGCTCATTATCTTGAGTAAATCATTATCTTGGAAACTGGTAAATAGAAAGAATAAAAATTTTATCCTGACTTTCTTGTGAGAACTGGAAACTGTGCTAACAGCAATGTATTAGTCAGGGTTCTCTGGAGAAACAGAACCAATGGAAATCTCTAGCTAGCTAACTATGTATAAAGAGAGAGAGAGAGATTTATTATGAGGAATTGGCTTATGGAGGCTGAGATGTCCTATGAGCTACTGTCTGTATGCTGGAGATCCAGGAAAGCTGACAGCATAGTTCAGGCCAATGGCCTGAGAACCAGGGGAGCTGAGGGTGTAAGTCTCAATCCAAAGGCAGAAAAAGACTGATGTCCTAGCTCAAACCGTCAGGCAGAAAGAGATCATTCAACCTTCCTTTGCCTTTTTGTTCTATTCAGACCTTCAATGTGTTGCATGGTGCCCACCCACACTGAGAAGGGCAAATTGAATTATGCTAATTCAAATGCTAATCTCATTTGGAAACACCCTCACAGACACTTCCAGAAATACTGTTTAACCAGACATCTGCACATCTCATGGTCAAGCTGACACATAAAATTAACCATCATTATCAAAAACAGAAAAAAACAGACATTATGGGCTTTCTGTTGAGAGAACACGTCACTATCTATATTTTGAAAAAAACAAAAAACTCTGAATCTGAACAAGTCTCTAGATTCAATTACTAATTTTCATGAAATGCAGAGAAACTTATTAACCTATACCATGAGGGATCAATCAGTAAAACTGAGACTTAAGTCACCTAAACATCAAATAACCTAAGATCATCCAAAATAAATTGCAAGTGTAAGGATGGGGAGTTAGAGGGGGATACTTTAAAGAGATTGTGAAACATATAAAACAGGGAGAACCAATCTGTATTATTTAGAGATTCACCCTAAATGATAAAACTATAGAGAAATACAAAAGAGTGATTACTATAAAAATTAAAGATAATGGTTACTTTGAGAGGGGAGGAAGAAGGCTGTGATGGGGTATATGAAGGGCTTTTGAGCTAGTTAGCGATGTTCTATTTCTTGACTTTGGCGGTAGCTATAGGGCTGTTTGCCTTAAAATAATCCAATAATCTACTCAACTGTAGCTTTGTTTCATGTGCTTTTCTGTATATGTGTTTTATTTTATAATAAAGAAGTGTTAAGTCACTATTAAGAAAGTGATTTGAGGCTGGGTGCGATGGCTTAAGCCTATAATCCCAGCACATTGGGAGGCTGAGGCAGGTGCATTGCTTGAGCCCAGGAGTTTAAGACCAGCCTGGGCAACATGGTGAAATCCTGTCTCTATAAAAAATACAAAAATTTAGGTGGGTGTGATGGCGCATGCCTGTCCTCTCAGCTACTGGGGGTGCTGAGGTGGGAGGATCATCTGAGCCCTGGGGGTGGAGGTTGCAATGAATTGAAATCACGCCACTGCACTCCAGTCTAGGCAACACAGAAAGACCCTGTCAAAAAAAAAAAAAAAGAAAAGCGATTTGAGTGGGAGAAGATATTTGTACCCATATAATCAACAAAGGAGAATATTCAAAACACAATAAATAACTCCTGAAAATTCATTAGAAAATAGTAATCAACTGTGTTGTAGAAACAGATGGAACACTCATATTGACAAATTTGTGGAGAGTTTTACAAACATAAATTTACAAGATTGAGAGTAGGGTGTAGGGAGACCACAGTTACCCCTCCAAGTCTGAAAGGACAAGGAGACATAACAGTCCCTAGAATCTAGAAGCACAAAGAGTTGCTGCAGAGAGCTGCCTTCCAGAAATTGTGGTCAAAGGATGCAGTCAGCCCCTTCTGACTCTGCAAAGAGGAAGGTGGTGGAATAAATACTCCAGTCTCCCTTCCCTTCCTCCCTTCAGTGCTCAACAAGTGCTGAAGTTAGAGGTCAAGGATCCCATGTCTGTAATCCATTTGGGTCAGCCTCCGAGGACAAAAGGCAGAGTAAAGAAGTTGTGAATGGATCTGGAGGTGCAACTGAAAGATGTCCTGCACAAAAGCTCTGTAGACAAGTGATCAAAAAAACTTAAATGGCCAAAACTCTTATAAGAAGGTGTTCAACCTGATTCGTAATTAGGGAAATGCAAATTAAAGCCACATGACATAAAGGCAACAAGTGAGGCCAGGCGCAATGGCTCACGCCTATAGTCCCAGCACTTTGGAAGGTTGAGGCAGGTGGATCACCTGAGATCAGGAGTTCAAGACCAGCCTGGCCAATATGGTGAAACCCTGTCTCTACTAAAAATACAAAAATTAGCTGGGCATGGTAGCGGGTACCTGTAACCCCAGCTACTTGGGAGGCTGAGGAAGGAGAATTGCTTGAACCTGGGAGGCAAAGGTTGCAATGAGCTGAGATTGCACCATTGGACTCCAGCCTGGGTAACAGAGTGAGACTGTCTCAAAAATAAAATTAAAAAAAAATAAAAAGGCAACAAGTGTTGGTGAGGATATAGAGAAACTGGAACATTTGCACACTGTTGGTGAGAATGCAATATGGTGCAGCTGTTTGAAAAACAATATGGAGGTTACTAAAAAAAATGGAACTACTATATGATCCAGCAATTCCACTTCTGGGTAATGATCCAACTGAACTGAAATCAGGATCTCACACTTCTGGGTAAAGATCCAACTGAACTGAAATCAGGATCTCAAAAAGATATTAGCACTCTTATGTTCACTGCAGCACTATTCACAATAGCCATGATGTGCAAACAACCTAAAAGTCCATTGACAGATGAATGAAAAAAGGAAATGTGGTATATATATATACAAAGAAATACTCTTCAGCCTTAAAAAAAGAAGAAAATTCTGCAATATGCAACAACATGGATGAACCTAGAGGACATTATTCTAAGTGAAATATGACAGTTGCAGAAAACCAAATACTACAGAATTCCTCTTATGTATCTAAAATAGTCGAATTCATAGAATGAAAGAGTAGTTGCCAGGGGTGTGGGGAGGAGGAAGTGGAGAATGACTAATTGGTGGGCATAAAGTTCCAGTTAAGCAAGATGAATAAGCTCTGGAGATCAGCTGTACAACATTGTATCTATAGTCAACAATAAGTACTGTACACTTAGGAATTTGTTAAGAGGGTAGATTTCAGATTATGTGTTCTTACCACAATCCAACTAAGTTAACTTTTAAAAACGTCAGATTAACAAGAATTTAAAAGTCTGATAGTACCACATGTTGGCAAGGGTATGGAGCAATGGGAACTCTTCCACCACTAAGTACATCAATTGGTATGATTTTGAAAAATAATTTGGTGTTATATAATTCAGTTGACAATACTCTCAGGCTATGACCCAACAATTCCACTCCTGGGTATATATTCTAGAGAAACTGATGCCCAAGTCCTGAGGGAGGCATACACAAGCATACCTAAAGCAGCATTGTTTGTGGCTGGGTGCGGTGGCTCACGCCTGTAATCCCAGCACTTTGGGAGGCCGAGGCAGGCAGATCACAAGGTCAGGAGATCAAGACCATCCTGGCTAACACCGTGAAACCCCGTCTCTACTATAAATACAAAAAATTAGCCAGGCGTGGTGGTGGGTGCTTGTAGTCCCAGCTACTCGGGAGGCTGAGGCAGGAGAATGGTGTGAACCCGGGAGGCGGAGCTTGCAGTGAGCCGAGATCGCGCCACTGCACTCCAGCCTGGGTGATAGAGCGAGACTCCATCTCAAAAAAAAAAAAAAAAAAAAAAAGCAGCACTGTTTTCAATAACATGATGGGAACAACCCAAATGTCCACAAACTGTAGAATGAATAGATAAAATGTGCTATATCCACATGATGAGATTCTACTCAACATTAATAACATTGCAACTCACAACAATACAAATGAATCTCAATGTATTGCTGATTGAAAATAGCAAGACATAAAAAGTACATAATGTGTGATTAAATTTACATTAAATTTAAAACAGAGAAAACTAAGTTAAATCATGTATGCATACATACGTAGGTGATAAAAATATAAAACAAAGCAAGAGAATGATCTCGTAAAGGTCAGAATAGTAGTTACGCCTAAGGAGAGGGAAGAGGTAGATGAACAGATCAAAGGGACAGGAGGTGCTGGGGAATAGTCCGAGGCTGCTGGAAGTGTTCTATTTCTTTATAAGGACGTGTCATATTTTACAAAAAAAAAATTATTTTAAAGGGTGACCACTAGAAAACTGATTGGAAGCTTTGTGGGCATGGGTAAGGCTTAATAACTGGTCAACTTAACTGCAGAATGACTGATTTTGTTCACTGCTAAATCCCTGGTCCCTTGAACAGTTTTTACTTGTTGTAGGTGCTCAGCAAATATTTTTTAAATGAATGAATGAATGTTTTAGGTACATCTTTTTGTGTTAATAAGATCCATCTGTGCCTCACCTACCATAAAGTAGGCTGGGGGAAGCTCTTAGGTTCCGCATACCTTGGAGTTATAGACTTGACTGAGAATTCAGTCTGTGGGTCTATTGGTCTCTGAGGTAGCCTAAGGGAACTGTACTAAGACAAATCTTGCTATGCCTCATATCCACATCCTTGATGCTAAATAAATATTTTTGTTTACTTCTGCTAATACTCATTTTAGCTGGTACTTTGACTGCAAAACAATAGAAGTTCTTTAGAGCAGGGATTATTATACTGATTTAATAGATGAGGACCATGGTGGACATGGTTCATTTTCTTTCCATCCACTCTACTCATCCTCAGTTGTGTAGCCTAGGCTGATGGATGAGATTTAACTCCACTTTCAATTCCAGAGGTGGACCTTGATTAGCTGAGAACAGGGGTTGGCAGGTTTTTTTGTTTTTTTTTCTGAAAGGCCCAATTGGTAAATATTTTAGGCTTTGCAGGCCATTAGATCTCTTTCCCAATTACTCAACTTTGCCAATGTAGCATGAAAGAAGCTATAGATAATCCATACACAAATGAACATTTGTGTGTTCTAAAACCAGTTTATTTACAAAAACATGTGGCAGGCTGGATTTGGCCCATGACCCCCAGTTTGCCGGTCCCTGGCCTAGAGCTGCCTTTCTCAACTAGGTTCCTCATCTGAACTACTCAACACAGAAAATTGTTGAAATTTTTGCAAGTACAAAGTTCTTGATTTTCCCAAGTGCAGAAAAGACTCTAGAGCAGTGATTCTCAAAGTGTGGTCTCCAGTCCTGCAGCTGTTATCCCCTACTGACTCCAGTAGGGGTGGCACTGTGTCAAAGAGACCCAGAGATGGTGAATGAGACATAGAGTTTACTGGGGGGACTTACATACAGGGATGGTCTAGTGGTAGCAGCCTAGAGAGGAGAACCGCTACCATTTGTAAAAAGCATGCAGTTTATGTAGCATTTTCACTTAGTACCTATGATGGGTAATACTGAGTGTTAACTTGATTGGATTGAAGGATACAAAGTATTGATCCTGGGTGTGTCTGTGAGGGTGTTGCCAAAGGAGATGAACATTTGAGTAAGCAGGTTGGGGAAGGCAGACCCACCCTTAATCTGGGTGGGCACAACGTAATCAGCTGCCAGTGCGGCTAGAATATAAGCAGGCAGAAAAATGTGAAAAGATAGCCTTCCCTAGCCTCGCAGGCTACATCTTTCTCCCGTTCTGGATGCTTCCTGCCAGAATATTGGACTCCAAGTTCTTCAGTTTTGGAACTGGGGCTGGCTCTCCTTGCTCCTCAGCCTGCAGACAGCCTATTGTGGGACCTTGTGATTGTGTGAGTTAATACTTAATAAACTCATTATATATATATATGTGTGTGTGTGTGTGTGTGTGTGTGTGTGTGTATATGTGTGTGTATATACACACACACACACACACACATATTCCATTAGTTCCGTCCCTCTAGAGAACCCTAATACAATACCCTCCTGCCAGCAACCTCTACCTGACAACCTTCATGTAACCCAAAACAAAGGGCCTCAGTCTCCACACGGCCAACATTCCAAGGGATGGGCCATGGATTCAAATGTCCTTCATAGATAGTAAGTGAACCTCTGGGTTGGTCCCTCCTAGATTCCTTAGCCCAGTACTCTGAACACACATTCTTCTTAGGCCATAGGGTCGTTCTCAGGTTATGCTTAAGTTATTGCTGTCAGGTGCATCTGCCATCCAGCAGCATTGGCATCACCTGATTGCTGATAGTAATGTAAAGGCTTAAAGATCCACCCCTGAGTCAGCAACTGTGGTCATGGAGCGCAGCAATCTGTGTTTTAACAAGCCCTTCAGGGGATTCTGAGCACACTCAAGTTTGAGGATTATTCTCCCAGACTGAGTCTAGAATCATCAAGAAAATGTCTTTTCACTTGCCAAAGTGTCAATTCAGAAGTACAGCTAATCAGTAAATGGGATTCCCATAATCCTAGAGATTAGTTTAGGTGTGATCTAATACTGGGAACATTTTCAAAATACTTAACAACCAGCATAACAAGGCCCCAACCAATCAGGGTAGGGACTAGCCGTGGCACCAGAGCAGGGTTCTGAAGGGCCCTGTCACGCACGTCCGTGTGAAGTGACCACCAAACAGGCTTTGTGTGAGCAACAAGGCTGTTTATTTCACCTGGGTGCAGGCAGGGTGAGTCCGAAAAGAGTCAGTGAAGGGAGACGGGTGGGGCCGTTTTATAGGATTTGGGTAGGTAGTGGAAAATTACAGTCAAAGGGGTTTTTTCTCTTGCATGCAGGAGCAGGGGTCACAAGGTGCTCAGTGGGGGAGCTTCTGAGCCAGGAGAAGGAATTTCACAAGTTTAGTCGCTCATTCAAGGTGGGACAGGAACAAATCACAATGTGTGGAACGTTATCAGTTAAGGCAGGAACCAGCCATTTTCACTTCTTTTGTGATTCTTCACTTGCTTCAGGCCATCTGGATGTATACGTGCAGGTCACAGGGGATATATGATGGCTTAGCTTGGGCTCAGAGGCCTGACAGGCCCCTCTGACACCAAACATTAATCCTTTCCTTGCTTAAGCATGAAGTGGCCTGTGGGGTTCTGGGTGGGAAGCTAGAGTGGCTAGTGTAGGAAGGAGACATTTGAGTATCAAATAGTCACTGGGTACTTAAGTAGCTACTTGGCAGTTGTATCAAAATGTCTCACTATTTTAACAACTGGTTCAGCTGTACCAGTGCATACCAGCAGCAAAGCTGTCCTGGTTCAATTGGCACAAGCCTCAAGCCTTACCTTCAGTGATTGTGGAAACAGTGCCCTGCTCCTCCTCTGTGTGATAAAGCCTGTACTCTATAAGACACCAACCTAAAGATGATGGCAACGCAGGGAGGAGTACCCAGCCTAGAGAAATCACAGAGCAATGAAGCTGCAACTCTGAAGGAGCCATGCCCAAAGCTCCTCCTACTTTTGGATGTTTCATTTACATGACCCAGTTTGAGTTGAATTTTCTAGCTTTTACATCTGAAAGCATTGTATCAGTAAAAACAAAAATAAGGCCCATAAAGGTATCGGAAGGAAAGCATGTTTCCAAGGGCCTGACCAAAATGTTCCCCTTTCTTCCTGAAGTTCTGGGTAATGCAGATCCTCCCTTCTTCACTGGGGTGTCTGACGGGAAACAGCTCAGGCACCCTTTCGCCCCAGTTGTGTGTTGGGCTGGCTGCAATGCTTGTTTATTAGCGAAATGCATCTGATCAGAGAGGCCCGCGTGACAAGTTCATTACATATCAATTTAATTAGCTGATTTACATTTAATTTACATTTCAATTAATGTATTTAGCAACCAAACACAGCCTTAATAGGGTAATTGCCTGTTAGGCAATATGTAAAAGAATAAACAGTTGCATTCTGAGGAAGAATTCCTATTTTCAAATTTTTATTACCATAAATAACTGAAATAATTATTGCTCTTAAGGGCCACGTCCTCGTTTCCTTCTGGGTCTAATTATAAAGACTTAGTACCTCATTAAGCAAAATGGTTTCAGAGTCACAGAAAAACATCACTCCAATCGTGACTCATTAGTTTCAACAAAAGAGGGGGAAACTGTGAAGTAGGCACATTTGGGCGACTGGGGGATTTAACTGTTAATACAGGCAGTTGTCCTTGTCCTTGTCTTAAAAAGCCTTGTCCTTCCGGAGCCACACCTTCATGACGGCAGACGGTGTTTTTGTCCTGCACACCTGTTGGGATGTTGGTGTGAGGGTTACACAGACAGCCTATATTAAGTATTTTTAGAGACAAGGAATTCACTACCTCCTGCGGCAGGCATTATCAAGCTCTGGGCTTTAAAAGTTCTTCCTTTATTAAGATAAAATCTGTCCCCCACCTTAAAAGAATTCTAGTAGGTGCCTGTTAGAGAAGATGCTTTGCCAGAGGCATAGTTATTATACAGTCATAATTATTTAATAAGAGAAACTGGCTGCTATGTCACAGAATAGACGGGAACAGAAATGAGCTGGGAACTGCGGAAGGAAGGGCAGCTGGCCTGAGAAATGTGGAGAATGAGGTTCCGTACCTTGAGAGTTCAAGAGGAAAAAGCTGCCCTACACCCAGAGTGAATAAATACTAGGAGAGAGGAAGGGACAGAGCTTTGGGTCTGGGCAGAGTCAGATACCAGGACCACAGTGCAAACGGGACTGGCTTGTTCCTTGAGAAGTGGCTGTGTGTCTTCCAGGAAGTTGCATTCCTAGGAAATTTGCTGAACGAACAAGTGCTAAGAACTGAAAACGCTAGGCCAAAAGGATGGGGTCTCTTTAGGCTGGGGTTATCCCTCCTCAAGGAACCATGGCAAGCGTTACTGTCAACTCTGCAGTGGCATCTTTCGTACTCTGTTGGGCTGTCTTCAACAGTGCCACCACGTGGGAGCAGGACGCCACGGCAGGAGGGGAACACGCGGGCCTTCTGTCTGCATTTGCCTGTGAGTACCTTAATGGACCCCTGTTTCCATATGATTCTTACTCAGAGGAATGAAGGGAAAGCGCGGGAAAGAGGAACTGGACTTCCAGAAAAAACTCTTATGGGAGGTGCGAGATGGAGGAATTTGATTATTTAATTCTAAAAAAAGGGACCATATTTACATCCTAATATTTTGAAAGCATTCATCCCAGTTATATGACGAGTCTAGTCACTCTAGTCTGGATCAGGTTTGTTGATAGCCTTTTAAAAACAGATAGCAAGTTCTGAAGGCTGAGTTCAGAGTTGGTGAGCACGGTTCATGGGAAAGGAGGCTCTCAGGATGGCAGCAGCCGGGCCTCACCAGCAGGGGGCGTCTGAACTCCTCTTGTTCTCCCTGGTATTTCTCTGATAAGCTTCAGGCAGTGACTCTCATAGCCCTACCAGACTCAACCCTCCTTTTTTTATAACAAATATTTTGTAACGCTTTCTTCACTATTTAAAAATCACAGAAAATATAACTTGCCTTCACACAACTTTTTAAAACATGTAAATAATATTCTAACTGTAATACAAAAGAAAAATAAAAGCGAAGTAATGTGCAATAGAATAATAATGTATTTCCATATCTAAATGATCTGGGATGGCCACATAAAAAGACTTAATAGTGTATGCTTTTCATCTCTTCATAAAATTACCCAAATGTGAGAACTGCAAATGCTAACTGACTCAATCAGGAATGTTGAATTGGTGATTCAAATACTACCACTAGCTGCAAATAATATGCTTTGCTAAGCTCTTGTACAACTCCTGGTAGAGTTCTGAACAAAACAAAATATAGTCTTCTTTTGATTTAAAAGGAGGTTGCACCTTTTGGCTGGAACTGCCATCTTCCAGTAATTTGCCAAAATGACGCAGACAAAGGGAAAGAGGAGAGGCACCTGATACATATTCTCAAATCCGTTTAGAAAGCATGGAGTTGTTTCTTTGGCCACATACATGTGAATCTACAAGAAAGGCGCTATTCTAGACATCAAGGGAATGGGCACTGTTCAAAAAGGAATGCCCCATAAATGTCACCATGGCTAAACTGGAAGAGTCTACAGTGTCACCAGGCATGCTGTTGGCATATTGCAAACAAACAAGTTAAGGGCAAGATTGTCGCCAAGAGAACAAATGTGCATATTGAGCATATTAAGCGCTCTGAGAGCCAAGGTAGCTTCCTGAAATGCATGAAGGAAAGGATCAGAAAAAGAATGAAACCAAAGAGAAAGTCACCTAGGTTCAACTGAAGTGCCAGCCTGCTCCACCCAGAGAGGCACACTTTGTGACAATCAGTGAAAAGGAGCCTGAGCTGCTGGAACCTCTTCCTTATGATTCATGGTGTAACAGGTGTAAATAATAAATAAATACAAGACCTCTGGACTATTAAAAAAGAAGTTGCATTCCTGAAAAATGTTTGCTGTATTAAAGCCATGCAAAAAAGACTGAGTTTATATGTAAAATGAAATTAAGCTAAAAACTCAACTATTTATAAGCAAGTTTTCCACCTATATGAATATGTGAAGGGGCCAGGGGAGGTGGTTCACACCTGTAATCCCAGCACTTTGGGAGGTGGAGAGGGAGGATTGCTTGAGCTCAGGAGTTTGAGACTAGCTTGGGCAACATGGTGAAACCCCATCTCTACAAAAAATACAAAAAATAGCCAGGTGTGGTGGCATGCGTCTGTAGTTCCAGCTACTCAAGAGCTTGAGATGGCAGAATCCCTTGAGTTCAGGTGTCAGAGGTAGCAGTGAGCCGAGATCGTGCCACAGCACTCCAGTCTGGGTGACAGAGCTAGACCCTGTCTTTAAAATAAAAAATAAAAAGAATATGTGAAGGGATAAGACTTGGAGTTGCTGAACAATTCTTTTTTTTTTTTTTTTTTTTGAGACGGAGTCTTGCTCTGTCGCCAGGCTGGAGTGCAGTGGCATGATCTCGGCTCACTGCACCTCCGCCTCCCAGGTTCAAGCGATTCCCCTGCCTCAGCCTCCCGAGTAGCTGGGACTACAGGCGTGAGCCACCATGCCCGGCTAATTTTTTGTATTTTAGTAGAGATGAGGTTTCACCATGTTGGCCAGGATGGTCTCAATCTCCTGATCTTGTGATCCACCTGCCTGGGCCTCTCAAAGTGCTGAGATTACAGGTGTGAGCCACCACACCCTGGCCTGAACAATTCTTTACTGTGTAGGAATACCTAGCACTTATGAGTCTTGCTTACTAGGTACCAGGAGCATCACTCAATTGTGACAACCATTTTTAAATGGCCCACAAATTCCTGAAACACTTACAGGGTGAAATCATCCTTATGGAGAATCGCTTGCCTACAGCAATGCAGATTTATGCCTCTGTTTCCCTTCCTTAGAACCCCTGTTCCCTTTGAACTAGGATTTCTGTCCTGAACCCCAACTTCCTGCCTGATTCTTGTCATTGCCAATGCCTGGGGATGTAGGACTGATTCTGCTCCTAAATTCTCAGCTGTTCCCTACCGGAAAGATTACTCAGGGCTACCATACAGACTATCATCACACTCTGAAGATTGTGCAAACTACTTTGCCTGGCTTGTGGCCTTCTTTATGCCATGAGTGGGTCCTGCTTGTCCACCTTGGGAACTGTAGCCCATGTGATAGTGTCCCACCCCTATTACCCAGCTTCCCCATGTCTTTGCTCACCGGCCTGACTTCCAACAGCCAGCACCTGTGATTTTCGGCTTGCTTTACCTACTGAAGCTCACTCTACCCACATGCCAGGCCAGAAGGGCAGGAATTAACACTCTCAAACAATGGCTGATGAGAACAGGTGCTTAAAGACCCCAGTTTCCCCACTCCTTGGGTGGGATAATTCTGAGGCATATATTCTAATTAGCTATCAGTGTTATTTAATATGATTGTACTCCAGTTGCCCACAGTGAAAATTTGCTTAATAACGCACCCTTTGGTGGCTTCCTTCCTACCCTAATTGGTGTTTCCTGGGATCACCTCCTCAGTAAACTACTTACACCCAAATAATTGTCTGAGGGTTCTGAGGCATCCCAAACTAAGACAGGAACTCTGGGAGAACAAAGCTTCCAGAAATCCTGTCTATATAAGAACACACAGATCTTCTTATTTCTGGGGAGACATAAAAAAGACTCTGAGGCCAGATGGCTGAGCCCCAGATTACTGGCACTCAAGCAAATTGGAACTCAGGATGCCCTTAAGCAGAATCTGTGGGCTCTTAAGGAATTCATTCTAAAAGAGGAGGCCCATGACTTCTATCTTGGAATTTTTGTAGGTTTGTGCGTTGGCAGGGAGGAATCATGTTTTTTACTTGATTCTGGATGCTACTGATCATCTTCCAAAATTATCTTGCAACTTGGCCTTGGATGACTCACATTCATCAAGAATGAATTTGAAAATCAGAAAGGGCATTCATCTTTATAAATAACTTTTTAGGAGATTACCAGGTTCCCTGACATCTGACTGAAGGAGATGTTTTCACTGGGTGGAGAGATTCTCCCTTCAATATATCAATATACTTTTTTTTTTTTTTTTTTTTTGGTAGAGACAGGGTCTCTCTATGTTGCCCAGGCTAATATCGAACTCCTGGCCTCAATTAAGCCTACCACGTCCCCCTCCCAAAGAGCTGGGATTACAGGCATGAGCCATTGCACCCAGCCTCAAGACCCTTGTTGTATGGAGAACAGAGAAGCATGGGTACAAGCAAAGGGACAGCTCTAAAGAGGTACAGTAATGACAGTGGAGGTGCAGGTCACCATTCTTTTGCCACAGTAGCTACACCAGTTGACAAGACCACAAAGAGGTGGAGTGGAGAGTGACTGTGGTACCCATGCCAGATGGCTTCAGTGGCTCCTGAGGACACCCTTAGCCACCCAAGAGCAGTAGGGAAGGGAAGGATCTGGGGACAGGCTCTGAAATCCCAGTGGCTCTGCCAAGTGAGGGTTTGAGTGAGAGGCCTAACTATACTCTTATTCATCAGCAGGGCTGGGAGAGTATACTCTGATGGAGCAAGGGTCACATTTTGCTTTGGTTAGCACATTCCAAAGCTGCCCTGTAACTGCAAAGAAAACAGGGGCCTTTTTTTCCCTCTTTACAGTTTATTGGCAAAGTATCAAATGTTTTATAGGGCAAATGCTACATCCGTCCAGCTGTGCTCAGCAGTTACTGCCAGCAAGGATGTTTCAGTTGGGACTCACACTAGGGTAACTTCGGGTTTAAAAGCCTGCCTCTGAATGCGTCTCTTCATGCCCTTTAAATGTTGCAAATCAAAGAGGCACACAGGGAGGCTTGGTGACTGGCAAACTTCCTGCCATGGTGATGAGAATATAGCCCTTTGTGTAGCTAGAACAGCTAGGGGTGAAGAGGAGAGAGGAACACAGGCAGCTCATCCAGGAGGTCCAAAGCCCCAACAGACAAGCAGAGCAAATTCCTCAGGCTGAGGTCAGGCTGGGGTACTGATGATACCTCACCAACTACCAACAGTGTCAGGCAGCTGCTTCTTTACAGGCAGCAGTGCCCTTGTTCCTGCTCATCCTCTCCTTCCTTTCCCTCGCTTTCACATTGCTTCAGTCAACCTTCATCTAGGGCCCATGATATGACAGTGTGCGCTTATGGGACAAACCAACAGATTTATTTTAGGTTCACGAGGCATCAGAACCCCTAACTCCTAACTTGCACTGGCCCCTTCCCCAGAATTGTGATCCCCTGATACCATGTTCTTATACTTTTCTTTCTTTCTTTTTTTTTCTTGTTTTTGAGATGGAGTCTTGCTCTGTCTCCCAGGCTGGAGTGCATTCAGCGGAGCAATCTCGGCTCACTGCAAGCTCTGCCTCCTGGGTTCAAGCGATTCTCCTGCCTCAGTCTCCCGAGTAGCTGGGACTACAGGCACCCACCTCCATGCCCGGCTAATCTTTTGTATTTTTAATACAGAGGGGGTTTTACTGTGTTAGCCAGGATGGTCTTGCTCTCCTGACCTCGTGATCCACCTGCCTCGGCCTCCCAAAGTGTTGGGATTACAGGTGTGAGCCACTGTGCCTGGCCCATTCTTATACATTTCTAAAGGAAGATATTTTAATGGAAGTCGTCTGAGATCCTTGTCATTTTCTATGCCAAATTCCTTCCCCTCCACCTCAGTCACCTTCACATATGGAAGGAATGAAGTATCCATGGGCATTTTTGGGACCCAGCTAAAGGGAAGTTGAGTGATGTTTGGGTTTAGTGGGCTATGTTTATGTGATTCACAGTCACTTCCCATATAAAATTCGGTATTGTTAGCCTTCTTGTGTTGGAATGGCTTCTAGGAATACAGCTGTGGTCCACTATACTCACTTGCCCAGTGACGTGACTCACAGGTGCATAGCCTCCACAACACAGACATCGGCCACAAACTGGTTAATGAGTGCTGTCAATTCAGAGTGTGCAGAATTAGTACTGCATGAGGAAGTGCAAAATGCCTCGAAATCTTATAGCACGTAATAAAAGAAAACTGGTGGTGGTTTTTAAAACAACAGTCTGAAAAATTTATAAGACATGAGTAGTAAGGAGTTGTGAAACTAAAATAAACTTTTCTGAATTCTGTAAAATAAAAATCTAATTGTATCAATCATGCTAGAAGAAAGACTGAATTATCTTTTTGTTCTCTCAAAAGAAAAAATCTTCAAAAAATTGTTGTCAAATGAAGGGGTGATCAAAGAATAAACACAAGAAATAGAGAAAGGATATAGTGATATAACAAGCAGTTAATTAATAAAAATAGACTGTAATTTTTCTGGATTTTGAGACTTTAAAAATTCAATTTGTGATGTATTCCCTCATTCTAAATATATATTCACTTCCATACTTATAATTTTTTCATTAATATATTTTGTATTCTTCTTATTAAAGGGTGCTCTCCCAATTATGTAAACTTCATGCTCCATGAAACCACCTGGCCACCATCATGACTACTGGGAATAAAACAGTCAAGACCTGGCTCTTTGCCTGAAGGATCTCACAGGGCACAGGGCCAGCCTGATACAGAAGCCAACAATTACAGTGTCACCAGGAAGCACAAGGCCATCACCTCACTTCCTATCCCCAGCTCATTTTTTTTCTATTCAGAGATGACTTTTTGGGAGCACAGCCTACCCTGCTTACTCTCACAGTGCTTCCAGCCCTCATTCTCTCTCTCTCATTGTAGGTATTCTCTGACTTCCCTCCTCCTCACCACACTCAAACCTCAGAATTCATCCCACTTTGTTGTGAGAGGCACTTGTGTACCCTTTCTGACTGTACTAGGCTGTCCTGGTTATATCCTCTGGGTTTCTTTTTCCATACCTGTAGACAAGTCTTAAAGTTATTTTTCCAAAAAAGCATGATTCTTTCCAGAAGAGGAATTAGGCCATTTGCTTTAAAATAACAGTTTATTATTCCTCCTCAACTTGGTCTATCTCTGACTCCTTCCCTCCTCCTGCCATCCCAGTGAGCTGTGTTCTCTTACACATTTGATAAAATGATTAGGAAATATCAAGAACACATAGGAAGATTTAAAGGACTTAGGATCTCATTGGCTGTGAGAAAAGGGAACTCTCTCTAATCCCTGCCCTGCGTGTGGTGCTGGTCTGGGTCCTGTGGTGGGAGTGAGAAGTGATTATGGAGGAGCAGCGCCTTCTCTACTGGGCCAACTCTTCAGGAACAAAGGCTTTGTCTCATTCTTTTCTGTAGCCAACATGCTTGATGGCTCAAATTCAATAAGTATCTGCTGACATGGGGAGAGGGAAGGAGGGATGTGTTAACACTGAAATTACTTCATTTTATAAAAGAAATTGTCCAAAACCTTTCTGTGTACTAATTTCAAAGGAGTTTCCCCATTTTCTATTGCACATTCTCCTTCTCTCAGGCTTCATGGAAGATGTGTTAGTCTACCTGCTCAAAGCCAACTTCTCCATCTGTGCCTTTGACCCCAGACTTCTTGGTCTTCTAGACTAAGTCTTCTAGAAAGTTAGCTTCAATAATCATCTTTCCAATAATCATCTTCCTGATTTCAGGTTGCAGCCTCTCTCTCTCCTATCTCTTTCTGCTCAGCCTGTGACCGTACTTAAGTTTCTCCCATCCTAAAAGACACACATATGTGCACACACACACACACACACACTCCTTGACCATCTGAGTCATCCATAAGCTCGCCTTTCTTGCTTTCTTGTTCTTGTTCTTTTTTTTTTTTTTTGAGACAGGGTCTCTCACTCTGTCACCCAGGCTGGAGTGCAGTGGCATGATCTTGGCTCACTGCAGCCTCGACCTCCCAGACTTAAGTGATCCTCCCACTGCAGCCCCACCCCAAGTAGCTGGGACTACAGATGTGCACCACCACACCTGGCTGTTTTATATTTTGTGAAGATGGGGGTCTCACTGTTACCCAGACTGATCTCCACCTCCTGAGCTCAAGCAATCCTCCTGCCTTGGCCTCCCAAAGTGCTGGGGTTACAGGCATGAGCCACCACACCTGGCCAGCTTGCCGTTTTTCTGCATTTGCTTTCTCTACTGCCTTATTTGGAATTTATCCATATTCATCCATTAATTGAAACTTATCTGATGAAGGTCGCCAATGACCAATTTCCAAATTGATTAGACACTTTCAGTATTTATCTTACTTCCCAGCCTCATAACAGCATGAGACACTGATGATCCTCACTTCATCCTTGAAACTCTTTCCTCTATTGGCTTCCATGACACTAAACTCTGCTACTTACTCTTGAGCCAGCTCAGGTCTACTCCTTCACGGCCATGCAGCAAGGTGATTTCTGTGAACAGGGCCTTTTATTTTCCACATCTTCTTTCTCTTTTTTGGGACATTCTATTTCAATGTTCAAGCTATGGTGCTACAGCTTAAGAGGGCCACTGACCACCTGCTGCTATAATAAAAGAAGAATGAATGTGAATGGTAAGGCTGAATCTGAGCTGTGTTGTAGCTGTGTTCATGTCTGGAGGAAAAAGGGCTGAGTATCCTGGAAGAGAAAAGATATCATGGGGACTAAGAGGGGAGAGCAAATGTGTCCTAAGCAGCTCTAAGCCATTAAATGAACATTAAATAGAATCTTTGAGGAGGTAAATTTTGTCTCATTGTAAAAGAGAACCTGATAGCAGTCATAGACATGTAACACTGGAAAAGAGACCCTCATACTGCCAGGGCCCCTGATAGCCTGTGTGGTATCTTTTTGTGAATTAGAAAAAGGCACTTCTTTCTCTAGTTGGACAAAGCCTGACACAGTGGCTTCTGGGCCCCATCCATCTGTTGCTTTGGGCAGGTGCTCTGTGCAGAGCACAACCTGTACTATCATATGTAGCATCTCTGCAGAAGGCAGTGAGCTGTCTGTCACCAAACGCATTCAATTAATCACTGCATGGTCGTCTGTTTTGGTTCTGTAAAGAGTATTTCGTGACCACGTGCAGTAGCTCATGCCTGTAATCCTAATACTATGGGAGGCTGAGGCAAGCAGATAACTTGAGGCCAAGAGTTTGAGGCCAGCCTGGCCAAACTGGGGAAACCCCATCTCTACTAAAAATACAAAAATTAGCCAAGTGTGGTGGTGCGGGCTTGTAGTCTCAGCTGTTGGGAAGTGCTGAGGCATGAGAATCACTTGAATCTGAGAGGCAGAGGTTGCAGTGAGCCGAGATCACGCCACTGCACTCCACTCAGCAACAGAGCGAGACCCTGTCTCAAAAATAAAAAAAAGAGGCCAGGAGCAGTGGCTCACACCTGTAATCCCAGCACTTTGGGAGACCACGGTGGGCAGATCACAAGGTCAGGAGTTCGAGACCAGCCTGGCCAACATAGTGAAACCCCATCTCTGCTAAAAAATACAAAAAATAAGCCAGGCATGGTGGTGGGCGCCTGTAATCCCAGCTACTCGGGAGGCTGAGGCACAAGAATCGCTTGAACCCGGGAGGCGGAGGTTGCAGTGAGCCAAGATCGTGTCATTGCACTCCAGCCCAGGCAATAGTGTGAGGCTGTCTATATATATATATATATAAAATAAATATATGAGTATTTCTTTTTTTTTCTTTTTTGAGATGGAGTCTCATTCTGTCACCCAGGCTGGAGTGCAGTGGCATGATCTCGGCTCACTGCAAGCTCTGCCTCCTGGGTTCACGCCATTCTCCTGCCTCAGCCTCCCGAGTAGCTGGGACTACAGGTGCCCCCACTATGCCCGGCTAATTTTTTTTTTTTTTTGTATTTTTAGTAGAGACAGGGTTTCACCATGTTAGCCAGGCTGGTATCGATCTCCTGACCTCGTGATCCACCTGCCTTAACCTCCCAAAGTGCTGGGATTACAGGCGTGAGCCACTGCGCCTGGCCAAAAAGAGTATTTCTTATAGTCCTGTTTGATTATCTAATCCTGGCTATGAAGACGTGCTAGAAATAGAGCAAATGGGTGATGAAAGCAGGAAAAGATGGAGTGGGAGGTAGGGAGAGGGAGAGGGAGAGAGAGGAAGGTGAGGGGGAGAGAGATGAAAGTGAAGAGAGGTGGAGGAAGAATGGAGACACTGAATGATCCTTTTAGTCTTGCATTAAATATGCCCCAATCCAGCTAGATCTTCCCTGTTTTATGAGCAAATAGTTTCTAGTTGTGTCTGCCACAACATATTAATCACTATCCTTATCCTATTACTTTTCCTGTCTTGCTATTTGAGTCCCAATTTTGTTCCAGATGACATCATGGATGAACCATTATCGAGAACCATTAGTTTAAGCCAGTCATGAATGTTCCTTTCCCATTTGTGAAGTATTCCACCTTTAGCTTCCCCTCCACCTACAGAAGGCTGTGGCCTTAGCAAACCGAGGTCTGTTGGGAGGCTTTTGGAAAAGCTTTTACTTTTCCATAAAAAGGGACAAGCATGACTTGCCAGTTACTTGGTGCTGCCCATTCTACTTTTTGTGGTAGGAATGTAAACAAGCAGCCTGAAGACAACCAGCATGAGGACAAAAACAAACAAACTCCACCAAAACGTGCTGAAAACAGTAAAATGGACAAAAAGAAAAGGCCTGGGCCTTCAGACCAGATGATCCTCTCCAGCATCTCTCTCCTCATCACCTGCAGACTTCTTATTATATGAGATAATTAATTTTTTTTTTAATTTTTTTTTTTTTAAATTTTATAATCATTTTTTTAAGAAAGTGATAATTGAGTTTTCTATTTGCAACTAAAAGCAATTCACCTATTTGGCATTTTCTTATGCTGAAAGTTATTATTACTTTTTATCCCCTTGCAAAGAAGTATACCCCATGCTAATGTTCAGAGTTCAGATAATGAGTGTTTCTAGGATAAAAATGTTCAATGGATTTGATAAAAATTTTTAACTGGTATACTGGCTATACTAGCTTTGTTAGGACTGCCATTACAAAGTACCACAAACTGGATGGCTTAAGCAACAGAAATTAATTTCCTCACAGTTCTGGAGGCTAGAAGTCCAAGACAAAGGTGTTGGCAGGGTTTCTTCTGAGGTCTTTCTCTGTGGTTTGCAGATGGCTATCTTCTCTCTGTGTCTTCACATGGTCTTTTCTCTTTCTGTGTCTATGTCTTAATCTCCTCTTTTACAAGGATACCAGTCATGTTGGACTAGGGCCTACTCTAATAACTTTATTTAACCTTAATTACCTCTCTGAAGACCTTATCTGCAAATACAGACATATACTAAGTTACCGGGGTTAGGACTTCAACATGGAAATTTGGGGGAGACACAATCACATTGGTGATTAAAATTTGGCCAGGAATAGGGTTTATCACTCAGTTAGAACAATGGTTCACAGTCCTGACTAATTACCTGGGGAAAATTTAAAATATAGATGCTTATGCCTCACTTCCAAAGGTTCTCATTTAATTGGTCTGGAGTGGAATCAGATATGTATTTAATTTCAGGTGTTGTTAACCATTATTTCTTTAAGCAAGAGATAATTTGTATTAGTCCATTCTCACACAGCTATAAAGAACTATCTGAGATTGTGTAATTTATACAGAAAAGAGGTTTAATTGGTTAACAGTTCTGTAGGCTCTACCGGAAGCATGGCTGGAGAGGCCTCAGGAAATCAACAAGCATGGTGGAGTGGGAGAAGGACAGTGAAGGGGGAAGTGGTACACACTTTTCAACAACCAGATCTCATGAGACCTCACTAACTATCACAAGAACAGCAAGGGGGATATCCGTTTCCATGCCAGTCACCTCCCACCAGTTGGGATTACAATTCAACATTAAATTTGAGTGGGGACACAGAGCCAAACCATATCATGATTAAACCAATTAATCATATATAAGAGCTCAGAAGTTTGAGGGAGAGGTGAAAAGCCAACCTTATTCTGATGGCCAGAAGCTGAGAAAGCCTCAATACAGAAGAGTGGGTCTTCAGTATGGGAGTGGAGCTGCAATATCATTGAGAAATGGAGAAAGATCCAACTCATCTTCACTCTTCCTCCCTATAAGAACAAGTGGACTTTGGGAGTCCGAGGCAGGTGGATCACAATGTCAGGAGATCGAGGCCATCCTAGCTAACAGGGTGAAACTCCGTTTCTACTAAAAATTAAAAAAAATTAGCCAGGCATGGTGGTGTGCACCTGTAGTCCCAGCTACTTGGGAGGTTGAGGCAGGAGAATGGTGTGAACCTGGGAGGTGGAGCTTTCAGTGGAGCCGAGATTGCGCCACTGCACTCCAGCCTGGGAGACAGAGCAAGACTCTGGATGCTAAGAAACCATCCTTAATAGACACCATAGAGGAGTTATTTACCTGAGGGCATGGCTTAAAAAGTCCCCTGAGCTCACTGTTTCTGTTTTGATTTTAAAATTTGTAATTTCTATTGCAAAATTGATTCTGGACTAGTTTAAGAAATTTGCAGTCAGCCTATTTCACTTTTAACCCACCTGCAGATTTTGACCAAATTAAGTATTGCATAAGGTTCTTATTGCTGCTGTAGTATATTATCACAAACATAGAGGCTTAAAACAACACAAATTTGTTGTCTTATGGTTCTGGAAGTCAGAAATCTGAGATGAGTTCTACAGGGCCAAAATCCAGGTGTGGGCAGGGCTGGTTCTGGAGTCTCTAGGGGAGAAGCCATTCATTGCCTTTTCCAGTTTCTAAAGGCTGTCCTCATTCTTTGGTTCATTGCTCTGTATCACATCTTTTTTTTCTCCCTCTGCTTTCATCATATCACCTTCTTTCTGATTGACTCCTCTGCTTCCATTGCAACTACATGAGGCCCACCAGGAAAAACCAGAATAATCTCCCCATCGCAGATCATTAACTTGATCACTTATACAAAATCCCTTTTGTCATAGAAGTTAACATCGACAGGTTCTGGGAATTAGGATGCAGACATCTTTGGGAGGCCACTGTTCCATTTACCACAACTACTCAATGTCTCTGATACTTAAAACTTGGTAGTTGTGGACAAAAATAAATGGTATCAGAACCACTTATTTCAGAACCTTCCTTCCCCCAACAACTTCCTAGCTTCAACATCAGAAGGGAATTCTTCCTCATCCAAGGCTGTTATATGAGAAATTGGAAGTGATTCCTCATTGGCATATTACTTTCTAAAACTCAGCCAGAGGCATAACAATCTAATTATTGTTGATGGAACTAGCATATCTTACTTGGAGAGACAAGATTAATAAAACAAAACATTCTTCTGGGTATGTATTATTAAAGTTGTATAATGCATTTGAAGCCCAAACACATTTTTTCCAAGATGTACAATTCATATTGTTCTATACATGAAAATTCTTACTAGGTTATTCCTGCTATATCTTTTCATTCTAAACTATATAAGAAATTTAAGAAGTCTTGTTTCTCTTAAATCGTCCAAACCATTCTCAGTGATAAATAAATCTAGTAGTAGAACTCTAGATGTAGTACTATTTTAATAGATACAGAATCATATTAGATGACAGGAACATGCTTTCAGAAATGCAAATTTCTATTCAAATTCAAGATTATAGTAACATACAAAACATCTATTTTATTATAATAGTATAACAATTACTGTTGTCATCATGATTATCTGGTTGTATTGTATCTTAAGCTAATTGGTATGTTTGTTGTTGTTAATAATAAAATATGTGATAATGAGAGGCAGCATTTATAACAAATAGAAGGCTGCTTTTGGAGTTGGACAAATTTAGGTTTAAATTCCTGTTCTGCCAGGTACTATCTGTGTGACCTTGGGCAAGTTAATTTACTTGGACTTCGTTTCCTTATTTGTTAAATGGGGATAGAAATACCTCCCTGTAGAATTGTGTGAGGTTTACTCAGATGTATATAAAGTACCTTGTAGAATGCCTGATATATAATGGACTCTCACTGAATAGTTACTATGACTATTATTGTTGTTAATAATCTTATTACTAATGAAGACACTGATTTGTTGGAAATTACTTGCCTTGTGGAAAATGAACATGAATGAAAGACAACAGAGGTCTCTAAAAATGCCTCTGACCTTCTCATCAGTTGGCCAGGCAGCCTAAGCTACCGTCCTCACTTCGTAAATGCGAAGTAGACTATAAAAGAAAAAAATGCTCTAATTCATTCCCTCAAAGTATTCATCAAATGAGGTAGGATTTCTGGGAAAGATTAAGAGCTTACATTTTTCACTGGACTGATTTCCCATAAAATTTCATAGCGAATAAAAGGAGGGGAAGTGCAGAAGCAGTACTATTTGTTTTATCTGCTACCTGTGATTGTAAATCTTCCTGAGAGATCATTAATTATAATGGTGCTATTCATAATGCTGCTCTTCAGGCCATCCCCCCCCCCCACCCCAGATTTTATGCTTAGGGCTTAGAAATTGGCTGCTGAATTTCTGTGTGAGGCTGAAACTTAAATGCAATAACAGAGGGAACACTCTCAAACTGGTTATAACATGGCATAAGAATGATATGTAACCAGGGGTTTGGACTGAACTGGGGATGTTTTTGTTCATGATACACTGCTTCAGAACAGCTCAAAGAATTCAAAGAATAGCATAAACTCAAACAATCCAAATCAGGCGAGACCTCAAAACACCTCAAACTTGGACAGTGCTTATCTGAGAATATAAAGGAAAAGAACATAAACCTATTATCATTTAGCCTGTTATATTGGGCTATCATGGCTAAGGACTTCACATTTTTCACAAACTTGTAAGGAGGACCACACATACACAGAGAAAATGAGGTTCAGACTGTTGAAACCACATGGCCAAGGTCACATAGCTATCAAGTGGTAAAGGTAGTATTAACCTCAAATCGGCCTGCCTTCGAAGGCTAAATTTTGTCCATTGAACAATATGGCCAAAAGAAAGAGATCCTCAGGTACAAAATCCCCTTCCAAGGGTCTTCAATTCAATCCAACACATTTGTAATTGAGTACCTTTTTCATGCTAAACTTTCTTGTTTTATACAAAGAAAATGAAGATGTGGTTATTGCTCACTAGGAGTTTACAATCTTGAGAAAAGATGTAGGCCAAGTTACTTGACCTCTAACTACTTCTTTTTCTCATCCACAAAGTGAGACAATTGGAATATTTTAAAAAATATATATATATATTTTTATATATATGTGTATATATATATTTTATATATATGTGTATATATATATTTTATATATATGTGTATATATATATTTTATATATATGTGTATATATATATTTTATATATATGTGTGTATATATATACTTTATATATATGTGTGTATATATATTTTATATATATGTGTATATATATATATTTTATATATATGTGTATATATATATTTTATATATATGTGTATATATATATTTTATATATATGTGTGTATATATATATTTTATATATATGTGTGTATATATATTTTATATATATGTGTATATATATATTTTATATATATGTGTATATATATATTTTATATATGTGTGTATATATATATTTTATATATGTGTGTATATATATATTTTATATATATGTGTGTATATATATATTTTATATATATGTGTGTATATATATATTTTATATATATGTGTGTATATATATATTTTATATATATGTGTGTATATATATATTTTATATATATGTGTGTATATATATATTTTATATATATGTGTGTATATATATATTTTATATATATGTGTGTATATATATATTTTATATATATGTGTGTATATATATATTTTATATATATGTGTGTATATATATATTTTATATATATGTGTGTATATATATATATTTTATATATATGTGTGTATATATATATATTTTATATATATATGTGTGTATATATATATATTTTATATATATATGTGTATATATATATATATATATATTTTTTTTTTGAGACAGAGTCTCGCTCTGTCGCCCAGGCTGGAGTGCAGTGGCGCGATCTCAGCTCACTGCAACCTCCACCTCCTGGGTTCAAGCCGTTCTCCTGCCTCAGCCTCCCGAGTAGCTGGGACTACAGGCACGTGCCACCACGTCCAGCTAATAGTTTTGTATCTTTAGTAGAGATGGGGTTTCACCATATTGGTCAGGATGGTCTCGATCTCTTGACCTCATGATCCGCCCACCTCAGCCTCCCAAAGTGCTGGGATTACAGGCGTGAGCCACCACTCCCAGCCTAAAATATTTTTATGATCAGATTTTTTTTCCCATGGATATTTGGAAGAATATATATATATACAGATAAAATAGGATGTTAAGGGAGCACAGAGAAGAGGCACCTAACCCACACTTCAGATGGGATAGAAGTTCTTAACGATTTTTACAATTTGATATCTTACTTTCCTTATGTGGCCCAGCTAAAATGAAACCTTTTATGATTCCCCTAATTCAGAATTTCCCAAACTGGATGCTTAGTTAAAAACAAACAAACAAAAACAGTGGTTAGGAAAGGTTAAGAAGCTATTTTAGATCCAACCCTATATAGATGTTCAACACCATGACTTCTAAGTGTTTTTGACATCAGAAAGTATTATTAAAGAAAGATTTAACTCAAAAAACAACTTTAAACACAACCTATGAAACATGCCATTCATTTAATATTTCCTAGCAACAAGCCACCTACTGATACATATTAAGGCAAAGGATAGTTAATAGTAAAACAGAATGGAATTGGTACTTTCACATCCACTCACAACGGAATAGCTGGTGCCAGATTAACCTTCTTGGTTTAAATAAATATTAAACTGGATGAAATATAGGAAGCAACTGTTTTCAGATGGTAGGCAATAGGTAGCACAATCTGTGATCCCTGAGATAATGAAACTGTAGCAGTTGCTAATGGACAAGCCTCTGGAGGCTCACCCTGTGCATGTAACATTTATCCCTCAGCCTTGAATGTTTGGAGAAACTCCTGCTAGGTTTCTGGGTCTCTCTCTTCAGGGTTGTCTTTTCTTAGATTCTCTGAATTGCAGATTCCAGCTGCTTCAACTGCCAAACTGATCTTGCCTCCTCAGTTCAGGGATCTGCAAGATAAGAGCATTTGCTTTTATATATGCTCTTATTTTATGAGGTTGGTATAATCTAGATTCCAAAATCAGGAAAGGGCAATAAAAGAAAAAAATTATAGGTCCAATTCTCTTATGAATATGATGCAAAAACCTAAATAAAATATTAACTAACAATACAGAAGCATTTTCACAAAATAACAGTACAGGGCTACAAGAAAGGTTCATCATCAGAAAAAACTATTGATATAATTTATTTCATAAATTGGTTGAAGTTGAAAGCTCATATGATTATCTCAATAATCAGTATAGAAAGAGCACTTGACACTGTTCAATATCTATTTACTTTTTATGTGTTAATATGGAATTAAACATAAACAAAAGTAGGAAAAAATAGTAAAATCAACTCCAGCATACTTGGCACTAGCCTTCAACAATTACGTGGCTAATTTGTTTCATCCATACCTTCACCTACTTTCCATCACTACCACTTCCAACCTCGCTTGGAGTATTCTGAAGCAAATCCCAGACATCATATTTTATCCATAAATACTTCAATGTGTACCACTTTTTTTGAAAGAGCTCTTTAAAAAAATAACAGGACCCTAGTATTACTATTATACTTAAACATTTAACAGTAATTCCTTAAGATCATGTATCCAGTAGCATTCAAATATCTGCAATGGTCTCATAAACACTTTACATTAGGTTTACTTCAGTCTTTTTAATACATAAAGTCTTCTTTGCAATTTATTTGTTGAAGAAATACTATTGTGTTTATTTTGCTGCTTGCATCCCTATGGTTTTGTCTAACGAGTTACTTTACATTTTATATGTCCTGTATGTTGGTGACAGATTTGGATGCTTGATCAGATTCAAGTTTGATTTTTTTGACATGAATGGTGATATTGTGTACTTCTAATTGCATCATCTCAAAGGACATACTGTTTTTTGTGATATTAAGATTGATCAGTGTGTTTGAGTGCTATCAGACTAATCTATTATGAAATTCTTCATCAGCTTTTCAGTAATGGTTTTTAGCAGCCAAGAATATTCTAATTCTTTATTCTTATTCATTTATAGTGGGGATTTTTCTATAAAGAACTTTCTTTCATCAGCTCTTTGGTCACCCTGAGGTAGAGTTCAAACAAGATATTCAGGATAAATGCTTGATTCGTTTTATTTCTCAGTTTTTGGAATGAACTGGTTCTTAAAGTCATCCAAATCTGACCAATGCTTTTTTCCCTTTGAATAACATTACCAACTCATGAATTTTCAACATATTTGATGTACTTCAATGCAATACAATTATTATTTGTTTTGGTATTTGTGGCAGGCAGAATAATGAACCCCCAAAGATGTCCATGTCCTTATTTCTGAAATCTGTGACTATGTTATCTTACATGGAAAAGAGAATTAAGGCAATCAATAGAATTAAAGTGGCTAATCAGCTGACCTTTAGATAAGGAGATTACCCTGGTTATCTTTGTAGGCTCAGTGTAACCACAAGGGTCCTTAAAAGTGGAAGAGTGAAGTAGAAGAGTAGGTTAGAGTGATGTAATGTGAGAAAGGCTGAATGAGGAATTGCTAACTTTGAAGCTAGAAGAAGGGGACTATGAGCTGAGGAAAGCTAATGGCTTTTACAAGTTGGAAAGGACAAGAAAATGGATTTTCTCCTAGAGCATTCAGAAAGGAATCCAGCCCTACTGACCCCATGATGTTAATCCAGCAAAACTTATATTGGACTTCTGACCTACACAACTAAAAGATAATAAATTTATGTTGTTTAAGCCACTAAGTTTATGGTAATTTGTTATGTTAGCAATGAAAAATCAGTGTAGTGCTTATCATCTCTGTGAGAATAATATTAATACTAACAATGGAACAGAGAAACTATTTCTTTTTTTTTTTTTCCACTTTGTTTTTTTTTTCTTTTCTTCTTTTTTTTTTTTATTGATCATTCTTGGGTGTTTCTCGCAGAGGGGGAGTTGGCAGGGTCATAGGACAATAGTGGAGGGAAGGTCAGCAGATAAACAAGTGAACAAAGGTCTCTGGTTTTCCTAGGCAGAGGACCCTGCGGCCTTCCGCAGTGTTTGTGTCCCTGGGTACTTGAGATTAGGGAGTGGTGATGATTCTTAACGAGCATGCTGCCTTCAAGCATCTGTTTAACAAAGCACATCTTGCACCGCCCTTAATCCATTTAACCGAGTGGACACAGCACATGTTTCAGAGAGCACAGGGTTGGGGGTAAGGTCACCGATCAACAGGATCCCAAGGCAGAAGAATTTTTCTTGGTACAGAACAAAATGAAAAGTCTCCCATGACTACTTCTTTCTACACAGACACGGCAACCATCCGATTTCTCAACCTTTTCCCCACCTTTCCCCCCTTTCTATTCCACAAAACCGCCATTGTCGTCCCGGCCCGTTCTCAATGAGCTGTTGGGTACACCTCCCAGACGGGGCGGCTGGCCGGGCAGAGGGGCTCCTCACTTCCCAGTAGGGGCGGCCGGGCAGAGGCGCCCCTCACCTCCCGGACGGGGTGGCTGGCCGGGCGGGGGGCTGACCCCCCCACCTCCCTCCCGGACGGGGCGGCTGGCCTGGCAGGGGCTGACCCCCACCTCCCTCCCGGACAGGGTGGCTGCCGGGCGGAGACGCTCCTCACTTCCCAGACGGGGTGGCTGCCGGGCGGAGGGGCTCCTCACTTCTCAGACAGGACGGTTGCCAGGCGGAGGGTCTCCTCACTTCTCAGATGGGGCGGCCGGGCAGAGACGCTCCTCACCTCCCAGACGGGGTCGCGGCCGGGCAGAGGCGCTCCTCACATCCCAGATGGGGCGGCGGGGCAGAGGCGCTCCCCACATCTCAGGCGGTGGGCAGCCGGGCAGAGACGCTCCTCACTTCCTAGATGGGATGGCGGCCGGGCAGAGACGCTCCTCACTTTCCAGACTGGGCAGCCAGGCAGAGGGGCTCCTCACGTCCCAGACGATGGGCGGCCAGGCAGAGACGCTCCTCACTTCCCAGACGGGGTGGCGGCCGGGCAGAGGCTGCAATCTCGGCACTTTGGGAGGCCAAGGCAGGCGGCTGGGAGGTGGAGGTTGTAGCGAGCCGAGATCACGCCACTGCACTCCAGCCTGGGCACCATTGAGCACTGAGTGAACCAGACTCCGTCTGCAATCGCGGCACCTCGGGAGGCCGAGGCTGGCAGATCACTCGCGGTTAGGAGCTGGAGACCAGCCCGGCCAACACAGCGAAACCCCGTCTCCACCAAAAAAGTATGAAAACCAGTCAGGCATGGCGGCGCGCACCTGTAATCGCAGGCACGCGGCAGGCTGAGGCAGGAGAATCAGGCAGGGAGGTTGCAGTGAGCCGAGATGGCAGCAGTACAGTCCAGCTTCGGCTGGGCATCAGAGGGAGACCATGGAAAGAGAAGGAGAGGGAGACTGTGGGCCATGGGGAGAGGGAGAGGGAGAAGGGAGAAGCAGGGAGAAGGGAGAAGGGAGAAGGGAGAAGGGAAAGGGGCCAGAGAAACTATTTCAATCAGCAAGGCTTTAACAGATTTGCCAGGATTAACTTATAAAGACAAAATTTCTGTATAGTTGCAATAACAAACTAGTAAAAATAATTAAAACTTAAGAAACTATTCTCAATATTATAAAGAAAAAACTATAGTTAAATACCTAGGAATTACATAAGATCTCTATGGACAAAACTTGAAGGACATAGACTATGTCTGATAGAGATACAGTCCAGCTGGGCACGATGGCTCATGCCTGTAATCCCAGCACTTTGGGAGGCCGAGGTGGACAGATCATGAGGTCAGGAGTTCGAGACCAGCCTGGCCAATATGGTGAAATCCCGCCTCTATTAAAAATACAAAAATTAGCCGGGCATGGTGGTGGGCGCCTGTAGTCCCAGCTACTCGGGAGGCTGAGGCAGGAGAATTGCTTGAATCCAGGAGGCAGAGGTTGCAGTGAGCCAAGATTGTGCCACACTGACTCCAGCCTGGGCAACAGAGTGAGACTCCATCTCAAAAAAAAAAAAAAAAAAAAAAGAGATATATTCCATGCACTTGGGTGGGATGACATAATATTACAAAGATGTCAATTCCCTGAATTAATCTATAAGTTTAATGTATCATTGTCAAAATTCCAGCTGGACTATTTGAGGAACTTGATAAAATTACTCTAAAATAAAAAGAAGCAATGAAGGATCACAAATAGCTAAATCTATCTCCTAAAAAAGGAGACTTGCCAAACAGAAGCCATAGTAATAAATAGAAGCAGTGTGGTACTGTTGCAAGAATAGACAAATAGAAGACTGGAACAGAAGAGCAAGGTTGAAATCAGAACTTTGGTAGTTAATACATAAGAAAGGTAGCACCACAAATCAATGAGGGGAAGCATAGAATGTTTAGTAGGTATTGTTGGAAAATCTAGCATACATTTTTAAAGGGGAAAACAACAACAACAAGAAAGTGAATCCTGGATTACTGTTTAACGTCATGTACAAAAATTGAGTCTTAATAGATTAAACATCAAAATGTGAAAGGTAAACTATAAAGTTAATATAAGAAAACAGAAAATACAGTATGTTTGAATCTGGGGACTAGGAAAACTGTTCATTTGTTTGTTTATTTTGAGACAGGGTTCTGTTACCCAAGCTGCAGTGCAGTGGCACAAACATCGCTCACTGCAGACCCCACCTCCTGGGCTCAAGCAATCCTACCTTAGCCTCCCAAGTAGCTGGGACCACAGGCATGAGCCACCATACCCAGCTAATTTTGGGAAGACTTACTAAAATGTTAAAAACACAACACAAATATAAGGCAAAAATGATTGATTTACATCGAAGTTAGGTTACTTCTATGAACGAAAGTACACCCTAATGGCCGGGTGCAGTGGTTCACGCCTGTAATCCCACCACTTTGGGAGGCCGAGGTGGGTGGTTCCCTTGAGCCCAGGAGTTTGAGACCAGCTTGGACAACATGGTGAAGCCTCATCTCTACAAAAAATGCAGAAATTAGCCAGGCGCTATGGTGCACGTTTGTAGTCCCAGCTACTTGGAAGGTTGAGGCAGGATTATCATTTGAGCTAGGGTGTATTAGTCCATTTTCATGCTACTGATAAAGACATACCTGAGACTGGGAAGAAAAAGAGGTTTACTTGGACTTACAATTCCACATGGCTGTGGAGGCCTCAGAATTCCACGTGGCTGGGGAGGCCTCAGAATCATGGCAGAGGCAAAAGGAACTTTTTCTTTTTTTTATTTTATACTTTAAGTTCTGGGATACATGTGTAGAACGTGCAGTCTTGTTACATAGCTAGTATACACATGCCATGGTGGTTTGCTGCACCCATCAACCCATCAGGTACATTAGGTATTTCTCCTAATGCTATCCCTCCCCTAGCCCCCCACCCCCCGACAGGCCCCGGTGTGTGATGTTCCCCTCCCTGTGTCCATGTGTTCTCATTGTTCAGCTCCCACTTATGAGTGACAACATGCGGTGTTTGGTTTTCCGTTCTTGTGTTAGTTTGCTGAGAATGATGGTTTCCAGCTTCATCCATGTCACTGCAGAGGACATGAACTCATCAAAAGGCACTTCTTACTTGGCAGCGGCAAGAGAAAATGAGGAAGATGCAAAAGCAGAAACCTCTAATAAAACTATCAGATCTCATGAGACTTATTCACTACCACAAGAACAGTATGGGGGAAACAGCCCCCATCATTCAAATTATCTCCCACTGGGTCCCTCCCATAACATGTGGGAATTATGGGAGTACAATTCAAGATGAGATTTGAGTGGGGACGCAGCCAAACCATATCATTCTTTCCCTGGCCCCTTCAAATCTCATGTC
Source organism: Homo sapiens (assembly GCF_000001405.40). Taxonomy (NCBI): domain Eukaryota; kingdom Metazoa; phylum Chordata; class Mammalia; order Primates; family Hominidae; genus Homo; species Homo sapiens. The sequence continues at coordinate 48,476,330 of NC_000001.11, read as the reverse complement.
CTCACATTTCAAAACCAATCATGCCTTCCCAACAGTCCCCCAAAGTCTTAACTCATTTCAGCATTAACCCAAAAGTCCACACTGAGACAAGGCAAGTCCCTTTTGCCTATGAGCCAGTAAAATCAAAAGCAAGCTATTTACTTCCTGGATATGATTTGGGTACAGGTATTGGGTAAATACAGTCATTCCAAATGAGGGAAATTGGCCAAAACATAGGAGTTACAGGGCCCATGCAAGTCCAATGTCCAGCGAGGCTGTCAAATCTTACAGCTTCAAAATGATCTCCTTTGACTCCAAGGTCTCACATCCAGGTCACGCTGATGCAAGACGTGTGTTCCCATGGTCTTGGGAAGCTCTACCCCTGTGGCTTTGCAGGGTACAGCCTCCCTCCCAGCTGCTTTCACAGGCTGGTATTGAGTGTCTGTGGCTTTTCCAGGTGAATTGTGCAAGCTGTTGGTGGATCTACCATTCTGGGGTCTGGAGAACAGTGGCCCTCTTCTCACAGCTCCACTAGGTGGTGCCCCAGTAGGGACACTGTATGGGGGCTCCCAACCCCACATTTCCCTTCTTCACTGCCCTTGCACAGGTTCTCCATGAGGGCCCCACTCCTGCAACAAACTTCTGCCTGGGCATCCAAGTGTTTCCACATGTCTTCTGAAATCTAGGTGGAGGTTCCTAAACCCCAGTTCTTGACTCTGTGTACTTGCAGGCTCAACACCATGTGGAAGCTGCCAAGGCTTGGGGATTGCATCCCCTGAAGCCACAGCCCTATCTCTATGTTGGCCCCTTACAGCCATGGCTGGAGCAGCTGGGACGCAGGGCACCAAGTCCCTAGGCTGCACACAGCATGGGGACCCTGGGCCTAGCGCATGACACCATTTTCTCCTAGGCCTCGGGGCCTGTGATGGGAGAGGCTGCCGTGAAGCCCTCTGACATGGCCTGGAGACATTTTTTCCATGGTCTGGGGGATTAACATTTGGCTCCCCATTACTTGTGCAAATTTCTGCAGCCAACTTGAATTTCTCCTCAGAAAATGGGTTTTCCATTTCTATCGCATTATCAGGCTGCAAATTTTCCAAACTTTTATGCTATTCTTCCCTTATAATACTGAATGCCTTTAACAGCACCCAAGTCACATCTTGAATGATTTGTTGCTTAGAATTTTTTTCTGCCAGATACCCTAAATCACCTCTCTCAAGTTCAAAGTTCCACAAATGTCTAGGGCAGGGGCCAAATGCCCCCAGTCTCTTTGCTAAAACATAACAAGAGTCACTTTTGCTTCAGTTGCCAATAAGTTCCTCATCTCCACCTAAGACCACTTCAGCCTGGACCTTATTGTCCATGTGGCTATCAGGCTTTTGGCCAAAGCCATTCAACAAGTCCCTAGGAAGTTCCAAAGTTTCCCACATTTTCCTGTCTTCTGAGCCCTCCAAATTGTTCCAACCTCTCCCTGTTACCCAGTTCCAAAGTCGCTTCCACATTTTCGGATATCTTTTCAGCAACACCCACTCTACTGATACCAATTTACTGTATTAGCTCATTTTCATGTTGCTGATAAAGACACACCCAAGACTGGAAAGGAAAAAAGGTTTAATTGGACTTGCAGTTCCACAGGGAGGGGAGGCCTCGGAATCATGCCAGGAGGCAAAAGGCACTTCTTACATGTGGCAGAAAGAGAAAACAAGAAGATACAAAAGCGGAAACCCCTGATAAAACCATCAGATCTTGTGAGACTTATTCACTACCATGAGAACAGTATGGGGGAAACCACCCCCAAGACTCAAATTATTTCCCACCAGGTCCCTCCCACAACACATGGGAATTATGGGAGTACAATTCAAGATGAGATTTGGGTGGGGACACAGCCAAACCATATCACTGGGTAAGCAGAGGTTGCTGTGGGCCGAGATTGTGCTAGTGCACTCCAGAGCCTGGGTGACGGGTAAAACCCTGTCAAAAACAAAACAAAACAAAAAACACCCAAAAAACCCCAAAACAAAACAAAATCCTGGGCAAAGTTCATAAAAATACCATAAAGAGAGAAGATTTTTGTAGTGTCTTAGAATTAATTTATTAACTAACCAGAATACACAAAATTCCTAAAAAAAAGACAAAAATCCTGATAGAATATGGGGTAAAGCATTATGAGCAGATGATTTTTAGTAAAGATAGAAAATCTTATAAGCATATACAGACATGCTCAGACTCATCAGTAATCTGAAAAATTCAATAGTGAGATAACACTTTACATCTGTTATGTTGGGGGAAAACAAGAACCCTTGATAATGCCAAGCCTGGGAAGAATGTGGGGCCATAGTAACCTTCGAATATTGGGAGCATAGACTGGTATGGCATTCTGGATAGCAACTTGGAATTATATGGTCAAACTGAGAATACTCATACTCCATGACAACAATTTATCTTCTGTTCATCACAGACTATATGTAAAATTAAAATACAAACACAAAGTGGAAAGGATATTTGCAACATATAGAGTAGACATATAATTATTATCCAGAGTATATAAAGAACTGAGAGAGAGACCAACAGAAAAGGGGGCAAGATAACTACTTGGCAGTTCAATAAGAGATAATGGAAAGGCTAACAAAACCAAAGGTACTCAACCTCAACAGTACCCAGAGATTCAAGATAAAACCACAATGAAATACCTAAAATACACACATCCAAATATACAAAAGTTAAAAATCCAAACACAAATGTTGCTGATGATGTGGAAAAATAAGAACTCTTATACATAAGCACCAGAAACATAAATAGGTACACTACTTTGGAAAATGGTGTGGTCTTACTTTTTAAAGACCCACATGTGCAAAACCCTAATACCCAGCTAACCCACTCCTACGCTAGTACATGTGCATTAATAGACACAGACTTGTACTACAATGTTCACAACATTGTTAATAATAGCTAAAAATGAAAACAGTGTAAGTGATCATTGATAGTAGGAAGGATAAATCAATCTATATTGGAATACTGTCCAGCAATGGAAAAAACTTCAGCTACACAGCATCACCGGTGGCATAATATTAAGTGGGAGAAGCAAATCACAGAAGAATACATACAGTATTAATACCATTTATATACTATCAATACCGGAAAACATTAAACAATATCTTGTTTAGAAATGCATACATGAATGGCAAAAGGAAGAGAATTATTGTACAAAAGTCAGGGTAGTGGTTACTCCAGGGCGAGAAAGGCAATGTAATCGTTGGGGGCATTTTTCAGGTGCTGGTAATGTTTTATTTCTTAACCGGGTGCTAGTTGTACAGGTACTGTTCACATTATTATTAAGATAAACGTGTTTTATACACTTCTGCATGTATAATGTATTTTGCAATACAAATGATTTTTAACATGATTGGATTGGGCAATCTCTTAGGTTCTTTTTATCTTTGATGGTCTATTGTCAGGCCCTTCACAGCTGGACTTATTGTTGGCACCTCATTGACAGTTCCACTTAAGCAATATGCATTAAGACGCATACATGGGTGAATTAGACAGGAAAATTTGAAGGGAAAAGGGAACGCGCTAACAAAGGGAATCACAGAATAGGAGACTAGGAGTATGGACCATCTGATGCAAGCCCCTCTCCTCAGGGAGGCAACTGGGGTTTAACTTGAGAGCTCCTGGGTTCCAGTCCTGGTTCCGACTTTGATTTGGGCAAGTCTCTTCCCTAATTCCCAGTATCCTTATGCTGGCTTTGTAAACCGTGCCGTGAAATTTAAATAGGAGGACTAACAATAATTATTATTCTTTTACAATTGGGAAAACTGAGGCCACAGTGGGTCGCCACTAGCCCAAGGTGCCATCACCACGTTGTAACTCAGGGGTTCCCTCCGACGGCCTTACAGGAACTCCAACTCCCTGAACAGAGCACCGTCCCATTATACAAACAGCAGCTCCCTTTCGTCCGGCTTTGGGCGCAGTTTGACGTCACAGAAGAGCTGCCTTGCCTCACCCCGCCCCTTCGGAAGCCCCGCCCCCTGCCCGACTCCGCCTCGCTCGGCGTTCGTCAAGCTCCGCCTCCAGCGCTCGTCCCAGCGCGGGTAGCCCTGGAGTGCCCCGCGCGGCCTCTCTTCCGGCCCCGCCCCTCCTGGCTGCCATGACAACGAGTCTGCGCCCCGCGCTCAGCTGCTTCTCCGGCGGAACCCAGGCTGGACCGCGGGCCCCGGCCTGGGGGCCACTGCTGCCACCGCCGCCGCCACCTCGTCTCCTCCCCGTCCCCGCCCAGCCCCAGGTCTCCCCGCCTCACTCGGGCCCGTGGCCGGGGTCACTCCCCGCCGCCCCTCCCCGCACGGATGCCGAAGGTGAAGGCGCTGCAGTGCGCCCTGGCGCTGGAGATCAGCTCAGTGAGTACCGGTAGCGCCTCCCACCCCCGGGCATTGGCTCAGGGACTCCCTCAGTCACCTCCGAGAGCCCGGAACCACCCCCAAACCTCCTTCACCCTCCGAATCATCCCTAGGGAGCGTCGACCTCACGCCCCTTCGGTCCTGCCCCATCTTGTTCTCAGAAGCGCTCTCCCACTCCGGCCACGCAGAGGCCTGACCCCTGCTCCGCTATGCTGGCTTCAACCCGACTTCCAACTTGCGCGCTTTCAGATCGTTCCCAAATCACTTCAGAGTTCTTTCCTCGCTCCTAACTTTCCAGTGAGAGAGAGTGTATGTGCGCGGCGCGGGGGCTTTTCATTCCTCTTTCGGGCTCCAGTTCTCTTAGAGAATTATTGCCCCCGCCTTTCCCAAGTCTGGGGGTGGGCGTCGCATTTCCTCCCGAATCCCTGCAGGCACACCATTTCAGACCAGTTTCAAACCCGCATTAATGAAGGGGCCTTTCTTTATTCTGTCTTCGAAGGAGAATCTTCACATCCAACAACTGAAATGTGTCATTGCGCAAAGTACCTTGCCTTCCCTCCCAGGGCCTTACAGGAAAAACCCAACTCCTCAGAAATCACTTCAGGCCCCTCCCGTCCCCAGACCCTTCCGACTTTGTGCCAGCCATTGCAAGAAAGGCCCAGTCATTTTTATGAGGGAAACACCTCCTTCTCCAACCTTGCAACCCCACCCCTTCACTCTCCAGACTTGCTCAAGAGGATGCTTTCCTCCATCCTCCTGTGGAAGTCCAGCTGGGGCAGAGAACCCCACTCATCCAGTGAAGGGGCTGGACCTCTCCATGCTAGGAGAAAACTCTATTCCCCTTGTTGATCTCAGAAGACTTCCAAGGGTTTTGAACTTCTTCCCCTGCATTCTTTAGAGAACCCTCTCATTCCCCTGTTTAGAGGAATACTCCCGCTTGTCTGTTCTGGAGGAAATCTCCACAAGACCCTTTCCACACCCCGTTTTAGTCCTGCAGGCACAGACCTGTACGGAGTTTGGAACCAAAATTCACCATTCGGTCTCTTCGCTCCTTCTTACTCAGTAAGTCTTCTTATGTATATTGCCTTCTGTTTGATCTCCTAGGAAAACTTGGGGGTTGAGAGTGCTGAAATATTACCATTACTCTCCTGGGTGCTGCAGCCAGGAGCCCTCTGCATTTCCTTCCTGTACACCCTACTGGCCAGGCTCCACTTAACCCGTGCTTGCAGCTTCCCGCCTTTCCTGGCTGGCCTTCGTCACGTTAGAATGAGGTTGCTGCAGCACAGAACTTAAACCCCTAGGAAAATCACAGGACTGTTTTAGGTCTTTTGTTAGGTCTTAAAGAAGGCAAGTGTGCGTGGGGCAGAGTGTGAGGCAGTGGTGGTGAAGTAGAAATTTTCTTGGACTCTCCCTTTATCTTCAAGCCTGCAGAGATTTTTCTCGGAAACTCCATAGCCCTAGCTTTGCTTGTTTTCCTCCCAAAGCTGCCATTTTTGACAACTTTTTGTAAAGTAAAATTAGTTTAGCAAGAAGAATGCACGAAACTTTCTCGATCCCTTGGCCCAGGACACAAGTTAGTGAAACTCCTTCAGAGTTCAGCCTTAATAGATTTTGTTACTGGCTTCTTCCTCCTCCTGCCAACTAATGGTGTTTAGCAGTCTGGTGAGCGCAGCTGCCTGACTGGCTGGCTGCAGCTTCCCTAACGTTGCCAATACAAACTTTCTAAGAGGAAGTACTCTGTTGTAACTGATTACTGCTTGAAGGAGTCGGAGGAATAGCTACATTTCTCCTGAGTATTAGTTGTATTGCAGAAAAGTGAATGACTGTGTAATTCACTGTATAACGGAGCTTTGTTACTTATCAGAGCTAAAGAAAACTATGATGGTGGAAATAATATTTTTCCCCAACAAACATTTAAGTCACAGAATTTTATAGTTCCGAGACATCTTAGATGGAAATCATTGGATTCAATCCCTTTTTACAGCCAAGAAAATCGATGCTCAGCATGGCTATTATTTATCTAGGATTGCACAACTGTTTAGAAGCAGATGTGCAAAATGTTCCCGAATTTTTGAACAACAAAAGCCTTTTAAAATGGCTCTGATGCTCAGAAGGAGCAAACAAACAACGCCCCTGACCGCCCCCCCCACAAAAAAAACCCCACTAGCAGACGTAAAAGTTAAACATGTTTGATTGATTGATTAATTTGGCTTTGATTGAATAGAAAGGTTATATGACCCTAGATATTTTTAACATCTTCATTTTGATTTTAGTTCCTTTCTTGTCTATTTCCTTTTTACATTTACATGGTTCAAGTTCAAGACTATAACATGATATACTCAGAGAAGTGTTGCTTCCAGGCTCAAAACTATTTCCCACCTATACTCATCTGCTTTAACCATTTTCACTGGTTTTGATATAAACAGATACACAAACTCTCTCTCACATACCACACAACATATATATATATATATATATATATATAAATAGATATTTGTTTTTATGAAATAGGTAGCGTATAAACTATTCTGTACCTTTGCTTTTCTTCGTTCAGTATGTCCTGGAGATCACTCTGTATCTATTAAAACTGGCATCTTTCTCCCCAACTTTTTAAATGAAATTTTTCAAACATACAGAGTACTTAGAAGAATAGTTCAATGAATAACTGTAACCCATGACCATGTACATTAATTTGATTTGTCTATATGTATGTGTATGTTTATGTATAAATTTTTTATTTTTTTGCTAAAAATTGAAAATAAATTGACATAATGATACTCCACCTGTAAGTACTTCAGCATGTGTCTTCTAAAAATAAGGATATTAGCTGGGTATGATGACAGGCACCTGTAGTTCCAGCTACTCAGGGGACTGAGGCAGGAGGATTACCTGAGCCCAGGAGTTTGAAGCTGTAGTATGCTGTGAGCACACCTGTGAGTAGCCCTGCACTCCAGCCTGGGCAACACAGTGAGACCCTGTCTCTTAAATAAATACATACGTAAATAAAATTAAAAAATAAGGAGATTGTTCTGTATAACCCCAACACCATTATTACACCTAAGATAATTGGTGAGAAATTCTTAATATTTAGTTCATATTCAAGTTTTTCTGGTTGTCCCAAACATGAGTTCCATAGTTAACTTTTTCAAACCGGGATCCAGTCAAGGTTTATATATTACCTTTAATCATTTGATTGATAGGTCTTTGTAGTTCATTTTAATATAGAGCAGTTCTATTTTTTTTTTATTCCCACAATGTTCCTTTTTTTTCCTCAGTTGGTTTTGGTCAATTCATACACTCATGTCACCATCACCCAGATCAAGATTTGGAACACTTCCATCACCCCTCGCAATTCCCTTGTTCCCCTTTCAGGTCCATTCCAGACAGAACTGCTTTCCAGAGAGAAATAAGTATAGGAGATGATGGAAATGTTAATTAGCTTGAATTAATCATTTCACAGTGTACATACCTGTAGCAAAACATCACTTTGTACAGTGTAAATATATGTAAGTTTTGACAAAAAAGAATGGATAAATATATTGTAGTATACACATACAATAGAATACTACTCCACAATTCAAAGGTACTACTGATAGAACCAACAACATGGATGAATCTCAAGAACATGCTGAGCAAAAGAAGTCAGATACTAAATATCACATACTATGTGGCTCCAATGTGAAGTTTAAGTACTGGCAAAGTAATCCATAGTGATAGAAATCGGAATAGTGTACACACACACCCCCTCACACACACACCTACCACATTTTCTTTATCCATTCATTCGTTGATGGACACTTAGGTTGCTTCCATATCATGAGTATGGTGAATAATGCAGCAATGAATATGAGAGTGCAGATCTCTTCCATATACTAATTTCCTTTGGATACATACCCAGAAGTGAGATTGCTGGATTATATGGTAGTTCTATTTTTTAATTATTTGAGGAAATTTTTCTTTTTTTAAATTATTTGAGGAAATATGCTTTTTGTAATGGCTCTTCTAATTTACATTTCTACCAACGGTGTACAAGGGTTCCCCTTTCTCCACATTCTTTCCAACACTTACAATTTTTTGAATTTATTATAGTAGTCGTTCTAACATGTGCGAGGGCATATCTTATTATATTTTTGATTTGCATTTCCCTGATGATTAGAGATGGTAAGCACCTTTTCATACACCTGTTGGCCATTTGAGATATCTAGTCAGACCTCTTGCCCATTTTTAAAATTAGGTTTTTTGTTTTCTTGCTATTGAGTTTGGGTCCTTACATATTTTGGATATTAACCGCTTATCAGATTTTCTCCATTCTGTATGTTTACTGTTAGTGGTTTCCTTTGCTGTGTAGAAGCTTTTTACTCTGATGCTATCCATTCTCTTGTTGATGGTTGTTTGGGTTGTTGCCAGGTTATGGTTATTATTGGATAATACTATTATGAATATTCATTCTTGTAAAAATCTTTTTGTGGACATTACCTTTTGAACATACTTGGCTCGGTTACAGAATAGTTCATGTTGTATTATTGCCTGATTTTTTCTTCTTTTTGTGGTGACATTCAGTTTTTTCCCAATTACTATAAACTGGAAACTAGGTGTTATCTTTGATTGCCTGTTGAAAGTTGCAATCTCATTCTTCTCTACCCCTTCCATGCTTACTTTTTGCTGAAGTTTTGTGTTAGTGGTAATCTCATCTGTGTAATACTTTAGTAATATGAAAGTAAAAACATAGAAAGGTTTGGATGTGTCACACAACATTTTATGTTGCCCAACAGAGCCATATGACATGAGAGAAAATATATTGCTAAGAGGAAAGTGACTTTTCTCAATGAGTCTTTGGAGAATGACATAGTATGCTAAGTAACTTGTTTTTAAAGAGCATCAAAAGAATTATATTTTCCATCACTTACATTTTAAATCTTTAAAACTTTTGTCTTTGATGGGAAGAAGTATTATTGCTGCTTTATCTCTTTACCTTCTTTTTATATTTAATATTTCAATTTTTATGAGCTTATTTGGGAAAATGGAAGATATTGGAGGTAAAGTAATAGTGTCAATTTGGGATTGCATGTAATTCTCACTTCATCTCATTACCTAACTGAAACTAATGATAGCACTGTGGCAGACAGATCTGGCTTCTTTCAGTCACTACTCATCTGAATATTTATCTTTGTGATCCTTATCCAGGTTACTGTAGGTAGTGTCTCAGTCACAGTTAAGCCACAGTTGGTGGTAAATTTCGCTGGAATATAGACTTTAAAAAATTTTAACTATAAAATAGTTCAAATTTATAGAAAAAAAAAACTGAATCCTTTGATGCCCCACCCCCCATTTAACAAATGATAAATTTTACATGTTTGCTGCAGATTTTTGTTTTTAAGAAATATAATGTTGCATGTAGGTGAGGCCTCCTCTGTACCTTTTACCTCTTCCTGACCACTTTTTCCTCCCTACCTTCCTTAAAATAACTAATATCCTGAAGTTGTAGTGTATTGTTTGTTCAGATTTTTGTACTTATTACTAAGTATTTGTGTATGTCTGTGTATAACCTATGCTGTAGTTTTGTTTTTAAATTTTGCACAAATAGTATCTTACTTGTATGTATCCTTCTGCAACCTGCTTTTTCTGATTCACTGTTTTTGAGATTTTTCAGTGTTGATTCTTGCAGGTCTAGTTCATTTCCTTCATTAGTATAAAATGGTATATGTTTATATTAACAGTGATATAATTTTTGTTCCTCTCTTAATGGACTTTTTATTAAATACTAGTAGTTAATGCTTTTTATTATTCAAAACAATGTTTCAATGAATATATTTGCACATATTTCCTAGTATCATTGTGTCTGTTGTTCTCAGGGGTGTATTGTGTGCCCTAGGGAGCATTTTACAAATTGACTAGACTACTTTTGTTTGTCACAGTGGTTGGGGAGTCCTGTGGTATTAATTGTTCGGTATCCTGCATGACTTGAATGTCTCATTGAATATGTAGATGAAAAACCTGTTTATAATTACTGGAGGTTAATAACATAATAGCAGTTGATAATCAATTATCTGTTTATTTATAAACACAAAGTCTTTTTAAAAGGTTTTTAAAACGCATTTTACAGTAATGCAATTGCCATGTAAATTGAGGAAAGAGTACACTTTGTTGGGTTTGGTGCTCTGCTAAGAGTTTACTTTTTTTGGAAAATCATGGCACCAGAGGCAATGCTGCTTGTGGTGTTTGAGTTGCTAGTGTGGGATGTTTATCATCTCACGTTTGAAACTGCCCATTTCACATAGATTCTGTGTATAGGTGCAAATATATCTTCCAGTGTAGTCTTGCCCAAGCATTTACATGTTAGAAATATGTATTTTCTTATAAAGTATTTCTGTATTTTTTCAAACTTTAATTAGGATATTGGTTTATTGTTTAGTTATATGTATAGGTAAGTTGAAAATATTTTCTGTAAAAGGATGATTTTGGGTCTTATAGAATGGTGACCCAGTGCTCTAGGGAGTAGATCTAGAAATGGAACTATTGAGTCTCAGGGTATCCGGTTAGTTTCCTAGGACTGTCATAACAAATTATCACAAACGTAGTTGCTTAAAACAACAGAAATTTATTCCCTCACATTTCTGGAGGCCAGAGTACAAAATAAAAGTGTCAGCAGAACGGTGCTCCTTTCAAAAGCTTTAGGGGAGAATCTTTCCTGCCTCTTCTAGTTTTTGATGGTTCCAGGCATTCCTTGGATTGTGGCTGCTTAACTCCAATCTTGGATCCTAGAGGTTTCCTTTTCTGTGACTACCAATATCCTTTGTCCTTTAAAAGTGTATTCTTGTTTTCTTCTTCTTGTTAAATATATTTTGGATACTAAACCTTTATTGGTTATGTGTAATGGAATTTTCAAAGATCGTCTAGTTGAAGTTTATATTTTACTTTGTTTTTGCTCTTTTTAGTACTGCATGTTTTTCATTTTCTAATTTTTTCGTTTCTGGTAAACAAAGAATGCTATTGATTTTTAAAATGATTATTTTACTTGACAAACTTGTATATATTTATTGCGTTATTGATTTTTTAAATTAAGTTTTTTATGGAACTATAGCATATATTCATAAAGTACACAAATCGTAAATGTATAATCACCAATAATTAGAATATTATCAGAACCCCAGATTGCTCCATTGGGCTGTCTCCCTCCCGCCACTTCACCTACCCCTGTTCCTCTCCCAAAGGTAACCACATCTTGACTTCTCTTACAATATATTTTGAAGTTTTGAAATCTAGCTATATCTATCTATGATCTGTCTATTTTGTATGGTCTGAATTCTTTTATGTCTAACCAATTTGTGGGAGTTTATCCTTGTGGTTTATGAGGCAATAGCCCTTTTTTCCCTTCTTAAATGAATATAACACTATTTATTCTTCCTATTGTTGATGGACATTCTCATTGTTTCTAGTTTGGGGATATTACAAATTGTGCTCCTATGAGCATTCTTGTATATATCTTTGTTGCACATTTTATATTTTAATTTTGGATGCAACATTAAATAACATGAAATAACATTATTTCAATAGTTGTATTTTTTATGTGGAAAATGACGTTGTTTGAAAATAGACAGTTTTGACTTTTGCAGTACAATCCTTTGTTTTGTTTTGTTTTGTTTTGTTTGCCTTGTCTTTATGTTGATGGCTAGAATTTCTAGTATAGTGTTTAATGTTAGGGATAACAAAGTAGGTATCTTTGTCGTTTTTTCTAATTTTAAATTATGCTTCTGAAGTCTCACCATCATTAGACCAAATCCTATGAAATCGCTGATAATGGGCCATTTTTTTGGCTTAAAAAAACCTCAGCCATTTCAAATGTAGTTGAACCTAATAGAATATTGGCTGTAGGGTTTTCATTTATTGAGTTAGTGCAGTTCCCTTCTATTCTAATTTTAAAAAATCCTGAATGTTGAGTTATTTGGGATGTTTTTTTTTAATCCAGTGAAATTATTATATAATAATGCTTTCATAGTCTGTAAAAAAATGACACTTTTTGATGTTGAACTATTCCTATTCCTGTAATAAGTTCTTTTAAGTCAGGATGTACAGTTTTTACTCTATTTTGCTGGATTTGGTTGGCTAATTTTTTATTTAGGATCTTTTATTTGTATTTGTAGAGAGATTTTAGCTTTATGAGTCAACTACTTTTTTTCACTTATTTTTAAAACATTTATTTTGAAATATTTCAGACATATAGGAAGTTATAGAGTAACATTTAATGAACACCTGTGTACCCATCCAGGTGAAGCATCCTGTAAATCTCTGCCTAATAAAATCCCTTTTTCCTTCTTCTTTTTGGCCAATCGGTATCCTGAATTTTGTATTTACCACTTCTCTGCAATTTGCAATATTTTTTCTCATTGTAATATCTGCCTTTAAGGCACTTGATTTGCTTCCAGTTGCTGTTTAACTGGCATCTCAAAGCTATTGATAATGTTTTAAAATCATTTGGCTCTAAATATTTTATAATTTTTATTATGATTTCTACTTTAGCTTATGAACTATCTAGGATTTGTTTTAATTCCAAGATGCATAAGATTTACGTGTGTGTAACACTCTCCCATACTCATACTCTCCCCCCTACCTATACACATACATACCTACACATATACATATATATTATCTTTTATTGTGGTATTTTAATGAATTGCATTGGGGTCATGTATTAGGGTTCTCCAGAAAAACAGAACCAATAGGATATACTATATAGTTATTTAATAGGGAATTTATTATGGGGATTGGCTCACTTGATGACGGCTTTGCAGTCCCATGATATGCTGCCTGCAAGCTGTCTGCAAGCTGCAGAACCAGGGAAGCTTGGTGATGTAATTCAATCTGAGTACAAAGGCCTGAGAACCAGGTGTAAGTCTTGGAGTCTGAGGGGTTGAGAACCTGCAGTTCTGTTATCCCAGGGCAGGAAAAGATGGATGTCCGAGCTCAAGGAGAGAGAGCACATTTGCCCTTAATCTGACCTTTTGTTCTATCCTTGCACTCAACAGATGGTATAATCCCTGCCCACATTGGTGAGGGTGGTCTTTGTTACTCAATCTGCTGATTCAAATACTAATCTCTTATGGAAACATCCTCACAGACACACCAAGAAATAATGTTTACCAGCTACTCACGTATCCCTTAACCCAGTGAAGTAGATACATAAAATTAACCATCATAGCTAGTGAACAAGGTCTCTATGTTATTATGTTTGTTATTTCCTTTGTGTCCTGATACTTATCCAATTGTTGTAAATGCTCTCTACTTGCTTAAAATAATATATAATCTCATTTGTTGGATGTATGGCTCTATCTGTCATTATCACACCAATCTTACTTACTCTGAAATTCAATTCCATATTAAATTTTTTGTCTGCATGATCTACCCATTTGTAATGGAGAGGTATTAAAATCTTCACTATGATTATGTATTTTCACTTTATCCTTGATGTATTTCAGTACACTGTGATGTATAGAGCTGTGGATTTATTTGTTTATTCTGTTTTGCACTGGGTGTATGCTTTCCACTTCAGAATTTAAGGTTTTCTGTAGTTCTTGAAAATTCTTAGCTATCATATTATTTTTTATTTTTTGTTATTATTGTACTTTAAGTTTTAGGGTACATGTGCACAATGGGCCGGTTTGTTACATATGTATACATGTGCCATGCTGGTGTGCTGCACCCATTAACTCGTCATTTAGCATTAGGTATGTCTCCTAATGCTATCCCTCCCCGCTCCCCCCACCCCACAACAGTCCCCAGAGTGTGATGTTCCCCTTCCTGTGTCCATGTGTTCTCATTGTTCAATTCCCATCTATGAGTGAGAACATGCGGTGTTTGGTTTTTTGTCCTTGCGATAGTTTACTGAGAATGATGATTTCCAATTTCATCCATGTCCCTACAAAGGACATGAACTCATCATTTTTTATGGCTGCATAGTATGCCACGGTGTATATGTGCCACATTTTCTTAATCCAGTCTGTCACTGTTGGACATTTGGGTTGGTTCCAAGTCTGTGCTATTGTGAATAGTGCCGCAATAAACATACGTGTGCATGTGTCTTTACAGCAGCATGGTTTATAGTCCTTTGGGTATATACCCAGTAATGGGATGGCTGGGTCAAATGGTATTTCTAGTTCTAGATCCCTGAGGAATCGCCACACTGACATCCACAATGGTTGAACTAGTTTACAGTCCCACCAACAGTGTAAAAGTGTTCTTATTTCTCCACATCCTCTGTAGCACCTGTTGTTTCCTGACTTTTTAATGATTGCCATTCTAACTGGTGTGAGATGGTATCTCATTGTGGTTTTGATTTGCATTTCTCTGATGGCCAGAGGAAAGGATTCCCTATTTAATAAATGGTGCTGGGAAAATTGGCTAGCCATATGTAGAAAGCTGAAACTGGATCCCTTCCTTACAGCTTATACAAAAATTAATTCAAGATGGATTAAAGACTTAAATGTTAGACCTAAAACCATAAAAACCCTAGAAGAAAACCTAGGCATTACCATTCAGGACATAGGCATGGGCAAGGACTTTATGTCTAAAACACCAAAAGCAATGGCAACAAAAGCCAAAATTGACAAATGGGATCTAATTAAACTAAAGAGCTTCTGCACAGCAAAAGAAACTACCATCAGAGTAAACAGGCAACCTACAAAACGGGAGAAAATTTTCGCAACCTACTCATCTGACAAAGGGCTAATATCCAGAATCTACAATGAACTCAAACAAATTTACAAGAAAAAAACAAACAACCCCATCAAAAAGTGGGCAAAGGATATGAACAGACACTTCTCAAAAGAAGACATTTATGTAGCCAAAAGACACATGAAAAAAGCTATCATATTTTTGAGTATTGTTTTTCTGCTGTTCTCTCCTGTCTTACCTTCTGGCAGTACTATTAGATATGTATTGGAACTTTTATCTATTCTCAGTGTTTCTTAAGAGCTTTATTTATTATTCTTTAAATTTATCAGGCAGCCCTTGAACCAGAACAGGTTCAGAGAGGCTCCTAAATGCTTTTTTTTTAACATTAAAAAAAAAACTTATTGTTTTTAGATAATTCTTCAATATTAAATTTGTACTTAATAATTTAAAATTTATCTCCTGTTCTGGGATTTTTAACTTAATTGACTAAATTTTCCAAAATTCTCATTTAGTCTCTCTTTTTAAATATCTGCCAATTTTCATTCTTACCGGTATATATTGACTTTATATTTTGTGACTGTGAAATTTCCCTATTATTTCTAGTAGCACATTTTGCAATAGGTCACAACTAAGATGTTTGAAAATACATTGTTTTACTTCTTCCTTTTCAAACTGTGTGCCTTTTATTTCTTTCATTTCCAAATATCTTTTTCTTGTCCTTCTGCACTGGCTGGAACCTATGGTGCATTGTGGTATAGAGGTGTTGAGAGTGGACATTCTTAACTTTTTGCTGATATTAGGGGCAATTATTCGGTCTTTCAGTGTCAAGTATGTTTGATATCAGATTTAGGCTTTTGCATAGATATTCTTTTTCAGTTGAGGAAATTTCCTTCTGAGTTTGCTGAGAACATTTATTATGAATGAGGCTTAAATTTTGTCAAATGCTTTTTTTCCAAACAGAAAATTAATTAAAAGAATTTCGAAGATTTAATGCTGTAATATACCTTTTAGAAGTGATTTAATAAGCCTGGTGCAGTGGCACATGCTTGTAATCCCAGTGCTTTGTGAGGCTGCGGTGGGAGGATCACTTGAGCCTAGGAGTTTGAGACCAGTTTGGGCAACATAGTGAGACCCCATCTCTGAAAAAAAAAATTAGGCAGGCATGGTGGCACCTGCTTGTAGTCTTAGCCACTTGGGAGGTTGAGGTGAGAGGATTCCTGGAGCCCAGGAGTTTGAGGCTGCAGTGAGCTATGATCATGCCACTGCATTCTAGCCTGGGCAACAGAGCAACACCTCATATCTTAAAAAAAAAATGACTTAATTACATCCCACAAATTTTGATACGTTGTGTTTTCACTTTTATTCAGTTGGAAGTTTTTTTCTAATTTGTCTTATAATTTCTTCTTTGACCTATGAGTGATTTAGGACCCTGTTATTTAATTTCCAAATATTTAGGTATTTTTTTCAGATATTTTCCCATTACTGATTTCTAGTTTAATTTCATTCTGGTTAGAGAATATACTCTGCATGATTTTTTAAAAAAATTTATGTCCTTTTATGTTGATTGAGACTTGTTTTATGACTCACAGTATCATCTATCATGGTGAATGTTTTTATGTGCCCTTGGAAAAAAATACGTGTATCCTTCTGTTGTTGGATGAAGTACTCTGTAAATGTCATTTAGGTCAAATTAGTAAATATTGCTTATATCTTCTATATCTTTAATGATTACTTGACTGCTTATTTTTGTTAGTTATTGAAAGGGAAGTACTGAAATTCAAATGTGTAATTTTTTGCTTTATTTACTTTGACACTGTATAATTAGATGCTATTATATTTAATTTAATTTGATTGTGTTAGTAAATCAAACTTTTAATCAATATGAAATGTTCCACTTTATCCTTGGTGATTTTTCTCTTTCTGAAGTCTACTTTATGTCATATTAACATAACTACCCCAGCTTTTATGATTAGTAATTAGATGATAGATCTTTTCCCTCATTTCACTTTTATTAGTCTTTATCTTTTTGAAGTTGCAATATTATTCACATCCCATGAAACGTTCTTTTTTTTTTTTTTTTTTTTTGATATGGAGTCTCGCAGTGTTGCCTAGGCTGGTGTGCAGTGGTGCGATCTTGTCTCACTGCGACCACCACCTCCTGGGTTCAAGCAGTTCTCCTGCCTCAGCCTCCCGAGTAGCTAGGATTACAGGTGCCTGCCACCACGCCCAGTTAATTTTTTCTATTTTTAGTAGAGATGGGTTTTCACTATGTTGGCCAGGCTGGTCTCAAACTCCGGACCTCATGATCCACCTGCCTCATCCTCCCAAAGTGCTGGGATTACAGGTGTGAGCCACCAGGCCTGACTGAAATGTTCCCTTTTAAAGTGTACAATTTAGTAAATTTTAGTATATTCACAAAGTTGTGCAAAAATCACTACTAATTTCAGAACATTTTCATCACCATATAAAAAAATCCTGTATCTGTTAGTAGTCATTCCCTATTATCCCTCTCCCACCAGCCCCTGGATCTAATTCCCGTATCTGTAGATTTGCCTATACTGGACATTTCTATAAATGGAATCAAACAATATGTGGCCTTTTGTATCTTACTTTTTTTTACTTAGCATAATGCTTTTAAGGTTCATCCCTCTTGTAGCACGTATCAGTACTTTCTTTCTTTTTATGGTGAATAATATTTCATTGTATGGACATACCATATTTTGCCTATCCATTAATCAGTTTGTTAGAGTAGACAGCCAAAAATGAGCAGACAGGGTTGCCTCTGGGAAAAGAAGTCCTGGATACTCTGCCCACTGACAGTCAGCAAAAAAGACAGCAAAAAGAGTGGCTACATCTGGCCTTGTGCTTTTAAAACTTTTTTCACTTAACATAATGCTTTTAAGGTTCATCCATGTTGTAGCACGTAATAGTAGTTTATTTCTTTTTATGGCCAAAAAATAGTTGGATCATAGTTTTGAATCCATTCTGCCAATCTATACCTTTTGGTTGGAGTGTTTAGTCAATTTATCTTTAATGTAACCACAGATAAGATTTACTTGTGTCATTTTGTCTTTTGTTTTCTGTGACTATTTTGTCTATTCTTCCACTATTGCTTTTTTTGTGTTAATTATTTTTTAGTGTGCCACTTACATTTTCTTTTTTTTAAGCTGTAGTTTTAAAGTTACTTTCTTAGTGCTTGTCTGGGGTTTACAATTAGCATCTTAATTTATAATCTAGTATGGATTAATACTAACTTATTTTCACTATTACAGAAAACCTTTCTTCTATTTTGTTCTATTCTCCCTCCCTTCCTTTATATTATTGTCATACAAATTACATTTTTATAAATATAAGTACACCAGCACAGTTTTATAATTATTGCTTTCTGTAATTGTCTTGAAATAAAATAGGAGAAATAAGAGAAAAATGCATTTACACTGTTTTTATATTTATATAGTTTCATTTACTGGTGCTCTTTTTTCTTCTTAATGTGGATATGAGCCTATGTCTAGTATCCTTTCAGTTCAACCTGAAAGATTCTCTTTAAGTATTTTTGATAGGGAAGTTCTGCTAGTGATGAGCTATCTCATTTGTTTATTTGGGAATCACTTAGTTTTACTTCCTTTTTGAAAGAAAATTTTTGTGGGTATTGAATTATTGTTTGAAAGTTTTCTTCTGTTAGCACTTTGAGTCAGTTATCACTCTGCCTACTGGCTTCATGTTTCTGATGAGAAATCAGCCGTTAATCTTACTGAAGATTATTGATGCCTGCTGAATCACTTCTATCTTGCTGTTTTCAAGATTCTCTCTTCTTGAGAGTTCATTGGATTATCTTCTTTTTTTCTTTTTTTCTTTTTTGAGATGGAGTCTTGCTCTGTTGCCCAGGCTGGAGTGCAGTGGTGTGATCTTGTCTCACTGCAACCTCTGCCTCCCTGGTTCAAGCAATTCTTCTGCCTCAGCCTCTTGAGTAGCTGGGATTACAGGCATGTGCCACCATGCCCAGCTAATTTTTGTGTTTTTAGTAGAGATGGGGTTTCGCCATGTTGGCCAAGCTGGTCTCGAACTCCTGACCTCAGGAGATCCACTCATGTGGGCCTCCCAGAGTGCTGGGATTCCAGGCGTGAGCCACCATGCCTGGATAGATTATCTTCTGTTGAAAGTTTATTAGGTGCACAGGTTGGAGTTCTGTGATCTTTTAAAAAGTTTTAAATTTTTTTTTTCTGTAGAGAGAGGCTCTCACTATGTTGCCCAGGCTGGTCTTGAACTCCTGGCCTCAAGTTATCCTCCCTTGATTTCTTTGATCTTGTTGGATTCTTTTATTGGTTTTCTTTAAACATCAGAAGATTTCATATATTATTTCTTGTGATATCCTTTCTGAGGCTCTCATTCTATTTATTTTACTGTGCTTGGTGGTATCCCACAGGTCTGAAACTCTGTTCATTTTTCCTTCTGTTAATCAGACTGGATAATTTTAATTGACGTATTTTCAGGTTCCCTTATTCTTTTTCCGACAGCTCATATCTCCTCTTGAACTTCTCTAGTGAATTTTTAATTTAATTTTGGCACTTTTTTAACTCTAGAATTTTTATTTGGTTCTGTTAAAAATTTTTATCTCTTTATTGATATTTCTTATTTGATGAGACAGCATTGCCATACTTTCATTTAGATCATTAGACAAGATTTCCTTTAGTTCTTTGTATTATTTACAATAGATTTCAGATCTTTGTTTAGTAAGCCCAACTTCTGGGCTTCCTCAGGGACAGTTTTTATTGACTGCTCTTTTTTTTTTCCCCCATGTATAGGCTGTGCTTTCTATTTCTTTGCATGTTGCAATTTTTGTTGAAAATTAGACTTTTTAAATTATGTGGGACTGTGTAAATCAGAGCTCCCTCCCTTTCTCCTGAATTTGTTATTGTCTGGTATTATTGTTTTTTGTTTGTTTAATTAATTTCCTGAACTAACTTTGTAAAATCTGTAATCTTTGTCATGTGTAGCCACTGATGGCTTTGCTCAATTAGCTTTATGTTCTCCTAAAGAGTGGCCTTCTATTTCCTTAAATGTTTGAACCAAGAGGTCTTTCAGCCATTGTCAGGGTTCTCTGTGTATATGTTGGGGTATGCTTTCTGTGCCCTGGTGCCATTTGCAACTCTGCCTTAGCCTTCACTTCCAACTTTCTCAAAGCCCCAAGGTCAGCCAGAGGTGAAGGGTTATGGCTTTCTCAGGTCATTTCTCGGCACATGAACAGCTTTGCACATGTGCATGCTCTTCTAAATTGCCAAGTCTATGTCATAGCTTGCCAAGGTGATTTAAGTCAACCACCTTGCTAGGTATTTTCTGTTTGTCCCATCTGATTTCTTTTAACCTCCCTTTTCTGGCTTTCTTTTTGGAAAGCTGCTGGGTGTTTTTTTAAGAGATAGCAGAATTTGTAGAATTGTAGATGAAAAAAACAATGCCTTCTTGCATATGTTACAAATTGGATAGAGCTTCAGCAGTTTCCAATGAGGACAATTAGAGCAGTACTGTCCAGAAAAAATATAAGAGCCTCAAATTTGAGGCAAGGATGTAATGTTAAATTTTCTAATAGCTACATTTAAAAAAGTTAAAGTAGTAGGCCAGGTGCGGTGGCTCATGCCTGTAATCCCAGCACTTTGGGAGGCCGACATGGGCAGATCACAAGGTCAGGAGATTGAGACCGTCCTGGCTAACACGGTGAAACCCCGTCTCCATTAAAAATACAAAAAATTAGCCTGGTGTGGTGGCGGGTGCCTGTAGTCCCAGCTACTTGAGGCTGAGGTAGGAGAATGGCGGGAACCTGGGAGGCGGAGCTTGCAGTGAGCCTAGACCGTGCCACTGTACTGCAGCCTGGACGACAGACAGAGTGAGACACTGTCTCAAAAAAAAAAAAAAAGTTAAAGAGGTAGTCAAAAGTAATAATATGTTTTATTTAAATCAATGTATTCAAAATATCCTTTCAACATGCAATTAATATAACAGTTATTAATGAAATGTTTTACAGATTTTTTTTACTGAGTCTTAAAAACCCATTTCATATTTTACACTTACAGCCCTTCTTAAGTTAGACTAGTTGTATCTCTGGGCGTAATTGGCTAGTGCCTACCATTTTGGACAGCACAGATTTAGAGGGAATCTAAGACGATTTTAGTTTTAATGAGGCAAAGCAAGAAATGAACCTTATGGACAGAATGAGATTTGTTGAGGACCCTGGTTTTAATGATCAATTGGGAATATATTAGAGCAAAAGGGGAACATAGAGTAAGAGGGAGATGGAGTCAAATAGCTGGCAGAGAAGATAATTAGTATGTACAAAAGGATGTGAAGTATTTGTCATTTATTCAACGTAATAGTGTGGTAAGATGGCAGGTTATATGGTTTTTAATCTAATAATTGTGATAGTATTAATGAATGTTCTGTCAAGCACTGCTGTAAGCACTTTGAATATATTAACTTATTTAATCTTATGACTCATTTACTTTGTGACCTTAAGTTAGTAGATCACTTTAACTTTCCCGGGGCTCCGTTTATTTCACATATAAAAAACTCAAAGCTAGACTAGATAATCTCTATGCTTTTTCTTAATACTGAAAGTCTGTATCTTTGGATACAATGATGAGGAAAAGAAAATTTCTGTCCTCAGGAAATTTATGATCAAGAGGTGATATGTACCCTCTTAATTAAAATGCATGTACACAATGATTTGTACCATAATTACAAAATGCTACAGAAATTTAAGACATACTTACTTGCATATAGTAAGTTCATAATAAATGTTTGAATTAGGTTGACTTGAATAATGGTGAATCAAGAGAAATTTGGTGTAGGAGATGTTCATTGATGTATGTCTTGGCAGGTGGTAGGAATAAATGAGGAGGAGATGGAATGGAGTAGTAAGGAGTTACTGCTCCTTACGTTGTATTATATTATGTTACATTATACAATGATGAAAGAACATGAGTCAAGAAAAGAGAACAATAAAAAATATACTTTGAATGTGTTGTTGGGAGTGTTGGGTAATATTATATTGTACTCAAATCTTAGAGAGCCTTTAATATCCTGCTGAGGGTGTAGTTGATCACTGGCAATAGAATATGGTAGGTACTGGAGAGACTGTGCTATGTGTTATTTAATAACCACACATTTTTTTGCCTATATTTCCTGTCAATCACAATGAGGATAGTTAAGTGCAATTTAATATGCACTTAACTATATAAGTGCACTCCAGCCTGGGTGACAGAGCGAGACCCCATCTAAAAAAAAAAAAAAAGAATATATGATATTTTACTTATGACTGTTTCTTGGTACTTCTTTCTGTCTTTTTTTTCCCCCTAAAACTGCAGCTTTTGGTTAATTATGACCAATTGTGTTTCTTACTTTTTAATTTCCTTCTTTCTCACTTTTTTTCCTTCCTTCTCACCTTCCTTCCTTCCCTTTTTCCTTCTTTCTTTTCTACTTTTTCTCCAGAACCTACTCTATTCTGTGGACTGTTCTAGGCACTGAGGACACATGGTAAACAAGGGAAAATCCTCCCCTCTGGGAGCTTTCGTTGTAATGGGGGAAACAGACAGTTAAGGTATATGCACTTAACTATATAACTAAATAAGTTAAAGTAAAAAGTACTTTATTGGGCTAGAAACTTTCATTTTATTAGCTTTGAAACTTTGTCATATGACTTTTGATGAAGGTATCTATGGACTGTGATTTTGGGTGATAGAAGTCAGATTTGTGGTTTTTATCAGCGTTTTTTAAAATTCTATAATATAGTGTTTTATTTCTGCTGAGTGTTAATCCTTTGTGATTAAATGATGCTGAATAACTTTATGTCAGCATTCAGCATAAAGTGGGAGCCTCAGGCTGACTGTTTAAAACTATTAGTGTCTGTCCCAAGAGCTAGTACATAGAACTTCAAATGTGGCACAAGTAACCAAATGGAAAATTGTAGTTTTCTCAGAGGGATGGAAGTTATAAAAGCATTTCATTTAACTCTGTAAACACTAGTCTCTGTCTCTCTCTCTTTATTTGTGAGTATTTTTTATTAGATTACCAGACTAATGTTTTTATGTAATATTTGATAAGTTATTTTAGTAGGATAGTTCAGGGAATTTATAAAGCAGTTACATCCATTTTATCTAATTTCTTTCAGGTAACTTGCCCAGGAGTCGTGCTTAAAGACAAAGAGGACATCTATCTTAGCATCTGTGTGTTTGGCCAATACAAAAAGACACAATGTGTCCCAGCCACTTTTCCCCTGGTCTTCAATGCCAGAATGGTGTTTGAAAAGGTGAGTTCAAATATCAGATCAAGTATTAACAAACAAAACATCAAAGTGGTTCCAATTTTTGAATAAAAGCCTATAACACAAATTATTACTGCTGACTGTGTGCTTTGGTTTAATTCAAAAGGACATTTGTAACCTAAGCCTGGAAGCTTGAAAATTTGCATTAAATATGCATTGAATCAGTTGCCTTTTTTCCCTTGATTAGCTTATTCCTAAAATTGATTTAGTGGACTTTATGTAACATAGAATCTTGATTTCTAAATAATGATTTTCATTAAAAGAGAGCAAAGTCATTAATAGATAAGAATATATCAGCCGTGTGCGGTGGCTCATGCCTGCAATCCCAGCACTTTGGGAGGCCGAGGCGGGTGGATCACCTGAGGTCAGGAGTTCGAGACCAGTCTGGTCAACATGGGGAAACCCTGTCTGTTCTAAAAATACAAAAAATAGCCAGCTGTGGTGGCACCTGCCTATAATCCCACTTACTCGGGAGGCTGAGGCAGGAGAATTGCTTGAACCTGGGAGGTGGAGGTTGTAGTGAGAGGAGATAGCGCCACTGCACTCCAGCCTGGGTGACAGAACAAGACTCCATCTAAAAAAAAAAAAAAAGAATATATGATATTTTACTTATGACTGTTTCTTGGTACTTCTTCCTATAAGTCTTTGCAGCTTTTGGTTAATTATGACCAATTGTGTTTCTTACTTTTTAATTTCCTTCTTTCTCACTTTCTTTCCTTCCTTCTCGCCTTCCTTCCTTCCCTTTTTCCGTCTTTCTTTTCTTCTTTTTCTCCAGAACCTACTCTATTCTGTGGACTTTTCTAGGCACTGAGGACACATGGTAAACAAGGGAAAATCCTCCCCTCTGGGAGCTTTCATTGTAATGGGGGAAACAGACAATAACCAAATAAATATGTGAATAATTTTAGATAGTGGTAAGTGCATGAAGAGAATAATGGGCGGGTAAGGGGATTTGGGGGATTGTCTATTTTAAAAGGTGGTCAGAGAAGGCAATAACATTTAAGCTGAGCCTGAATTATGAGACTATATTACTCTTATTTGAAGGTCTAGGAGAAGAGCATTTTAAGCAGAGGAAAAACAAATATAAAGGCTTGTAGTTGAAAATAATCTTGATGGGTTGGAGGAACACCAAGAAGGCCTGGTATGATCATGGTAACAAGAGGAAGAATGCTAGCAGAGGAAGTTGGAGACGGAGGCAGCACAAGCTATAAAGGTTATTTGTAGAATCTTTTGTAGTGATGGGAAGGAGAGAGGAACTGACAGTTCTCAATAATGTCAAAAGTTTCTGTGATTGTGAAAGGAATGATATTTTGGGGATGAAGGGAGAAAAAAAATATATATCTTCCTTCCTGCCTCTCCCTGTATCGTCTCACTATAGGTGTTCCCGGACGCAGTAGATCCTGGAGATGTGGTTACACAGCTTGAATGTAAGTTTTTTAACTTTTTAATTCCTGATTCTAAGACATTTTAGGATTTATTATCCTTATGATCTTTAATCTTGGGTTAAATAAAAGTTTAAAAGGGGTTAGTAGAACTTTAAAAATCTTGAGCTGAGACTTTTTAATACTTTTTAGAATTTCAGAATATTCCTGGAAATAATAAAAGATATATATGCTGCAGAGAGGCTGAGAATTCTTTCTTTTTTTGTGTGTTTGGTCTGTGGAAAACAGAGACTTATTTAAGCTTTTTATTGATTAAAATGATATGGGGTGTTTGTGATATAGTGACAGAAATTTATGTTAGTTGAGATTTTCCCCTGCAAACAGAAATATGTCTTCTACTTCAGTGTATTTCAAGTCAAGAGAGTGAATAACAGATCAAAGTAATGGTAGCTTAAAATATATGCTTTTGCACTTTACATTGCATTCATTACATTAATAAATTATTTGAAAAACACATTTTTTCAAGGCTCTGCATAACAAGTAAATTCTTCAAACTACTTAGAATAACTATAAAAAGATACAACTATTTGTGAGAGCAGCAATGCAAAAGTGTACACTTTTTAAGCTCTGAGTGTTAAATGAAAAGCTCCGTTAATTTATCTTTGTAATTTGAAAGGGCTCTGGGATCAACAGATTGATCTAATGTATAAATGTGGCTCAAAAGGCCAGTAAAATTGAGCATAATCATTATTAACTTTCCTTTCCATTTGGCCTCCCCTGCTGGCCCCATTGCGACTTCAGCAATGTAGAAACATGTAGCCTGGAACATGCAAGAATCTGAGTATTAGAGGGAAGAAGAGTCTGGCCCATTGTCTGTCTCATGGAGCTTATAGTTTAGTGACTCTTCTCCAAATAACTCTTTATGGCCAATGTCAATATCTTATTTATTTTGTATAGCTGTTCTAGCCCTTGGTGTTATATTTTCCACTGTTGCAGACTAGCTAGGTGGCAGTGTGGTGCTAATGGATATATGAATTTTAATATTTACTGAACATCTTGTTCAGTATCTGGGAAATTGTGTATCTTAGAAAAAAATGAAGATACACATTTCTCTCATTTTGAAATTCTTCTGTTAAAAAACAATGCCTTTTTTGTCCCATTTGATTTGAAATTTTGAGGCTATAAGAAGAGTACTTAGTGGTTATTATTTTTTGGAAATTTTCTTTCTTTGATTTCCCTGATTTTTTTTTTTTTTTCTTGGGCTCTCTTCCCAACCACTAGTATTCCATTTTTTGGTACCCTTTTTAAATTCATCTTTCTCTGCCCTATCTTCAAATATTAATATTTCACTGGCTTTCTTCTCTGATCTCTTTTTATACTTTGTTTATGG
This sequence comes from Homo sapiens, assembly GCF_000001405.40. Taxonomy (NCBI): domain Eukaryota; kingdom Metazoa; phylum Chordata; class Mammalia; order Primates; family Hominidae; genus Homo; species Homo sapiens. Next base: position 48,450,206 of record NC_000001.11, on the reverse strand, counting down.
TCTCTCCTTATATAATACTCTCCAAAGACTTGGCTTCATGTATTACCTATCCTCCAATTACTTCCATGTTAGTCTTTATCCCTGACCTCTCTAATGTGCTTTGGGCTCTTTTGTCTTTTACTCCTCCCTTACTGTACTGTTTTGCAGTCTTTTTCAGTTCCTTAATTAAAAAAAAAATGAGCGAGTTTATAATACCCACACTAACAGTGGAGAGAATAGAATGTGATGAAGTCCTGTGTATCTGTCACCCAGCTTCAATATTTTTTGACATTTTGCCAATCTTATTACATGTTCACTCTGCCACCTGAAGAGCATTGCTGGAATATTTAAAAGCAAATTCTATGCATTATGTCATTTCACCACAAATACTTTGGTATGGCCTCTAACAGATAAAGGCTTTAAAAAATACAGAACCACCATGCTGGTATCACACCTAACAAAATCAGTAATTTCTTAATAAGATCAAACAGTCATAATTCAGATTTCCCTAGTTATCCTCAAAGTGTCTTTTTGCAATCGATTTGTTAAAATCAGGATCCAATCAAGGTGTGGTTCACACACCATATATGTCGATTTCTCTCTTTTTTCCTATAGTAGTGTCCTACCTTTTTTGTTTTTAATACTGTGGATTTGTTAGAAAAACTAGCTCATTTAGCATGTCATACAGTTTGGGTTTGGCTGATTGCTTCCTTAAAATGTTGTTTGGATTGTTTATTACTTGTTTTATAAACTGATAATTAGACATAGAGGTTTGATTAGATTCTGGCTTATTTTGTTACTTTGGCAAGAAATCTTCATAGTTGGTGCTGTGTACTTAACAGCATTATGTCAAGTTGCATAAAATATCTGATTGTTTTACGTTTAGTGATGCTAAGAATGATAATTTGGCTCCAGGCAGCATCAGCCTGATTCCTCCATTATAAGGCGCCCATCAGCTTTTCATCTAATAGCTGTAGTATCCCTTGAGATCCATTTTTTCCTTAGGGGTTGCACATTACTATTTTTCTAATATTGTCATTCTTTTGTATTTATTAGCTAGAATTTTTCTATAGAAGAAATTTTCCTAATCAGCAATTTTGTTACTTTGAAATATAGTTCCTAGAAGAAAGGCAGGGCAAATCCTTCATTCCCTCCTTCCCTTACTTTATTTAACAGCTTTAGTGAGGTATAATTTATATATCATAAAATTCACCCATTGTAAGTAACTATAGTTAAATGATTTCTAGAAAATTTATACAATTGTGTATCATCATCATTTTCTAATTTAGAATGTCTCTACCACCCCAAAAAGTCCCTGATACCTATTTGCAGTCAGTCCCTGTGCCCACCTCCCAGTCCCCAGAAACCAATGTATTTTCTGTCTCTATATTTGCCATTTCTAGAAATTTCATCTAAAGAGTTATATAATATGTAATCTTTTTTCTCTGGCTTCTTTTCATTTAGAGTAATGTTTTTCAGAATCATTCATGTTGTTCCACATCTAAGTAGTTCATTCCTTTTTATTGCTGAATAGTATTCTGTTGTATGGAATGTTTCCCTTCCACATTGACTATTGACTATTTGATGGACATTTGGACTGTTTTGGGCAATTATGTTTTGGGCAATTATGAACCATGTTGGTATGAGTATGTGGATATGTGCTGGGAATATGGGTGTGCTCAGAAAAGATATATTGCAGCTGATGGGGATGGAGAACGTCTTTTTTTTTTTTTTTCCTGTGGGGACACTGAATAAACTTGTTTGTTGTGTGCCTGCATTTTGACTGTGACCCATCATATGACGTTAAGTGTGGAATTTTCCACTTGTGGCATAATGTCAGCATTCAAAAAGTTTTAGATTTTGGGACATTTCAGATTTCATGTTTTTGGATTAGGGATATTCAACCTGTACCTACTTTGCCTATGCTTTGCTCTTCCTTTTTCAGCTTCTCCTTTTTTTTTTTTTTTGAGACAGGATCTTCCTCTGTCACCCAGGCTGGAGTACAGTAGCATGAACATGGCCGACTGCAGCCTCTACATCCTAGGTTCAAGCGATTTTTCCACCTTAGCCTCCCAAGTAGCTGGGACCACAGGCATGTGCCACCATGCCAGCTAATTTTTTTTATTTTTTTGTAGAGATGGGGTTTTACCATTTTGCCCAGGCTGGCAGCTTCTTGAGATGGAAGCATAGATGATTGATTACAGATATTTTTTCCTAATATAAGCTTTTTATTAGCAATAATCATGCCTTGGATAAATCTCATTGGCTGCGATACTGCCAATGTGCAAAGCTTAATACAAGCTTTTAAAGGTGTAAATTTCCATCTTCCCACTGACTTTGCCCTATTTCATGAGTTTTGATGTTATTTTTTGTTACCATTAATTTTAAGATATTGTCTAATTTTTTTGGTTTGATTTCTTCTTTGACCATGGGTTCTTTTGAAATAACTTATTTCCAAATATTTGGGGATTTCCTATATTTCTTTCTAAAGTTAATTCTAATTTAATTCTGTTGTGGTGAGAGAACATAATTTGTAGGATTTTAACTTTTTTACATTTATTGAGACTTGTTTGTGGCCTATCCTATGATCTTGAGGATGTTCCAGTGCACTTGAAAAGATTGTGTGCAGTTGACCTTTGAACAAGATGGGAGTTAGGGGTGCCGTCTCCCCATGTAATCGAAAATTCATGTATAATGTTTTTTTGTTTTGAGATGGAGTCTCACCCTGTCACCAAGGCCGGAGTACAGTGGTGCGATGTTGGCTCACTGCAAGCTCCATCTCTCAGGTTCAAGTGATTCTCCTGCCTCAGCCTCCTGAGTGGCTGGGACTACAGGTGCGTGACACCATGCCCGGCTAATTTTTGTATTTTTAGTAGACATGGGGTTTCACAATGTTGCCCAGTCTTGTCTGGAACTCCTGACCTCAGGTGATCCGCCCACCTTGGCCTCACAAAGTGCTGGGATTACAGGCATGAGCCACCGTGCCTGGCCACGTATAACTTTTGACTCCCCCAAAAGCTTACCTACTAATAACCTATTCTTGACCAGAAGCGTTACCAATAACATAAGCAGTCAATTAACATATTTTTTGTTATATTATATACTATATTCTTATAATAAAGTAAGCTAGAGAAAAGCAAATGTTATTAAGAAAACCATGAAAAAAGAAAATATATTTACTCTTCATTAAGTAGAAGTTCATCATAAAAGTCTTCATCATCATCCTCATGTTAGCAGGCTGAGGAGGAAGAGAAAGAGAAGAGGTTGGTCTCGCGTCTCAGTGGTAGCAGAGGTAGAAGAAAATTCGTGTATAAATGGACCTATGCAGTTCAAACATGTGGTTCAAGGTCAACTGTATTTTGCTGTCATTGATTGTGTTAATCTATGTCAATCTATTTCTGTCATTTAAGTTGATAATGTTCAAGTCTTGTGCATTCTGATTGTATTCTTTTGGGAGGGTTGGTTGTTTTACTGATTACTAAGAGAAAGGTATTTAAATGTCTAATTATAATTATTGAATTATTTCTTCTTTCATTAATATCAGGTTTTGCTTCATATAATCTGATGGTTATCAATTTATTGCACCTAACCAAATTCAATCTTCTTTCCTGTTCTGTGGAAATTGACTTAAACCCTTAAATTTTTTTTCTCTACCTGGCACTGAAGCTTTGTATATTAGAGGACCCTGAAGAAATACTGCAGGGGAACAGATTTTGCTTCCAGGTACCAATGTATTCATTTGACTTTTTCCAGCACCAGGCTTCTGAAGCCCTTGTAGCTTCTCAAGTGGCCAGGTATTGCAATACATGGTGGTCTGCAGTGTTTTTCCCCAGCTGGCCTCTCTTTGGATGGTTCTATAGTGAAGCTTCTGATGAAATACCTCCCCGTAAATAGCCTCCCTGCTATCCTAGAGGGAGAATTTCTGGCAAGTTCCAGAGGGCAGATTTTCAGTATATACCACTGGCACGGCAGTAGAGTGATTTCTTTTTCAGTGAGCCCAGACTGTACCCTCTCCAACAAGGTCTGATCTCAACACTGGGGAAGAGGGCTTATGTAGAGTTTCTTTGTTGGTACTCTGAGCCCTAGGGGTAATGGCTGCTTTTCTACCTGCTATTCCTATATTATTTTAAATTCTTTTTACATCTTCCTTGACAGTCTCTTCCTCCTTGAATACCCTGTTTTAGTTAACTGTTCTTTATATTAAACTTTTCCTATGTGGCTTCTCTCTCCTAATTGGACCTAGCGTGATGTATTTATTTTGAGGCTCGGTCTTGATTGCTTATACATTTATAATTGTTATATTTTCTTGAATCTTAACCTAATTTATGGCAGCAAAATTTATAGTAGCAAAATTGCAGTGGTCTCAGGCCTCACATCTTCCCCACCATATCCTTAAGAATAAATAAGAGGTCTGTGTTCCATACTTTTCATCAAGTCTTGAGGTTTATTCTAATCAAAGTAGAAAAGGGGATGTAGTATGCTGTTGGCATAGCCTATGTACACATGTTCTACCTTTCGTTCAGGTGGTACATGTGTTAGCTTTTTTTTTTTTTTTTTTTTTTTTTTTTGAGACAGAGTCTCACTCTCTCTCCCAGTCTGGAGTGCAGCGGCGTGATCTCGGCTCACTGCAAGCTCCGCCTCCTGGGTTCACGCCATTCTCCTGCCTCAGCCTCCCGAGTAGCTGGGACTACAGGCGCCTGCCACCACGCCCGGCTAATTTTTTGTATTTTTAGTAGAGACGGGGTTTTACCATGTTAGCCAGGATGGTCTCGATCTGACCTCGTGATTCACCCGCCTTGGCCTCCCAAAGTGCTGGGATTACAGGCGTGAGCCACCACGCCCAGCCATGTGTTAGCTTTTTAAGAACTACGTAGATCTGTAATGGAAGGGGAAAGGAGGGGAATAGATGCCCTGGCAGCACCTCATAGATGTTCCTACAATGTGTCTCCATAGTACTGAGCCTTTAAATTTAAACACAGAATGATAGCAGAAATGACAGAAATAACCCATTTAAATAAAATATAAAGTCAAGCCAAAATAATCAGTTTGGCTGTATGTCAGTGGAAGCAAAGAGAAGAATTTCAAGTAAGGAAAATTATTGAACCAATGTGGAATCTTCTAGAATTTTCAGCTACCTATTCTAGTACTGGAATTGAGTCATATATACATTTCCTATTGTCTAAAATACAAAACTAATATATGCTTATCTGTCTGCCTAAAATCAAAAATTTATTAATTAAAAATGTTATTAAAAAACAAATTGAACATGCTCCAGATTGTCAAGGGGACCCTAGCACCCCTTTAACTGGAAAGCCTATAAATGGTCAGATCCTTGAGTAACCCCAGATCAAATGATTCTGACAGTCCTTGTGTGTCTGGAGTTGGTTTCTTCTGGTGGGTTCTTGGTCTCGCTGACTTCAAGAATGAAGCTGCAGACCTTCGTGGTGAGTGTTAACAGCTCTTAAAGGTGGCACGGACCGAAAGAGTGAGCAGCAGCAAGATTTATTGTGAAGAATGAAAGAACAAAGCTTCCACAGCATGGAAGGGGACCTGAGCGGGTTGCTGCTGCTGGCTGGGTTGGCCAGCTTTTATTCTCTTATTTGTCCCCGCCTATGTCCTTCTGTTTGGTCCATGTTACAGAGTGCTGATTGGTCCATTTTACAGAGTGCTGATTGGTCCGTTTTACAGAGTGCTGATTGGTGTGTTTACAAACCTTTAGCTAGACACAGAGCGCTGATTGGTATGTTTTTACAGAGTGCCGATTGGTGCATTTACAGTCCTTTAGCTAGACTCAGTGCTGATTGGTGCGTTTTTACAGAGTGCTGATTGGTGCATTTTTAAAGAGTGCTGATTGGTGCATTTACAGTCCTTCAGCTGGACCCAGAGTGCTGATTGGTGCGTTTTTACAGAGTGCTGATTGGTGCATTCACAATCCTTTTGGTAGACAGAGTGCTGATTGGTGTGTTTTTACAGAGTGCTGATTGGTGCATTTACAATCCTTTAGCTATACATAGAGCGCTGATTGGTGCGTTTTTACAGAGTGCTGCTTGGTGCATTTACAATCCTTTAGCTAGACACAAAAGTTCTCCAAGTCCCCACTTGACCCAGGAAATCCAGCTGGCTTCACCTCTCAGTCCCCTCTCTAAACAGGACAACCCAACTCCTATTGGGAATTGGGCGATGACTGCTCTAGCTACTTCCTGCTGGATGGGGTGAAGAAAGGACCCTGCAGTTGTAGTGTCCTCCAGAGGGAAGCTCTTTAGGCCAGTCAAAAGGCCAGTGGGTCGGTCCAGGGGTCCTCGGTAGAAGTTGTTGGTTGAGCTCATTTGGGGTTCCATTTGTAAGACCATCTGTAGCTTGATGGCCTGGATCCTAGAGGAAACAAATTTGACAAGGAGGTTAAAAATACAGGGCCTGAAGGCGAGTAATAGCAAGATGGCTGTCACGGGACCTAGAAAGGGAAGAAGTCATGTCGCCCAACTCCAGAGGTTGTTATAAGAGTTTGACAGGCGTTGTCTGATTTCAGAAGCCTTTTCCTGTAAACGCCGGGTGGCATCTCATACTATCCCTGACTGGTTAGTGTAAAAGCAGCACTCTTCCCCTAAGAAGGTGCAAAGTCCTCCTTTCTCAGCAGTGAGGAGGTCTAGGCCTTGGCAGTTTTGGAGAGTCACTGCTGCCAAAGAGTGTATTTGGGATTGTATCCTTACTGGATAGATTTTGTTATTTCTTGCAAACTGTCTGAGAAATCCTTTGAGAGTGTGTGGTAGGAGGATAATGAAGTAGATAAACCTGCTTTTCTGGTTCCTGTAGCAGTGGCCATTTCTAACCCTATAAGTAGGGATATTAGTTGTATGGCCCTGTGCTGACAGACTTGAGCTTTGTGGGGCACTGATAGGGTCTGATTTCTATAAGATTTGAAGGTAGGATAATACGTGTTACACTGTTAACTTTTAGCAAACTTTACTTTCGTTGAAAACCTTCTAAGTTTGGGATTTTAATTTTTCTTTGCTATTAATAAAACCTCGTTCAGTCCATATTCACTTAGAAGTGGTATGGATGGCTCCCTCCTGATTCTGTAAGTACTTTAAGGTTTGGCTGAGTGCCAACAAGTGGCACGTTGGAGCAGACCAATTGTTAGGCGATTTTCCTAAGTCTGCTTCCTTATCACTTACTGAATACCATTGTGTCTTTTTTCCTTAATTGCCTGGGAGGAACTGTCCTGAAGGGAGTTCCTTCTAGGTCTGGTTGGACTTTTGTATGGTAATTAGTTAAGATTTAGATTCCCTGCTAGGAAACCTGCTGGGTTAAGGATTTTTGATAGGAAGGCTATGGGTTGTCAGTGGCCTCAGTGCTTTCAGGCTACGCCCTTGTTTACACTGACAACAAGGTGGTATTGGAGTGTTACAGGGTTGCAGAGAAGACCTTCAATTATCATTATAGGTTTTAAATTTACCCTGGCTTTTAAAGGAATAGGGTACACTGTTTTTTTTTTTTTTTTTTTTTTTTTTTTACTACTTCCATCTCTCTTTCTCTTTGACTTGTCTTTCTCTTTCTCTCTTTCTGACTCCCTCTTTGTCTGTTTCTTCCTTTCTCTCTTTGACTTTCTGTCTCTCTCTTTCTCTCTCTCTCTCTTTCTCTGACTCCCTCTTTGTCTCTGTCTCTTCCTCTCTCTCAGTCTCTCTGACTTTCTGTCCCTTTCTCTCTCCTTTCTGCTGGTCTTTCCCTGCCTCTGCCAGCCGCTTATGCTGCTGTTCTCCTCTCTCCTTCCCTTTTTTGATGGCTTCGGCAGTGTAAGACTGCCACCTCTTTGGGTTTTTGCACTGCATGCAGTAACTCCATGATTTCCTTGTGGTATTTAATGGTGGTTCCCCCAGTGGTTAGGAACTCCGTTTCTTTCCATATTGCAGCATGGGCATGTAGGATTAGATAAGGATATTTGCTATCCGTGTACACTTTTATTCTTTTTCCCTTTCCCAGTTCTAAGGCTTAGGGAAGTGCCACTAGTTCTGCTAACTGGGCGCCAGTCCCTGGGGGAAGAGGCTTACTTTCAAGTACTGTTACATCACTAACTATGGCATAACCTGCCCTTTGTATCCCATTCTCCACAAATGAACTTCCATCGTTATATAGGTTAAGGTCATGATTAGCTAAGGGGACTTCTAAGAGATCCTCTTGGGCAGCGTAAGTCTGGACTATAATTTGTTGGCAGTCATGCTCGATTGGTTCCCCATCCTCTGGGAGAAAAGTAGCAGGGTTGAGGGCCACACACCTGCATATTTGAAACACCAGTCCCTCAAGGAGTAGCTCCTGGTATCTAAGCAGGCGGTTGTCTGATAGCCATAAACTTCCTTTGGCACCTAGTATGCCATTTACATTATGAGTAGTCCAGATAGTAAGATCCTTTCCTTGTATTATTTTAATAGCCTCTGACACTAAGACGGCCACCGCTGCAACTACCCATAAACAGTGAGGCCAGCGTTTTGCTACTATATCAGTTTCCTTACTTAGGTATGCCACTGGTTGTGAGGTTGTCCCACGAGTCTGAGTAAGGACCCCAAGAGCTATTCCTGCCCTCTCTGTGACGTGTAAAGAGAAGTTTTGTCCTATGGGAAGGCTTAGGGCTGGAGCTTGAGTTTGTTCCTTCCAGTGCCCAGACTTCAGGGTTGATTCCCTCCTCAAGCAGGGGACAACAAATGGGTAACTTGTTTCCCATATTCATGTAGATAATAGCTCCAGCTTTGGCTAATATGTCCCTCCTTAATAAGGGTATGGGACTTTCAGGCATAACAAGAAAGGCATGTGAAAAGAGCAAAGTCTCCCAATTACAACTGAGGAGGTGGGAGAAATACCTGATTACAGGCTGTCCCAGGATTCCTCGGATGGTAACGGACCTTGAGGACAGCTGTCCGGGACAGGAAATTAACACTGAGAAAGCTGTGCCAGTGTCCAGCAGGAAGTCAATTTCCTGGCCCTCAATGGTTAAACATACCCGGGGCTCAGTGAGGGTGATGACATGAGCTGGCACTTGCCCTGGGCACCCTCAGTCCTGTTGTTGGATCATCTGGTTGGGGGCTTCTGGCCCAGAGAACCTTTGTCCTCTGGGGCAGTGTGCCTTCCAGTGATTGCCTTGGTGTAGTGGACATGGCAGGGTGGGCAGCTTGTTTCTTGTTGGACAATCTTTTTTACGGTGTCCTTGCAAACCACACTGGTAACAAGCCCAACCAGGTGACTGGCCTGCTCCATTTTCTGTCCTCTCTGAACTGCCAAGGTTTGTTTGTCTGAGGGCCATGACTAAGGCTGTGGCCTTTGTCTGATCTCTCTTTTCCTTTTTGGCCTGTTCTCTTGGTCCCTATTATAGAACACCAAGGTTGCCAGGTTTAATAATGCCTCCAGATTTTGTTCAGAGCCCAGGGCTCGCTTTTCGAGCTTTCTCCTGATATCTGTGACTGATTGGGTAATAAACTTATCTTTTAGGATCAGTTGATCCTCAAGTGAGTTGGGTGACAGGGCAGTATATTTTTTTAAGGCCTCCCATAGCCACTCGAGGAAGGCAGAAGGATTTTCTTCCTTTCCCTGAGTTATGGTGGACATCATTGAATAATTCATGGGCTTTTCCCTAATTTTCCTTAGTCCTTCTAGAACACAGGTCAACAGATGTTTGTGATTGCAGTCCCCATGATCGGAGTCGACGTCCCAGTGGGGATTCATACTGGGGATGGGTTGCTGACTGGTAGGGAATTTGTCCCTTTCTTCAGCTGTCATTCTGTCATTTACTTGACTAAGATACCAGGTATCTCCAAACTCTTGGGCTGCAGCTAAAGCCACATTCTTTTTGTTAAAGGCCAGGGTTTGATCTAACAATAGTATAACATCTCTCCAAGTGAGATAGAAGGTTTGCCCTAGACCCTGTAGGACATCTGTATACCTATCAGGATCATCTGAAAACTTCCCCAGGTCTGCCTTGATCTGCTGTAAATCAGAGGGAGAAGGGGACATGTACCCGGATTGGGCCAGATTACCCTCCCCCTACAGCTTGAAGGGGACATAACCGATAGCCAGAGGGTTTTTGTGGTCCCTTGGAGATGTCTTTGCTTGTTTCCTTCTGGGTGGGGGAGATTAGAGGAGGCTTATCTTTAATAGGAAGGGGAGCTATGGGGAGGCTAGGATATGGGGGTAAGCTGAGAGGTCCTCTTGTGGGATGTAAATTGCAAGCTTTGCATAGTTGTGGATTCTCCTTCAATGAAAAGAAAGCTTGGACATAAGGTGTTTCACTCCATTTGCCTTCCCTCTTACAGAAAAGGTCAAACTGTAGTATAGTATTTTAATTTATACATTCCTCAGGTGGTCATTTTTTCCCCATCAGACAGAGAATATTGGGGCCAGGCCATAGTGCAGAAAAAAATAAGCTGCTGCTTTTTCAGGGTTTGCGGGTCAAATTGGTCCCAGTGGCTTAGGATGCATTTCAAGGGTGAGCCTGTTAATGCCTGTCCCAATGGCTTAGGATGCATTTCAAGGGTGAGCCTGTTAATGCCTGAGTGTTTACTATCTGAAAGAAAAAAACGCCGGTGGTTTTGGTTTGTTTGTTTTCCCCTCTTGCCCAAGAACCTACAACGGTCCCTGGACCCTGCTGACTGGAATAGTTGTGCTCACCGATGCAGCAGCAGAAACTCTTCTTGCCCAAGAACCCAAATGGTCCCTGGACCCTGCTGATCGGACTAGTTGCACTCACTGATGCAGCAGCAGAAATCACTCTTGCCCAAGAACCTGCAATGGTCCCTGGACCCTGCTGATCGGAATAGTTGCGCTCACTGACGCAGCAGCAGAAACCCCTCTTGCCCAAGAACCCGCAATGGTCCCTGGACCCTGCTGATTGGAAAAGTTGCGCTCAGCATCGCAGCAGCAGAAACACTAGTTTTCCTCCTTAGACCACAAGGAGGACTGAGGAAGGTCAGATTTAGTGGCCCTTACCGACGCATTCTTGAAAACCTGCACCCTTGCCTGTCCTCCTAGACCACAAAGAGTACCGAGAAAAATTGGATTTAGTGGCTCTTACTGACTCATTCTCAAAAACCTGTTAGAGTCCTAAGTGTTCTCTTGTTAGTATTGGGACCTTTCTCCTGTCTTATAAAGATGTTATGCCCCAAAAATGAAGTGGAGGGCCATACCCTGAGGGAGGGAAGGGATCTCCAGGGTTGGAAGGGTGATGCCTTTTGTCCTCATTTCTCATCATATGAATAGGAAGGATATCATTTCTGAGGCTCCCCATAGCCTAGTTTCAGTAATAGCTTTTGTTAGGCCTGCTAGTCTGAGGAAGGATCCTAAAATTCCAGATAGTCCCCCCCACCTGATGGGGCTTTGGGCAAAAATTATGTCTTTATGATTGGTGAGCTCAGGTGCCTAAAGAAGATAACAGAGTCCTGAAGTTTATACTAGAAATCACTCTTATAGGAGAAACTAGAAAAGCACCAGAGACAGGGAGTGGTTTTTAGAAGCGGGACTAGTCTCGGAGAAAAGAGGCGAGAGGAAGTTTGTCTGACAGGCGTTAGAACCCAGGAGGCAAGGGTCAGGATAGATAGGATAGATGGGCGAGTCTCGCTTGGGTGATGTAACTTTGAGAGTTCCGATCATGGCTACAGGGCCAACCAACTTTTTGTCAGGACCCTGGAGCTGAATGTCTTTCCTCTCTGTTGACCGTCGGCTCAGCCTGGAAGTACAGGAAAAGCGGAAGCTGGTTCCAAGCAAACCAGTGCTGCCAACTTTGAAGAGTTGGGGGTTGTTAGAAAGCTCTTTCCCAGAAAGCCTGACAACTGGGTCTTTAGTCCGGCGGCTGCGCTAGTCGCTTTTAACTGGCCAACAGGTGCCTGGTATTTAGCCCCCAAATTCTAAGGAAAAATAGGACAGAATAGTAAGCAAAAGGGGTCCGATGGTACTCACTGCTTGGCGATGGTCCCTTTGTGGTTGCCAAGATGTGTCCAGAGTTGGTTCCTTCTGGTGGGTTCTTGGTCTTGCTGACTTCAAGAATGAAGCTGTGGACCTTTGCGGGGAGTGTTACAGCTCTTAAAGGTGGCATGGACCCAAAGAGTGAGCAGCAGCAAGATTTATTGTGAAGAGCAAAAGAACAAAGCTTCCACAGCGTGGAAGGGGACCTGAGCGGGTTGCCGCTGCTGGCTGGGGTGGCCACCTTTTGTTCCTTTATTTGTCCCCGCCCACATCCTTCTGATTGGTCCATTTTACAGAGCACTGATTGGTCCATTTTACAGAGTGCTGATTGGTGTGTTTACAAACCTTTAGCTAGACACAGAGCGCTGATTGGTGTGTTTTTTTTTTTTTCTCAATTCAGTATATCTTTATTGAGCTCCCACGGGGTGCATGAATTTAAGATCTATAATTTACAAAGTAGGAAAGTGTTACTTTAGCCCCCTTTTTTAAAAAAAAGCAAATTACAATTTCTGTATATATTTCAAGTGAATCATTTAATGTGAGTGAGGCTCAGTTAGGTGTTACCATAAGTATTAACAGAAGAAAAAAGGAAAGCACAAACATTTTCCCTCTACCAGAAAAGGGTCTGATGTAAGATAAACTAGCCTGTTGGTTTAACAATAGCTCATTAAAAAGGCCAGAGAATCTGGGAGAAGAAGATGTACTTGGAAGCACTGTCCTCTGAGGGCTCATTCCCAAGGAACAGCAAAATACTGAAAAAAATTAACTGGCTCAAAAATTATATTGAGAGATAAAAAGAGTTAGTCACAGCTTAGAAAAAAATTCCAGAATAAATGACACTAGCTAGATTGGTAATTCTGATGTTTCCTTGTCATAGTACTCTGTGCAAAACAGAGGGACTACAAACTGGTGCCCCTTTGAACAGAGTGGTTTTAAATAATAGATTCTCCAGTGCACCAACTGTATTTTCAAGTATAATTCTCGTATTTGTACCTAGAAATACAGAAGAAAAAGCAGCAAGGAGAAAGTGTCAAGTATATAGGACATGAAATGATTTGGCAGCCCTAGAATTCCAAGTATGAGTCTTTTTCATCAGGAAAATCACATTCTGGCTCAGTCCAAGGTAACACTGGAGGCAATGGTATTGATGGCTTGTTATAAGCAGGAGGCAACCGTGAAAGTATTGAATCCTGGCTTTCTTCTTTCATCTGTTTGAAGAAAACATGGGACAATAAACTGCTTGCTGATGGCCTTTTCTCAGGATCTTGTTGCAAACAGAGCTGTACCAAGCTAAAGAAGGCAGGAGAGAAAGTTTTTGAGGATGGTGTGTGTAATCGGTCACTATTTACTGTGTGAGTTCCACTGGAGACAAGCACACTTTCTCCAATTCCAGAGTCTACACCTGACCGGGAATTTTTCATTCTGGATTCTGATTGAGGGAAAATACTGATATCCAATGGGCTATAAGGAGGACCTTTCAGTTTCTGTAACAGCATCTGAGTTCTATGCATGTCCTGGAAAGGCACCTGCCCACTGGCTAATTCACATGCTGTAATCCCAACACTGTAAATATCTGACTTCACATTATACCCATGTAAATCCTGTCTCAGTAGTTCTGGACTCAGCCACGGCTGCACTGATGTGCTGAACTGTGGGAAATCATACACAGCCCTATGCCTCTGTCCATGCTTAACCAAACTATGCAGATGGGACAGGCCAGAGAGGGTCACTAGGCCATCACCAGAAATGAGGATATGGCTGGCTTTAATACTCCTGTGAATACAGCCATTTTGGTACAGATAGTTCAACCCTCTCACAGCTCCAAAGATAATGTTTCTTATTAAAGTTTCACTCATTCCTTCAGGAAAACAGGTCCTCAAGAGTTGACTTGCTGAACCATAGGCCATAAATGGAGAAATAACCCAAAGCCAGCTGCCAACAGTGAAAACTGTCCAGTAAGTTGTAATATTGGGATGCCGGAAAAAGTGGGATAGAATCACGGCTTTCTGTAAAGCTTTCAGGCGTTCTTCATTGCAGTTTTCCAGATTTGTAATTTTTATAGTTACCAGTGTTCCCGTGGGAGTATGCCATGCAAGATGGACAGAAGTCAAGTTGTCAAATCCTCTTCCTGTTTCTACTTGGAGCTCGTAGTGAGAAACGTTGGTGGAACATAGTACTTCACTGGCTCTAGTGGATGGAGGTGACCAGGAAAGGGTTGGCTCATCAACCAAGTATTGATGGATACTGGTTTCAGACTGTTTTTCAGGTCTGAGTGATTCATCTTGTGTTCTTGAAGTGCAGAAGCAATCCAAAAGAGACATTGAATCACTTTAGTTCACACAGAAAGTGACAAAAATCCATCTATTCCAAAGAAGGCTTTTGTTTTATCTTCCTTTCAAGATGCAGATATATCCTACCTAGCAGCGACCATGGCCAGCGACTCTCTTCAGGCTGCCAGCGGTGCGGACAGGGGCGGGCGCCAGAGCCCTGCTCGCGGAGGGGCGAGGCGAGTGCTCTAGGCCCGCTCCCGGTGCGGGGCGCGGGAGGGCGGCGAGGCCGCGACCGGGGCCGTGGGCTTGGAACTCTCGGTGCGTTTTTACAGAGTGCTGATTGGTGCATTTACGATCCTTTAGCTAGACCCAGAGTGCTGATTGGTGCGTTTTTACAGAGTGCTGCTTGATGCATTCACAATCCTTCAGCTAGATGCAGAGCACTGAGCGGTGTGTTTTTACAGAGTGCTGATTGGTGTGTTTACAATGCTTTAGCTAGACCAAGAGTGCTGATTGGTGCATTTTTACAGAGTGCTGATTGGTGCATTCACAATCCTTTAGCTAGACACAGAGTGCTGATTGGTGCGATTTTAGAGTGCTGATTGGTGCATTCGCAGTCCTTTAGCTAGACAGAGTGCTGATTGGTGTGTCTTTACAGAGTGCTGATTGGTGCATTTACAATCCTTTAGCTAGACACAGCGCTGATTGGTGCGTTTTTACAGAGTGCTGCTTGGTGCATTTACAATCCTTTAGTTAGACACAAAAGTTCTCCAAGTCCCCACTTGACCCAGGGAGTCCAGCTGGCTTCACCTCTCACTTGGACATACTAATTACTTAAAATGTTCCTTGTTTATTATTATTGGTGATGTATTATTAGTGTCAGTACATTAGTATTATTATAGAACTTTCCAATTCTATTTCATACCCTATATGCCCCTCTAAGGAATCTCCAGGGACCCAGAATCACCTCAGGCTCTAGGGAGATATATATTAACTATATGTATTATAATTTAATAAATTAGTTATATAATTATATTACATAAATTAATACAATTATATTAAATGCCCATGATATTAAAAGCCATAATAGGGCAATTTTACATTCATAGAGAAGGTTTCCTCTTCAAGGAAATGGTTTTAATTCTGGAATCTACCAGAACAAAATAAGTTATGCCTAATGTATACCCTGGGAACCACTTTTAGGCAAGAAAGAGAATGAAAAAGTTTTCTATTTCATAGAGTTTCTGTTGAAACTGGATTTTCATCTTCTTTCACTGAAGGTTTGCAGATTTTCATCTACAGACACACACACACACACACCCCCGTAAGTGCACCACAGATGTTCTCTCACTATACTGCCACAAATGTACTGCCTGAAAAGCTCTTCCTCCAGATGTGTATATGGCTTGCTCTCTCACTTATTTCCAGTCACTCCTCAGATTTGTCATAATCAGAGAGGCCTTCTCTTACCAACATATATAAAACAGCACCCCTCTTTGGTCAATGTCTCAATTCTGTTCTATTATCTTTAGATCTGTATCTTGTACACCAGTATGTTTTGAGAGTAAAGGGGTATGCTAATAATATTTTTGCCAAAACAAAATGTGTGAAAAGGTACCACTCAGGGCAAATGGAATGAATGGTTCTACTGTTTTTCTTTCTAGCACTGACATATTATTTATTTTTAAATTTTTTATCTCACTAGAATAACAGTTTTATAGGAGTAGAGATTTTTCCTGTTTTTTTTTTTTTTTTTTTCTTTCACTGCTGTATCTCTAGTGCATAGTGCCTGGCACCTACTATGCGTTTGATATCCAAGGAGTTAAACAAAATATCATAAAATGCTTCATATAACTGCCTCTCATTACCATTTTTATGACTGTTGGAACTGTCCTATTTAAAGACACCTGTTTGTAGTGTTACAATCTTGTGATTAGGAAATGTATTTTGTATTTGAAAATTTATAATAGAATAGCTGTTTCGGTCTCCTTTTTCCACCACTTGGATAAAGAGAAGATATGATATTTATTTATATTGCAGTATGTTACTGGGTGTTTCTGTTGATTTCTCTTCCCTATAGGGAGCTAAAATAGCAGTTTTATTAGAGCTCCTGCTTCTCAGTTTCTAGGAATTAGTTCTTACCTGATATCTGGAATATCAGGTAAAGTCTTTTTTGAAGCCCCTTTAAACTGATTTCAGGTGAAGTTTTGAGGCTAAGAATAAATTCCTCTAAGTCTGTGCATGAGAATATTTCTGGCTCAGTCCTCAGGAGAGCTTGTAGGACTAAGGATTTATATAACAAATATATTCAAACCAATTTATCTTTATAGTTTGGGGAGGTAAATAGGTATTCAGAAAA
The DNA here is from genome assembly GCF_000001405.40 of Homo sapiens. Taxonomy (NCBI): domain Eukaryota; kingdom Metazoa; phylum Chordata; class Mammalia; order Primates; family Hominidae; genus Homo; species Homo sapiens. The sequence goes on along the minus strand of NC_000001.11, from coordinate 48,433,658 downwards.
AATTATTATAGCAGCTGTTTGTGCTGGTACAGAGGTTTAATAGTAGTCTGGCACGTAAGTTATTTCCTATAGCCTTTTGATTTACTATTTTGCTATAATATTTCTGGAGTATCATAGTACATTTAATTTGTAACTCACAGTAAAAGTACATGTGAAAATGAGAAGTTTTACAGAAGAAGAAGGAAAATTATTTTTAGCTATAAGATAGTAGACAGTTACAAAATAAGATTATATTGTATGTTCCAGTAGATGTAGTTTACATTAACTTAATATTTGTGTTCCAGCAGCATTAGTTCTCCATAAAGCTTTTCTTTAAATAATTTATAGTCTTTCTCCTTGAAGTAATTTTTATTACAGTAAAACATACATAATGAAATTTACTATCTTAATCATTTTAAGTATACAGTTTAGTGGTATTAAATACATTTATAATGTTGTGCACCCATTACCACCATGCAGCTCCATAACTCTTTTCATCTTGTAAAACTGAAACTATACCCATTAAACAATAACACCCATTTTCCCCTCCCTGCAGTCTCTTGCAACTACCATTCTGTTTTCTGTCTCTATGATTTTGAGTACTCTGAGTATCTCAGATAAGCACAATCATGCTGTATTTATGTGTTTTTTAAAAAACTGGCTTATTTTACATAGCGTAATGTTTTCTAGGTTCATCCATGTTGTAACGTGTCAGAATTTCATTTCTTTTTAAAGATGAATGATATTCCATTGTATGCATACATCACATTTAGCCTATCACTTCATGTGTTGATAGACACTTGGGTTGCTTCCACGTTTTAGTTATTGTGACTAATGCTGCTATGAACATGGGAGTACAGATATCTGTTTGTGATCCTACTTTCCATGCTTTTGAATATATATCCAGATGTGGAATTGCTGGATCATATGGTAATTATACTTTTAATTTTTTTCAGAAATTACCATACTGTTCCATTGTAGCTGTATCATTTTACATTTTCTTCAACTGCACAAGGATTCCAATTTCTTCACATCCTCACCAACACTTGTTGTTTTCTGTTGTTTTGATAGCCCTTTCAATGAGTGTGAGATGGTATCTCATTTTAGTTGTAATTTGCATTTTCCTAATTATTAGTGATCTTGAGCATCTTTTCTTGTGCTTATTAGCCATTTATGTATCCTCTATGGAGAAATGTCTATTTAAGTATTTTACCCATTTTTGAATTTTTTTTTGGTTTCGTTTTAGGAATTTTCTGTGTATTCTAGATTGTAATTTTTTATCAGATATATTATTTGCAAATGTTTTCTCCCATTGTTTGGATTGCCTTTTTACTGCATTGATAACTGCCTTTTTATGCACGAAATTTTAACATTTTCATGGAGTCCTATTTGTGTATTTTTTTAAATTGCTTTTGCCTTGGTTGTGTTATCCAAGAAATCATTGCTAAATCCAGTGTCCTGAAGCCTTTGTTCTATATATTTTTAGGAGTTTTATGCTTTTCTAGGTCCTTAAATTGTAAAGTTAGTTTGTTGATTTGAGGTCTTTTTTATTATTTATTTATTTATTTTTGAGACAAGGTCTGGCTCTATTGCCCAGGCTGGAGTGCAGTGGTGTGTTCTCAGCTCACTGCAGCCTCTGCCTCCCAGGCTTAAGCCATTCTCCCACCTCAGGCTCCCACATAGCTGGGGCTACAGGCATGCACCACCATGCCCAGCTAATTTTCATATTTTTTGTAGAGACAGTGTTTCACCATGTTGCCCAGGCTGTCTCGAGCTCGTGAACTCAAACAATCCACCCACCTTGGCCTCCCAAAGTGCTGGGATTACATGCGTGAGTCGCTACACCCTGCCCTTTCTTATTTTTTAATGTAAGCATTGATAGCTGTAGATTTCTCTCTTAGTACTGCTTTCCCTGTATCCCATAAGTTTTGGTATTGTATTTTCATTTTTATTTATCTCCAAGTATTTTCTAATTTCCTTCATGATTTCTTCTTTAATCCATTGATTATTTAAGAGTGTGTTGTTTTATTTCCATAAATTGGTGAATTTTCCAAGTTTACTTCTGTTGTTGATCCTTATCCCATTGTGGTTAGAGAATATACTTTGTATATCCATCTTCCTAAATCTATTAAAATTTAATTTGTGGTCTACCATATGGTCTATCCTAGAAAATGCCCCATATATACCCCATATATACTTGAGAAAAATATGTGTGTTGTTGTGGGTGGGTAGAGTGTTTGGTAAATATCTGTTAGAGCTATTTGGTTTATTGTGTGTGTGTTTTTTTAGGTTCTCTGTTTTCTTTCTTAACTTCTGTGTGGTTGTTTTAACCATTATTTAGAGTGGTTATTGATGTCTTACTATTATTGTAGAACCATTTGTTTCTCTCTTCAATTCTGTCAGTTTTTGTTTCATGTATTTTTATGATCTCTTTATAGATGTATAAATGTTTACAATTGTTACATCTTTTTGCCACATTGAACCTTTTATTAATATGTAATGCTCTTTTTTGCTTGTAATCTTTTTTGATTTTAAGTCTATTTTGTCTGATATTAGTATAACCACCCCTGCTCTCTTTTAGTTACTTTTTGCATGGAATATCTTTTCCCATCCTTTCACTTTTAAAATGTGTGCATCTTTAGACCTAAAATGAGCGCCTTGTAGACAGCATATCCCCAGGTCATATGTTTTTATCCATTCTACCATTCTTTGTCTTTTGCTGAGATGCTTTAATTCATTTACATTTAAAGTAATTACTGATAGAGACTTATTTCATTTTGCTATTGGTTTTCTATATGCCTTACAACTTTTTTGTCACTCATTTTCTGCATTACTGTCTTCTTTTGTGTTTAGTTGCTATTTTTGGTAATGAATTGTTTAAGTTTCTGTCTCATTTCCTTTTGTGTGTATTCTGTGTCTGTTTTCATTGTGGTTACCATGAGGATTACATTTAACACACCTATGTTGTAACACTAATTACATGTTTATACTTTGTGTGCTCCAAAACATAAACTAATAATTGAAAAAATATACTAGTATTTGAAAATACATTGCAAACAAAAATGTGGAGTTACAACCCATTGTTATAGTAATACTAGCTTTTATAACTTCCCGCATATTTACCTTTATTGAGATCTTTATTTCTTTGTATGACTTTGTGTTACTGTCTAGGGTCCTTTCATTTCACCCTTTAGGACTCTCTTAAACATTTCTTGCAGGACAGGTCTAGTGGTAATAAACTTTGTCAGTTTTTATTTATCGGGGGACATCATAGTTTCTCCTTCAGTTTTGAAGGAGAGTTTTGCTTGATATAGAATTCTTGTTAGTTTTTTCTTTAAATATTTTGTATATACGAGCCTACTGCCTTCTGACCTCCAGTTTCTGATGCGATATCTGCTAATAATCTTTTTGAAGACCTTTTGTAAGTGATGTGTGGCTTGTCTTTTGTGCTATTTTCAAGATTCTCACTTTGTCTTTAGAAATTTATAATGTGTCTCATTGTGGTACTTTTATATTCATCTTTCTTGGAGTTTGTTGAGCTTCTTGAATATTTACATTTATTTCATTCATCAAATTTGAGAAGTTTTCAGCCATTGTTTCTTTAAATATATTCTTTGCTCCTTTCTCTCTCTTTCCTCCTTCATGGATTTCCCCAGTGTGTCCATTGGTCCTTTTGATGGTGTCCTACACATTCCTTAGGCTGCTCACTTTTCTTCAATTATTTTTCTTTCTGTTACTCAGACTCAATAATTTGTACTGTCCTATCTTCAAGTTCACTGATTCATTCTTCTTCCTGGGGAAATCCTCTTTTGAGTCAATCTAGTAAATTTTTCATTTTAGTTATTGTATGTTTCAGCTGCAACATTTTCTTTTGGTTCCTTTTAAATATTTTTATTGATATTTCCATTTTGTTCATACATTGTTTCTCTGACCTTCTCTTCATCTTTCTTTTCTTTTTGAGCATCTCTTTGACAGTGATTTTAAAGTCTTTTTCTAGTGTATCTGCCATAAGGTCTTTTCCACAGGTAGTTTCTGCCGATTTATTTTCTTCCTTTGACTGCAGCATATTTCTTGTTTCTTTTATCCCTTATGATTATTTTTTGTTGAAAACTGGGCATTTGATTCTGATGATGTGGTAACTCTGGAATCCAGATTTTTTGTCTTCTCTAGTTTTTCCTGTTTCCCTAGTTTTTTGTTATTGTTTTCGATTTTTTCATTGTTATGGGCTGTCTTTGTGTTGAAGATCAGCCTAAAGTATAAATGTAATGTCTCCTTAAGTATTTTCGGAGCCTTCCCCTGAGCATGTATGGTCACTTTATAATTTTCTCTGTATATGCAGTTGTTTTTCAATGTCTTATTCTTTAAGGCTCCCAAAAAGGGAAAAAGAAAAATAAAAGAGGGAAGAAGAATTCTGGTCCTTGGGAGGGGCTTGCAACAATGGGGTGAGGTGCAACAACATGGCCATAAGGCTCTTTATCTGCATCTCTGTTATTGGGGAGCAGAGTATAAATCTCCAATATTTGGAGGACAGGATTTTTTTTTTTTTGCCCATCCTGGCAAACCTGTGTGCAGGTTGCTCCTAAAAAAAGTACTTATCTGCCTGCAGTGGGTTGGAGTTTGAGGGTTGGGTAGCTGTTATTGTACTAAGAGCTGAAATTGACTGAAATTGATCACGGTTTATAGTTGAAGCCTTCCCCTGGAAGTTGCAAACCTTTGATAGACTCTAGTCTTCCAAAATAGTTACATCAAATAGATCTATTAAATAGATCTGTCACACACACACACAAACACACACACACACACACACACGTGTATATATATATACACACATATATATACACATATATATACACACATATATATACATATACACACACACACACACACACACACACACACACACATATATACACCTATACAGTTGACCGTGAACTAAGTGAATTTGAACTGTTTGGATCCATTTTCTTCTGTCTCTGCCGCTCCTGAGACAGCAAGACCAACCCCCACTTCTTCCTCCTTTACCTCAGCCTGCTCAATGTGAAGACAAGGATGAAGAACTTCATGATGAATATGTTTATGTTCATACATATTTCCACTTAATAAATAGTAAACATATTTTCTCTCCCTTATGATTTTCTTATTAATGTTTTTCCCTAGTTTCTTAATATAATATATGTGCAATGCACAAAACATGTTGACTATGTTTTTATGTTATTATTATTATTAGAGACGGAGTTTCGCTCTTGTTGCCCAGGCTGGAGTGCAATGGCATGATCTCAGCTCACCGCAACATCCACCTCCTGGGTTCAGCGATTCTCCTGCCTCAGGCTTCAGAGTAGCTGGAATTACAGGCATGTGCCACCACGCCCAGCTATTTTTGTATTTTTGGTAGAGACGGGGTTTCTCCATGTTGGTCAGGCTGGTCTCGAATTCCTGACTTCAGGTGATCTGCCTGGCTCAGTCTCCCAAAGTGCTGGGATTACAGGCATAAGCCACTGTGCCCGGCCTGTTTTTATGTTATTATTAAGGCTTTGGGTCAGTGGTAGGCTATTAGTAGTTAAGTTTTTAGGGAGCCAGATGCATATGGTTCCATATGCATGGAGCTACAAGAAAGAATAAAATCATGTCTTTTGCAGCAGCATGGATGCAGCTGGAGGCCATTATCCTAAGTGAATTAATGCAAAAGCAGAAAACCAAATACAGTGTGTTCTCTCTTACAAGTAGGAGCTAAACACTGGGTATACATGGACACAAAGATGGGAACAATAAACACTGGAGATTTCAAAAAGGTGAAGGGAAGGAAAGGGGAAAGGGTTGAAAAGCTATTAATAGCTGTCACAGGTGCTATGTGCACTACCTGGGCAATGGAATTATGATTAATAGAAACCCATACCTCAGCATCATGCAGTTTTTATCCATGTAACAAACCTGCACATGTACCCTCTAAGTTAAAAAAAAGTTATATGGAGGTTTTCAACAGTGTGTGGGTTTGATGGCCCTAGCCCCCATGTTGTTTAAGGGTCACCTGTATATGTAAATATCAGTGTCTTAACTTTTAAAATTTGGTTTTTACTTATATCAAAATTATGTCATTTTTAATTGGTTATAAAATTAGGTTGTTTTTCTTTAAATTCGTTGTATATATTCTATAAGTCTTATTATAGAAAACAGCAATAATGTATCCATTTCAGCAAAGTTTCCTGAACGATAGTTTGTAGTATTCATTTTCTTTTTTTTTTTTTTTTGCCTCAATTTTCTTAATTAGGAACTACTATTATAGTATTTTGGATCATTTTGCCTGTTTAGTGTTTACTTTCTGTGCTATTTAAAATTCTTTGGTTTCTTTTTGATTAAAATATTCTCATTTTCTTGTATTTTAAGGCATTATATCTGTCGTATTATTTCCTCTCCTGTTTATTTTAATTCATATTCAGTTATGAAATGATTTCTGATTGGGTGTGTGGTAGCTCATAAATATAATCCCAGCACTTTGGGAAGCGTAGGCTGGAGAATTGCTTGAGGCTGGGAGTTGAAGATCAGCCTGGGCAACATAGTGAGACCCCCATCTCTACAAAAAAAATTAAAAATTAGTCAGTTGTGATGGTACATGCCTATAGTCCCAGCTGCTCAGAAGGCTGAGGTCAGAGGATCACTTGAGCCCAGGAGTTTGAGGGTACAGTGAGCTATGATTATGCTACTGTACTCCAGCCTGGGTTACAGAGTGAGACCCTATCTCTTAAAAAAAAAAAAGATTGAACTGACTTTTTTCTCTGTTTTTACTTTTTTCCTGATTTATATCATCTTACATCTATGTTTTTCTAATTTTGATTAATGTAGTTCTTCAGTTTCTTGTATTACTTCCTTAATTTTTCAATAGATTATAATTTTGCTCTATTTTGCTAACATGTTTTTTGGCTGCTGTCATTGTAGGAATTTTCTTCTTTTGCCTATTATTATTTAAACAAGAACTTGGTAAAATATTTGACCTTGATCCTTTTCTTTGTTCATTTTTAATTGAATTTAAATTAAAAAAATTTTTTTTTTCTTATCTCTTAGAAGGAAGATTGATTCAGGACAACATTTTAACTTCAAAGAGCTTCCGTATGTAGTGTTCAAAGTGTGGTGACTTGCTTTCTAGGGTATTCTGTCTCTGTTCCATTTCACTTTTGCTAGTCCATTTTTTTCCTGATATTTTTATTTTTGTCCTGCTCAAGTTTTATTCTATTCCCTATAGTTTTTCCTAGTGTCTTGGGTTTTATCCTGCACAGGAACCCTGGGTGGTCAGTTTCTGTAGTTCTTATGGGCTACCAGGACTAATCTACCGTCTTCAGACTCTATTGTACAACTTTTGAATTTACCTGCTATTGAAATGAACAAACCCCTTTCCAGTTTCAACTGCTCTTTTTCAAATTGATTGACTGTGCTTCCTAGTATGTGTGTATTGGCTGTTTAGGGATTATCTTTCCAGGTCCTTTAGATACACTCTTCCTTCTCCTTGTGAAGTGCCTGTCTTTTGCCCGTTTTTCCATTGGGTTGTTTGTTCTGTTCTTATTAATTTGTAGGAATTCCCTACATTTTCTCATTACAAGCCATTTGCCAGTTATATGTTTCAAGTATCTTGTCCCACTCTGTGGCTTACATTTTTAATCCATTAGCGATTCTTGTTCTTTTGATGAGCAAGTTATTTTTAACACAATCTGACTTAGTAATGTAGTTTGATTTATTAATATTTTCCTTTGTGCCTACTGCTTGTTTTTTTTTCATTTTAAAGAAATCTTTGCTTACACCAGTTATGAAAATATCATTCTACATAATCTTCAAGAAGCATTTTTTTTACCTTTTACATTTTGATTTATAGTCCACCTGGATTTAATTTTTATATATAGTATAAAGTAGGGATAAAATTTGTTTTATTCATATATAATCTCTAATTAAACAATACGATTTGTTGAAAAGACTTATTCCCATTGCTTCATAGTGTTTATTTTGTCATAAATTAAGTGCCTGCTAGGGCACATGTAGGCATGTGGAACTTTTTTCTAGATTCTGTTCTGTTTCTTGGGTCTGTTTGTCCATCCTTGCATAAATATTATACTTTCTTAATTACTGTAGCTTAAGTTTTGCTATCTGGTAGTTTAAGCCTCCAAGTTTATTCTTCTTTTTGAAGATTGCCTTAGCTAGTCTTTGTATACTAAAGTGTCTAAAGCAAACTACACTCCTCTTATGAATACACTTCAATGACTATTGACATTTGTATATAACCATATAACCACCACTCACTGAAATACAAAATACTTGCAGCATCTAAAAGGTTCCCTTCTGCAGACACATAGACCAGTGGAACAGAATCAGAGAACCCAGAAACAAATCCATACACCTACAGTGAACTCATTTTTGACAGAGGTGTCAAAAACATAACACTGGGGAAAGATAGTCTCTTTAATAAATAGTACTGGAGAAACTGGGTATCTATATGCAAAAGAGTGAAACTAGTTCCCTATCTCTCACCATATACAAAAACCAAACCAAAATGTATTGAAGACTTAAATCTAAGACCTCAAATTATGAAACTACTACAGGAAAACATTGGGGAAAGTCTCCAGTACATGGGTCAGGGCAAAGACTTCTTGAGCACTACCCCTCAAGCACAGGTAACCAAAGTAAATGTGGACAACTGGGATCACATCAAGTTAAAAAGCTTCTGCACAGCAAAGAATACAAACAGCAAAGTGAAGAGACAACCCACAGAATGGGAGAAAATATTTACAAACTGCCCCTCTGATAAGGGATTAATAACCAGAATATATAAGGAGCTTCAAACAACTCTATAGGAAAATATCTAATAATCTGATCAAAATATGGGCAAAAGATTGAATAGACATTTTTCAAAAGAAGACTTACAAATGGCAGACTGGCATATGAAAATGTGCTCAACATCATTGATCATCAGAGAAATGCAGATCAAAACTACAATGTGATTATTGTCTCACCGTAGTTAAAATGGCTTTTATCCAAAAGACAAGAAATAACAAATGCTGGTAAGGATGTGGAGAAGAGGGAACCCTTGCACACTGTTTCTGGGAATGTAAATTAGTACAACCACTGTGGAGAACAGTGTGGAGGTTCCTCAGAAAACTAAAAATAAGAGTTACCATATGATCCAGCAATCCCACTGCTGAGTATATACCCAAAAGAAAGGCTAACAGTATGTCAAAGAGATATCTACACTTCTACATTTGTTGCAGCACTGTTTACAGTAGCTAAGATTTGGACTTAGCGTCCATCAACAGATGAATTAATAAAGTATACATTTACTCAATAGAGTATTATTCAACCGTAAGAAAGAATAAGATCCAGTCATATGCAACAACATGGATGGAACTGTAGATCATTATGTTAAGTAAAATATGCCAGGCACAGAAAGACAAACATCACATGTTCTCACTTATTTGTAGGATCTAAAAATCAAATCAGTTGAACTCATGGAGATAAGAGTAGAAGGATGGCTCCCAGAGGCTGGGAAGGATAGTAGCAGGTTTATGGGGAGGTGGGAATGGTTAATGGGTACAAAAAATAGAGAAAGAATGAATAAGACCTACTATTTGATAGCACAATTGGGTGACTATAGTCAGTAATACTTTAATTGTATATTTTAAAATAAAGAATGTAATTGGATTGTTTGTAACTCAAAGGATAAATGCTTGAGGAGATGGATACCCCATTCTTCATGATGTGCTTATTTTACATTGCTGTCTGTATTAAAACATCTCATGTACCCCATAAATATATACATGTACTATGTATGTACCTACACAATTTTAAAAAATAATTAAAGCAGGATGCAGTGGCTCATGCCTGTAATCTCAGCACTTTGGAAGGCTGAGGCAGGCGGATCACCTGAGGTCAGGAGTTTGAGACCAGCCTGGGCACCATGGTGGAAACCCCATCTCTACTAAATACAAACATTAGCCGGGCATGGTGGCGGATGCCTATAATTCCAGCTACTCGGGAGGCTGAGACTGGAGAATCACTTGAATTCGGGAGGTGGAGTTTGCAGTGAGCCGAGATTGTGCCATTGCTCTCCAGCCTGTGTGACAAAAAAAAAAAAAAAAAAAGAAAGAAAGAAAGAAAATTAAACATTAAATAAAAGTTCTGTTTTGCCCCTACCAGTCAATACCTCTCCCCAGGATAGTCATTTTTCTGTTTTTTTTTTTTTTCTTTTTGAGATGGAGTTTCGCTTTTGTTGCCCAGGCTGGAGTGCAATGGTGCAATCTCTGCTCAAGGCAACCTCCACCTCCTGGGTTCCAGCAGTTCTCCTGCCTCAGCTTCCCGAGTAGCTGGGATTACCAGCATGCACCACCATGCCTGGCTAATTTTGTATTTTTAGTAGAGGTGGGGTTTCTCCATGTTGGTCAGGCTGGTCTTGAACTCCTGACCTCAAGTGGTCTGCCTGCCTCAGCCTCCCAAAGTGCTGGGATTACAGGTGTGAGCCACCATGCCCGGCCTACTTTTCTGACTTTTTATCAGCATTGATTAATTTTATTCTTGGACTTCATATAAATGAAATCATGTAATAGGTATTTATTTGAATATGTTATTTTAATTTTTTTAACTAAACCTAGTGTCTGTTAGAATTATCTATGTTGTTATGTCCCAGTAGTTCATTCTTTAATGCTGTTTAGTATTACATTGTATGAGTATACTACCATTCATTTTTCTATTGATGACAATTGTTTTAAATTTTGGATTATTATGAATAAAACTATTGTGAGCATTCTTATAAATATCTTTTGGTAAAGAGATATACTTAGTTCTTTTGGTATATTCTTATGGGTGAAATTTCTGAATCATAGGGTAGACGTATGCCTGTTTTTAGTTGACATTGCTGAATACTTCCCCAAAATTAACTGTACCATTCATGGTTAATTTTGAATATGTGGCATTGTATGTGAAAAATTGTAAAAATAATTGAAGGTGTAGTATCTTGTTCTCTTTCTCCAGATAGGCTTTATGTTTGCTTTTTATTTGTTTATAGTAGGTTGCTAGTAGTACTAGCAATCCTTGATGATATCAATCCAGTGTCAGGCATTGAGATTATTTGAAGATGGACTTCAGTCCTTGTAAAGACCAGGTTCTTTTGAGTTAATCCTTATTCCTATGATCCTGTCTTCTGGGGGCCCTATCCAAATTGAAGAGACTTTATAAAGGCTTCCTCTTCTTGGTAGACCCTGCACTCATATTCTGCTTCTAGTCTGTGAGACCATAAAAATCTCAGCTCAGCTTTTCCAGTCTTTCATTTCTCTTTTCCAGAATTAGCAGATGCTCTTAGGGAGAAAGCAGCTTCAATGTCTGGTTCATCTCCCTGGCTTTGCCTTCTCCCAGATCTTGGCTTTGTCATTCGTCACTGCCTTATTAGCATCTCTGTGAATACAGGCAGATTTTAAAAAATAATTTGTCCAGATTTTCTTAATCTTTTTAGAATGATTGGTCTGCTTTGTGTAAATTGTCATTATAGAAGCAGAAATCTGTTTCTCATTAATATATTTTCTTCTCTCACCCTTTCTATACTCTCCCATCCTCCTTTCCCCCCATTATGCCTGTTTCATTATTCCAAATCTGTATTGGACTGATAATGCATAGTTAAGCATTACAGCTTTCTATGATGTATATTCTTTCCATTTGATACACACATTCATATTCCTGCATATTTATTTTTCTAGATGAACTTTGAATCATTTTTGAAGGTCTAAGATAAATCTCTTTAATTTTATTTTGGGAGAATTGCCATTTTTACATTTCCATTCTTCCCATCCAGATATGTGATGAATATTGATTTATTTAAACTTGTTTTCTTCCAGCTTGTTACTACTAATGTTTTGGGGACTGTGTGTATGTGTATATTTGCTGTATATTTCTGACTATATTTGTTTTTAACTATTATATTTTTCTTGCTGCTTTTGAGAGTAAGATTCTTCACCCAATTTGTTTTCTTTTTTTCTCTTTTCTGTTTTTAAGGGAAGGTGGGGTTGATATATAGTAAAGTGACAAAAATATATTTATCTTATATTCAGTCATTCTACTGTACTTTCATATTATGTCTTAAGTCTTTTCAGTCTATTTCAAATATTTATTTACGATTGGCTTAATGATCTTAAAAATATTATTAGTTTGCAATATAACCATAAGATGTGGCTTATAATACTACTGGTTCTTGGAATTTATTGACTTTTTCCTTGAACATATAAGATAGAGATCAAATATAACATGGCTACTTAAAAGGATTTGTTCTTTTTGTGTTGGTTACATTGAAGCTTTCTTTTTTTTTCAAGTTTTATTTTATTTTTAATTGACATAATAATTGTGCATATATATAGGGCATCATATGAAATTTTAATACATTTATACATTGTGTAATGATCAAATTAGGATAATTGGCATATCTAGCACCTCAAACATTTATTGTTTCTTTTTGCTGAGACTATTCAGAGGCCTCTCTTCTAGCCATTTTGAAATATACCATACATTGTTGATAACTATGGTCACCCTACTGTGCAATAGATCACCAGCATTAGTCCATCCTATCTAACTGTAATCTTGTACTCATCAATCAGTATTTCCTCATCCTCTCTTCCTCTTAACCTACCCAAGCTCTGGTTATTACTATCCTGCTCTCTACTTCTGTTATATCATAGTTTTTTTTAGATTTCATCAATGAGTGAGATAATGCATCATTTTTTCTTTCTGTGTTGTGCTTATTTCACTTAACATAATGTCCTCTAGGTTTATGCATGTTATTGCAAATGATAAGATTTCATTCTTTTTCATGGCTCAATAGTATTCTGCTGTGAAACTTTCTTTCTACATCTTATTTTACCTTATTTATTTCATTATATCAAATGTCACATCAAAGCTAACATGTAGAAGATTCTTAATAAGCGTCTATTACTGGGTCAATGCTGCAACTTGCCTCCCTGGCTCTTATACTAGGTTAGTTTGTTGTTGCTTCAAGCCATGTTTTTCTCTATTCTCTTTTACCACAACAATCATCAACACAGAAGAAGACTTCTGTGACCAAAGTGGTAGGGGTTCTCCCCACCACCAAGCAAGCAATAAACTTCTTCAGCAGATACCAATTGAGTGTCCTCCAATTTAATTTTGACCCTTTCTACTTGGAGATAGTGTCAGATCCCACAGATTGAGGGGTTTAGTCCCTCATATCCTGCAGCCCCTAAAGACAGCAGGCCCAAGTCCAGGCTGGAACTTCCTCCTGACTGGCTTGAAGTTGGGGTTCCCGTGATCCTCTCTTTGACTAATTTGCTAGAGCAGCTTACGAAGCTCAGAGGAACACTTAAACCTATGTTTACCAGTTTATTATAAAGGCTAGTATAAAGAATATGGATGAAGAGATATATAGCATGACGTATAGTAGAAGGGGCACGGAGCTTCCATGCCCACCCTGGATGAGCCACCCTCCAGGAACCTCCACATGCTAGCTATTCAGAAACTGTCTTCTTGGGTTTTTACAGAGGCATCATTACATAGGCATGATTGTTTAAACCATTGGCCATTGGTGATCAACTTGACCCTCCACTCCTCTCTCCTCCTAGAGTTTGTGGGGGGTGCTGCAAGTCCCAACTCTAATCATACTCTTGTCTTTCCAGTGACCAGGCCCATCCTGAAGCTATCAGTCAGTATTGGCATACAAAAAGACAGTCCTTTGGAGGGGGATGAAGACCAAATATATATTTCATAGTATCAGATGGATAGATTCTCATGACCTTCAAATCAGTACCATCATAAATTGCTTCTCATTACTACCTTGGACTCCTTTTACTTCTTGGAAAACTTTCTCTTTAATTTCTATCATTGATATTGTAAACATATTCATTTTTCATATCAGGTGTCCCCTTGTTTAAACTCTAGTATTCTTAAGATGAAGAGATGATTACTTCCCATTTCACTGACCAAAATTGAGATAATAGTAGTGATGTGCCTAAGTTTATTGTGCTCTGTCCTAAAAGTAACCTACCCTTACCCATACTTATCTTTGCCCAGTCTTACAGGATGAGGTTTCTCTGTTCTGTTTAAAGTTATTCTGTTTACATGTCTTCTTTATTTATCTCCTCATGCCATCTCTAGGAGCTTGTTCATTAGATGTATCCCGTAAGCCCCATTTCCTTAGTGTCTTTCTCGTTGCTGCTTTCTTACCCTATATAAACATGTTGTGCATTTCCACCCTAAAAAGAAATATTTCCTGTCTTCATCCTTGTCTCCCTCTAGCAACTGTCTTATTTCTTTATTCTACTCCTCATTCAAATACCACGTATATTTTGTAAATCACTATTTTCTAGTTCTAGTCGAGTTGTTAGTGAAAAGAACACAGGTTTGAAGACAGTAATACCTGAGGTCAGGAACTGTTATCTTTGATAACATTAGCCTTTAGTCTCTGTTTTTTATCTGTAAAATAGAGGTAGTACTTACCTTGTTAGGGTTGTTTTGAGGATTTGTTTGAAGCTAATAGAAGCTTAGTCTTGACACACAGAAGATACTGTTTAAATGGTAGTAAATACCACTGTTTTGATTACTCATAAGTTTTTTGTTTTTAAAGTATTTTCTAGTTTGTAATCATGTTTTTCAAATAGTTGAGGTTGCAGAGTAATTGACCTCAGGAAAAATATAGTGTTAGTATATATGGAAAATTAAGAAACTGAGCGTATCCTAAGATTGTTTAACTCATTTGATTTCTTCTTCCCTTCCCTTTCCCTTTCCTCTTTCTCCTTCCCTTTCTTCTCTCTCCTTTTCCTTCCTCCCTCTCCTTCCCCTCCCCTCTCCTCTCCTCTCTCTCTCTTTCCCTCCCTCCCTCCTTCCCTCCTTCCCTCCTTCCTTCCTTCCCTTCTTCCTTCCTTCCCTTCTTCCTTCCTTCCCTCCTTCCTTCCTTCCTCTCTTGCTTTCTTGCTTTTTTCTGGGTCTTGTTTTGTTGCCCAGGCTGGAGTGCGGTGGCAGTCTCAGCTCACTGTGACCTCTGCCTCCCAGGCTCAAGTGATCTACCTCAGCCTCCCAAGTATCTGGGACCACAGGCACATGCCACCAGGCCCAGCTAATTTTTTTTTTTTTTTTTTTTTTTTTTTTTTTTTTGTAGGGATGGGTTCTTGCCATGTTGCCCAGGCTGGTCTCGAACTCCGGGGCTCAAGCAACCCTCCCAACTTGGCCTCCCAAAGTGCTGGGATTATAGGAGTGAGCTACCATGCCCAGAAATTCATTTGATTTCTAATGAAATTTTATTGTATGCTCAGATATTTTCTAGAAGACAGGATTTTGCTTTGTGCTTAATCATTATAATTATTGTAAGGTCAGTCAAGTTTCATAGAAGCCAAACTCATATTAGTACCACTTCAGCATTTTCCCTTTTTTGTTCTTCCATTTATTGATAATGAGATTAGAAGAAGCATGATGTATTCATAGGATATATTGTGTTATTTGAGGGTTGATAGAAAAGTCTTTTTAAGCAAAAGTTGCTTATCCAGTGATCTATGATAATAACTAAGATTAGTTTAAATGTTTTTAAATTACCTGTACAGACACAATTACTAAAAGACAATATAGAGAATTAAGAAATGCATAAAATACAGACCCTTTGTTTAAAAGAACATCCATTTTAGTAAAAGAAGAATCAGGTATGTAACTATATAATCAGAATCCTTCCATAGGTGTCCTGGCTTTGAGGAGGTCAGAGAACTATTGGATGAGTCATTCACATGGATGTTGATGTTGTTCAAAATCAAACAAAAAAAACCAAACAACAACAACAAAAAACAAAAATGTTTTTTTGTTTTGTTTTGTTTTTTTGTTTTTGAGATGGAGTCTCGCTCTGTCTGTTGCCCAGGCTGGAGTGCAGTGGTGAGATCTCGGGTCACTGCAACCTCCGTCTCCCAGGTTCAAGCGATTCTCCTGCTTCAGCCTCCCAAGTAGCTGGGTAGCTGGGATTACAGGCATGTGCCACCATGCCTGGCTAATTTTTTTGTATTTGTAGTAGAGACAGGGTTTCACCATATTGGCCAGGCTGGACTCGAACTCCTGACCTTGTGATCTGCCCACCTCAGCCTCCCAAAGTGCTGGGATTACAGGTATGAGCCACCTCATCCGGCCTCCCTGTTTTATAATTTTTAAAATAGTCTTGTGTTTGAATTGAGACTCAGATAAATTCCATACATTGTGATTTGTTGATGTCTCTCAAATATATATATTTCTCTATTAATTTTCAACTTCTTTAATTATACATGATAATGTAGATACTTTTCTGTGTCGCAGTCTAAGCATCTTTCATTCAGTATTGTTCTAGGTATTTCACATTTAAAAAACAGATTATAACATTGTTTCTAATTGTTGCTGTTACATAAAAATACATTTGACTTTGGCATATTATCTTTGTTTTAGCAACTTTGCTATATACGTTAATTTAAAAGAAATGTGTCTTTAGATTACTTTGAACATTTTGTGTTTGCATTGTCTTTAAATAATGAACATCATAGTTTCTCTTTTCTTGTTGTTAAATCTTTTAATTTATTTTTATTGCTTTATTGCAGTGGCTCAGAACTCCAGTAAAATGTTGAAGTAAATGATAGCCATGAATGAAGTGTATGTCTTACTCTTTATCTCAGAGGGAAAGTTTTAACTTTCACCACTTGGTATGATGTTTGCTATAGGTTTTTGGTAGAAAGCCTGTATCACATTAAAAAAGGTCCCTTCTAGTCTTAGTTTGCTGAGATTTTTTAAAAGCATAAATAGTGGTTAAATTTTATGAAACACCTTTTTTTCTCTTTTATTCTGTTCATTTGGTGAATTATGCTGCATTATTTTTTAATATTAAACCATATTTGTATATTAGTTGATTTGAGTTGATAATATTTTGTTTAGGATTTTTGCATCTCTGTTCCTGAAATAGATTGCCTGTCGTTTTTCTTTGCTTATAAGGTCCTTGTCAGGTTTTAGTATCAAGATTTTGCAGGGCTCATAAATAAGTTGAGAAGTATTCTTTCTTTTACTGTTTCCTAGGAGTATGCACATCACTGGCATTTTGAAAATAAATTCACCAGTGCAGTCATCTGGCTTACGTGTTTTATTTGTTGTAAGGTTTTAAATAAAATATTATTTATTTGTGTGTATTTGTGTGTACATATATACACATACATAAATATACACACACATGCACACATACATATGTGAGTATTCACTTTTTCCTATATGTTATGTAAATGTTTTCTTTTTGTAGGAATTTGATTTTTTCATACATCATTATTTTGAAGCAAATCTCATATATCCTTTTATCTATATATATATGGATATTTCACTCTACTCTCTTCTTGCTTGAATGGTTTCTGAGACAAGTCAGATGTATTTCTTATCTTTGCTTTTCTATAGGTTCAGTATTTTTTCCCTTTGGCTTCTTTCAGGATTTTTCATTTCTTTTCAAACTTTGTTTTGAGAGAGTCTCGCTGCTTCACCCAGGCTGGAGTGCAGGGGTATGATTTTGGTTCACTGCCACCTCTACCTCCCTGGCTCAAGTGATCTCCTACCTCAGCCTCCCGAGTAGCTGGGACTAGAGGTGCGTGCCACCATGCCCAGCTAATTTTTGTATTTTCTGTAGAGACAGGGTTTCGCCACGTTGCCCAGGCTGGTCTTGAACTCCTGAGCTCAAGCAATCCACGCTCCTCAGCCTTGAAAAGTGCTGGGATTATAGGTGTGAGCCACCGTGCCTGGCGCAAGAGTTTTCTTTTGTCTTTGATTTTCAGAAGTTTGAATATGACATGCCTAGGGATATTTTGGGGGGCATTTATTCTCCTTGCTCTTCTCTGACCTTCCTGTATTTTGGTTTGGCATCTGATATTAATTTAAGGAAATTTGTTTTCATTATTGCTTCAGGCACTTTTGTGTTTTTTTTTTTCTGTTTCTTCTCTTTCTGGTATTCTCATCACGTGTATTTATACCTTTTGTTGTCATCTCAGAGTTCTTGAATATTCTGTTGTGGTTTTTTTTTTCAGTCTTTTTTTCTGTTTGCTTTTCAGTTTTGGAAATTTTTGTTGTCATATCTTTAAGCTTTAAGATTCTTTCTTCAGCCATGTCCCATCTAATAGTGAGTTCATCAAAGGCATTCTTCATTTCCATTACAGTGTTTTCAATCTATACTATTTCTTTTTTATTTGTGAAAATTGTCAGAATCAAAATCAAGTTGTCTGTGTTAAAAACAAAAACAAAAACCAAAAACACCAAAAAACCCCTGACAAATATGGGGAAAGGCTATGAAGGGAGGATTCTCACACTTATATGCCTGATAACAAAACTATCATAAAAGACTCTACAAAAATCTAAGCCTTGCACAAAGGCCATCGCAACCTAACCCAAAAACTACTTGCGTGAGCACATCTGCCCAGCAACGTCCTGTCCAACCTTGGACTGTCATCACCCTTGTTATTGATACTTGTAGCCAAGACTAATCATTTCAAAACAATTATGTAATTTTCCTCACATTCCCTTTAAAACCATTTGTCTTCCTTTGCTTCCCTGAACGCACATATAGTTTACTATGGCACCTTTATTCCCATTTCAGTGCCCTATTCCTGAATAAATATTATTTTCTTTAAAGAATCTCTTGCTGTTTGTTATTTAGGTTGACAGTTTTTTTTTTTTAGAATTTCTGTCTCTTTCTGCTTATATTATCCAGCTGTTCTTACATGTTGTTTCCTTTTTCCATTAGATCCCATGGCATGTTATAGTTTTTCAAAATTCATGATTTAGTAATTCCAATATTCCTGCCATATCTGACTCTGGGTCTGATGCTTGTTCAGTCTCTTCAAACTGTTTTTTTGCTGTGTAGTATGCCTTATGTAAGTATTTGTACTTAGTATGTACTTATTTGCTGAAAGCTATACTGAGTGAATAGAACTGTGGTAAAGAGCTTTTAGTAATGTAAGGTGTGAGGAGAGGGAGGTGTTCTACAGTCCTATGATCAGGTTGCAGTCTTTTGGTGAGCCTATGCCCCTAAATTGTGACCTTCACCGGTGCTTCTGATTTTCCCCTCTTAGTTTGGACAGGATGGCTGGAGGGAGGTGCAGTGAGTTTTTCCCTTCCCCTGTGTGGAATGCTAGATATGGCTGTAGTTGGGTATTTCCCTTCTCTCACATAGAAGGCTAGAGGGAGCTGGAGTTGGGTTATTTTCTTCCTACAAGTCAAGTTCAGAGCTGGCTGGAGTTAAGTATTTTCTTTCTCTCAGATAGGTTAGGCTCTGATATGAGCCCAGTAGATGAGGCTGTAGAAAAAAGAATTTCTCCTGAGGTCAGGTTTTGTTAAGAATGGAATGCTCTGACGTACTTCAAAATGGTTTCTTTTCTCTTCTCCCTGCTGGTGGAAATATGAGGGGATTTTTCTCCAGTATTTATAGTGAGAACCTAGTAGAACTCCTGGAAGTAAAACTTAACAAAAACTTGAGAGCCCAATGATTGGATTTCTCTGGAGTTTTAATCTCTCACACTTGTCCGCACTGAGCTTCCAGCAATTCATCAGTTCAGGCGACCCACACAAAGTTTCACTAGTCATGCTGGAAGTGCTCTCAAGAAGCAGAGAAAACTCATGACATTACAAGAAAAAGTTGAATTGCTTGATATGTACCATACATAGAGGTCTACAGCTGTGGTTGCATTCCGTTTCAAACAGACAATTTATCTTGTAAGCAGACAATATAAACTTATGGTATAAATAAATACAGTACCATAAATGTGTTTTCTCATCCTTAGGATTTTCTTAATAACATTTTCTTTTCTCTAGCTTACTTTATTGTAAGAATACAGTATGTAATACATATAGCATAAAATATATGCTAATCAACTATGTTCCTAGTAATGCTTCTGGTCAACAATAGGCTATCAAGTTAAGATTCTGGGAAGTCAAAAATTATACATGGATTTTTGATGGCACAGGTGTTGGTGCCCCTAACGCTCAAGTTGTTCAAGAGTCAATGTATCTCACTGTACTCACCACTCTGCTTAAGAAATAGACATAACTTATATTTATAAAAGTATACATTAGGCTGGGCACGGTGGCTCACACCTGTAATCCCAGCACTTTGGAAGGCCGAGGTGGGTGGATCACAAGGTCAGGAGATCGAGACCATCCTGGCCAACATGGTGAAACCTCGTTTCTACTAAAATGCAAAAAAAAAAAAAAAAAAAAGTATCCGGGCGTGGTGGCGCATACCTGTAGTCCCAGCTACTCGGGAGGCTGAGGCAGGGGAATTGCTCGAATCCGGGAGGCGGAGGTTGCAGTGAGCCAAGATTGCGCCACTGCACTCCAGCCTGGCGACAGAGTGAGACCCTGTCTCAAAAAAAAAAAAAGAAGTGTACATTATATACTAATATATAAACATATATGTAGTCTACCTAGTGATTACTTTGGCTTTTAGACACTCCCATGGTAAATTAAGTAATTTTTTTGTTATTAATTTGTTTATTTAAGGAAATTTTTCTTTAAACTTTTAGATGATACAGCAGTGTTCGAGTTGATACAGCTAGTTCCACCAGGTAATATATATTGATGTAATATATACAATATAAGATATCATAAATTGATGTAATATATAATATATTATATATTGATTATACTATATTATTTGATAAGGATATAATATAGTGTATTATATACTGATAAAGTAAATTGACTTGGGAACTCATGTGAGTGACATTTTTTTTTACTTCAAAATCTCATCTTTTCAGGCCGGGCATAGTGGCTCATGCCTGCAATCCCAGCACTTTGGGAGGCTGAGGCAGGCGGATCACCTGAGGTCAGGAGTTCAAGACTAGCCTGACCAACATGGTGAAACCCCGTCTCTACTAAAAATAGAAAAATTATCCAGGTGTGGTGGTGGGCATCTGTAATCCCAACTACTCGGGAGGCTGAGACAGAAGAATCACTTGAACCCGGGAGGCAGAGGTTGCAGTGAGCCAAGATCATGCCATTGCACTCCAGCCTGGGTGACAGAGCGAGACTCCGTCTCAAAAAAAAAATCTCATCTATCCTCCTCTTCCCAAGTTGAGAACAGTGTCAGATTTCTATTGTTGATCTACTATGTGTAAAATGTCAGTAGACCAAAATAATATATACAGAAAGATTGTCATAAATGTCACTTTAATACATTGTTCTAAAATTGAATAGTAATAATTGAAAATGGAAACTAACTTATCATTCTAAAATATTTTGTGACAGTCATAAAAATTGACTTTTAAGTTTTTGTGATTTTTCTAAAACTATATATTTTTATTGATAAAGTAGTTAATTATCATTGTTTTTGTGTGTTGCATATTATTAGGGAAGGGAAGAGAATAAAACCTTACTTATGTAGTAAATGTTACAGTTCCCTGGAGAAGGCAGAGTTAAAATATAGAGGCTAGTTTCATTTCTGATATTGATTTCTGTGATTATAGATGACATCTATATTAATCAAATTTTTATTTTATGTGAAAAATAGAGTGCTGGCTGGGCGCGGTGGCTCATGCTTGTAATCCCAGCACTTTGTGGGGCCAAGGTGGGCAGATCATGAGGTCAGGAGATTGAGACCATCCTGGCCACCATGTTGAAACCCCATCTCTACTAAAAATATATAGCTAGGTGTGGTGGCGCATGCCTGTAGTCCCAGCTACTCAGGAGGCTGCAGGAGGAGAATCACTTGAACCCAGGGTGGGGTGGAGGTTGCAGTGAGCTGAGATGGCACCATTGCACTCCAGCCTGGGCAAAAAGAGTGAAACTCCATCTCAAAAAAAAAAAAGTCTGTCTCAAAAACAAACAAACAAAAACCAATGTGGAGATGGTAACTGACATATAAATGTTGGACCAACTTCATATTTTTGTAGTATGTTTCTGAAAAAGGAAAATGTGTTAATATTTTTAACATATCTTTATTTTAATTTTCCTTTCATAGAAAATAAACATGACCCAAAACAGGTATTTCAATAAGGCATCAGGCAGTAGATATATCATACTTGATGATTTTGTTTCTAAATAGAATATTTTATTATAATTTGAATCATAGGGTATCTTTCTTGTAGTGGGTGAAACACTGTCTACGTATGACGAAAATACACGAGATTTCATGTTTCCGGGTCCAAACCAAATGTCTGGACACCATGATTCAAACCGCCAGGTTACCATGAGGAGGATTTCTGGCCTTCGAGTAAGTGCTTGCAATTTTCTGAATCAGTTTTTGATGGAAAATCATTGTCAGAAACCACCGCATAGTGCTCGCCATCTTAAATGTGAAGAACAAATTCAAAGTGTAATTTAGTTTACTTAATTGTTTTGTAGTTTAAATCTTAATTGTTTTAGATTTCAATATGTTACTTAAACATATAAAGATATTTATTTACAGCAATGTAAAAACAGACTAATACAGTAAATTGGTTACTTAAACATATTGAAATCTAAATGAAAATAATTTAATAAAAAGTGCCATTAAAAATTTTTTAAATTGTAATTGACATTCTTCAAATCTCTGTCATCCCCTTCTCTCCCCATCCCATCTCTGTCTCTCTGTCTCTTTCTTCTCTTTATTTTTCTCTCTAAGGGATGATAATAAACATTTGAAAAAATACTCTAACTCATTAGTATTCAGAGAAATCCAAGTTAAAACAACCATATGATTTCATTTATATAGCTATAAGATTGGGAAAATTTAATAAATCTGATAAAAGTGAAAAACTTAGAATCTTTCATATGCTGCTATACCATGTGATATGGTTAGGCTCTGTGTCCCCACCCAAATCTCATCTTGAATTGTAATCCCTGTAATCCTTGTGTGTCAGGGGTGGGACCTGGTGGGAGGTGATTGGATCATGAGGGTGGTTTCCCCCGTGCTGTTCTCATGATAGCAAGTGAGTTCTCACGAAATCTGATGGTTTTATAAGTGTTTGACATTTCCTGCTGCACACACATTTTCTCTCTCGCCTGCTGCCATGTAAGATGATTTGCCTCTTCCCCTTCCACTGTGATTGTAAGTTTCCTGAGGCCTTCCCAGCCATGTAAAACTGTGAGTCAGTTAAACCTCTTTCCTGATAAATTACCCAGTCTCAGATATTTCTTGCTAGCAATATGACAATGGATTAATACAGTACATTGGTACCGAGGTAGTGTGGCATTGCTATAAGATACCCGAGAATGTGGAAGTGAATTTGGAACTGGGTAATGGGCAGATGGAGGAACAGTTTGGAGGGCTCAGAAAGCAGGAAGATGTGGGAAAGTTTGGAACTTCCTAGAGACTTGTTGAATGGCTTTGACTATAATGCTGTTAGTGATATAGACAATGAAGTCCAGACGGAGGTTGTTTCAGATGAAGATGAGAAATTTGTTGGGAACTGGAATAAGGGTGACTCTTGCTATGCTTTAGCAAAGAGAGTGGCAGCATTTTGCCCCTGTGCTAGAGATCTGTGGAACTTTGAACTTGAGAGAGATGATTTAGGGTATCTGGTGGAAGAAATTTCTAAGCAGCAAAGCATTCAAGAGGTGACTTGGGTGCTGTTAAAGGCATTCAATTTCAAAAGGGAAATGGAACATAAAAGTTTGGAAAATTTGCAGCCTGACAATGGGATAGAAAAGAAAATTCAATTTTCTGAGTAGAAATTCAAGCCAGCTGTAGAAATTTGCATAAGTAACAAGGAGCTG
This sequence comes from Homo sapiens, assembly GCF_000001405.40. Lineage (NCBI taxonomy): Eukaryota > Metazoa > Chordata > Mammalia > Primates > Hominidae > Homo > Homo sapiens. Next base: position 48,409,979 of record NC_000001.11, on the reverse strand, counting down.
AATGTTAATCACCAAGACAGTGGGGCAGATGTCTCCAGGGCATGTCAGAGACCTTTGTAGCAGCCCTTCCCATCACAGGCCTTGAGGCCTAAGAGGAAAAGGTGGTTTTGTGGGCTAGGCCCAGGGTCCCTGTGCTGTGTGCAGCCTAGGGACTTGGTGCTGTGTCTCAGCCACTCCAGCCATGGCTGAAAGGGGCTAACATAGAGCTTGGGTCGTGGCTTCAGAGGGTGCAGGCCTCAAGCCTTGGCAGCTTCCATGTGGTGTTGAGCCTGCAAGTGCACAGAAATCAAGAATTGAGGTTTGGGAACTTCTGCCTAGATTTCAGAAGATGTGTGGAAACGCCTGGATGCCCAGGCAGAAGTTTGCTGCAGGGGCGAGGTGCTCATGGAGAACCTCTGCTAGGGCAGCCTAGAAGGGAAATGTGGGGTCAGAGCCTCCACACAGAGTCCCTACTGGGGCACTGCCTAGTGGAGCTGTGAGAAGAGGGCCACCATTCTCCAGATCCCAGAATGGTAGATCTACTGACAGCTTGCACCATGTGCCTGGAAAAAACTGCAGACACTCAGTGCCAACCAGTGAAGGCAGCCATTAGGGAGGCTATACCCTGCAAAGCCACAGGGGCGGAGCTGCCCAAGACCATGGGAACGTACCTCTTGTATCAGTGTGACCTGGATGTGAGATATGGAGTCAAAGGAGATCATTTTGGAGCTTTAAGATTTGATTGCCCTGCTGGATTTTGGACTTGCATGGGGCCTGTAGCCCCTTTGTTTTGGTCAATTTCTCCCATTTGGAGTTGTTGTATTTACTCAATGCCTATACCCCCGTTGTATCTAGGAAGTACTAACTTGTTTTTGATTTTACAGGCTCAAAAGTGGAAGGCACTTGCCTTGTCTTGATGAAACTTTGGACTGTGGACTTTTGAGTTAATGCTGAAATGAGTTAAGACTTTGGGGGACTGTTGGGAAGGCATGATTGGTTTTGAAATGTGAAGATAAGAGATTTGGGAGGGTCCAGGGACTGAATGATGTGGTGTGGTTCTGGGTCCCTACCCAGATCTCATCTTGCAGCTCCCATAATTCTCATGTGCTATGGGAGGGACCTGGTGGGAGATGATTGAATCATGGGGATGGGTCTTTCTCACGCTGTTCTCATGATAGTGAATGGGTCTCATGAGATCTGATGGTTTAAAAAATGGGAATTTCTTTGCACAAGCTCTCTCTTTGTCTGCCACCATCCATGTAAGATGTGACTTGCTCCTCCCTGCATTCCACCATGTGGAAGTGTAAGTCCAGTAAACCTCTTTCTTTTGTAAATTGCCCATTCTCAGGTATGTCTTTATCAGTACCATTAAAAATGAACTAATACAATATCTATCTTAAAGATGTATTCTCTCTGGTACACTAAGAGCCTTCTTAAGAATGTTTACCTGTTGGTTCATAATAGTGAAAAATTGAAATAATTGATATGTCTGTTAGTAGGAGTTTAGATAGATTAATTGTAAAATATGTATATAATGGAAATATATATTCATACACCTAAAATTAAAAGCTGCATCAAGTGACAGCTTACTCTCTATCCTTTACTATAACTTCCTTCAAGTTCTGTGGATGATTTGAAAATATTTTATTGCTGAAAGTAAGTCTTCCATGCAGAGAAACTGAGAGAAGCCCATGCCATTTCAAAAGAGGAAAAGCAAAAATTGTCCAGCTTGAAATTATTTGGATAGACCTTTAAAACTAATTGTATAAAATATTAGAGTAGTCCGAATAAGGAGAGTGTTGATATATGAACAAATATAGTTAACTAAGTAATTTCTCCTATAGATTTATGATATGCCCTATTCCAAGAAAAAGCAGCTTCATCTTTATGAAAGTATAAAAGTTGACTAAGTAGCAAGTCTATAAAACTATACTTTCTTTGGGGATATTTCAGTGTCCATTAGCATGCTTCTGTACTATGAAAGTCTTCAAAGAGTATTTCAAGATCTGTGTGGAAACATACAATGAACAAATAATCACATTTTAAAATTATGGTCTCTTTAATGTAATTTAAAATTCTGTATTATACCAATGTGGTAATATAAACTCAAGAGTATGGAACATTAAGAGGGATTTACTTTTCATCATTTAATTTGAGTTACTTTTGCATTTATTTGGAAGATGATGGATTATTAAAACAAAAATATATAAAAATTAGGACTTCTACGAATGGCAGTTTGAAGAGATTGAGAGTTCTTATAAAACTAGACAAAATTTTCACAAACAATGAATTCAGGATACTGGAAACTGACAAGGTAAGACGAAGAAGTTTTCATGCTTGAAAAACTGCTAAAGCTTTGGGAAAAACTGGCGAGACTATTAACATTCTTGCCTGGGATGCTCTTATATTCTGTTTGGTAAGTGAGAACTAAAGTTTATCTATTCTGGAGCTAGTGCAAAAATCAACAGCTTTGCTACCAGAGGGAACAGAATCAGTTTTGGGCAGTGGCACAAATAGCACAGCTTTGCCAGCTAACTGTGGTGGATTCAGTTGGAGCAGATGAAGAAACCCCACAGCTTTGCTAGGCAGAGCTCTAACTGGGGCAAGGATTACCTGCCAGAAAGTTGACAGGAAGGTCCTGGGAGTAAGGTAACAATAAAGGGCTGAGATAAACTCTCCACCTATTCTTGGCTGACTGTGAAACTGCATATCAAGGGGAGACAGTGAGAGCCCAGCCAAAAGTGAAAGCCAAGGGAGACTGGAGTCCTGGCTGCAATTTTGAATGATTTCCTAATCTATACACAGGTCATCAGCAGAGGGTAGGACTCCTATGGGTTCACTGGATGACCACTTACCTATGCATATGCAGGTGAGACTCCTAGAAAGAATCAAAGAATAGAAATACATAGAACATATATAAACTGAACACCAAATTGGCAGTTCTAAATCTAGCCATATCTATCATTATATTTAAATACGAATAGGAAAAATGCTTCAATCAGTAGTTTGTTGCCCTGGCAGAAAACAGCGCACTCCTTCTGGGAATTCTTGTGATTCTGCATAATCATCTGTAAGTCCCAGGCTATGCTCCTGAAGCCTTTACTATGGCAAGGATTCAGACAACATTTGGGATTAAATTCTGGCACTTTCATGGATGAACTGAGTAACCTTTGGCAAAGCACCATAACATGGCGATATCATAGGGTTTTTGGGTAGATTAATGTAAACTTGTAAATGGTTATAGCAGTGTCTGGCAAGTAAACACTCAATAAATGTTAGTGATATGATGATAGCTGTGAATATCATGATGGTGATGATGGAGTAGAGATGATGATAATATCTCCTGTTCTAGATTGTGAACTCCATAAAAACAGAATCTTTGACTTTCTCATCTTTGAATTTAACTCTTAACACAGTACCTTGCCTGGAGTAGGTACTTAATAAATGTCTCTTAATTAAATTGAATGAATGAATTGCATCTTGTAGACTTCATAGATGAACTGACATTTAAAATGGTGTGATGATTAATCTTATGTTTCAATTTGGCTAGATTATGGTGCTAAGTTATTTGATCAAACACAAGTCTAGATGTTATTCTAAAAAGTATTTGATAGTTGTGATTAATATTTACAATCACTTGACTTTAAATAAAGGAGATAACTTTGAGATTACTTTGGCAATTTGAGTGGGCCTGATCTAATAAATTGAAGACCTGAAGAGGAAAATCTGAGGTTTACTGATGAACAAGGGATTCTTTTGTTTTGTTTTGTTTTTGAGACAGGGTCTTTCTTTGTCACCCAGGCTGGAGTGCAGTTGCGAGATCATGGCTTACTGCAGCCTTGACCTCCCACGCTCAAACAGGAATGTCTATAGTGATTGTCCTGTCCCTGCTGCACATGTGCACCTTGGGCATGTGTGAGGCAGATAACTTTTCTCTTTAGGTCATATGTCTTCTGATTGTGAGAAACTGCATTTTAGGAGCTGTACATAAGGAACTACACCTCAGCAGCCCTATCTATACCAGGATTTTATTTAGATGCCAACATCCTGGATTTCAAGCTGAAGTTGTACAAGGATGAGACTTTAATTCTTTTCTTTTTTTTGGTAGAGCATGAATGTATTTTGCATGTGAGAGGAATGTAAGTAATTTGTGGTCAGAGAGCAGACTGGTGGTTTTAAACCTGTGCACAAAATTTTTGCTACTCCTTCATTGAAAAGGTAGCCTAACTACTCTGTCATTGAGTTTGGATTATACTTAGTGAGTCTGATGAATAGAATGTGGTAGGGATGACAGTGTCAGATTCTGAGACTACATCATTGTGGCTTCCTTCTTGCTTTGCTCTTGGATCATCCCCTTTGATTAACTAGAACCACATCATGAGAACACTCAGTAGCCTTTTGGAGAGGTTTATGAGTTGCTGAATGTTCTTGCCAAAAGCTAGAAAGGAACTGAGGCTTCCAGCCAACAGCCCTGGGAATGAACCTTCTTGAGAAGCAGATTCTCAAACTCCAGTCAAGTTTTCAGTTGACTGCAGCCTAAATGACATCTTGACCACAATTTCACGAGAAATTTCAACACAGAAACACATAGCTCAACCTCTCTCAGATTTCTGACCCATAGAAATTACGTGAGATAATAAATGTGTACTGATGCTTTAAACCGCTAAGTTTCAAGGTAATTTGTTTTGTAGTACTAGGTAATTAACAAGTAGATATAGTGGATATCACAGATATCACTATGAAGATACGTTTGCAGAAGAACACACATTGAAAATGTAGCCTAACTACTCTTCTTGAGTGTAGACTGTAGTGATGCTAATGAATAGAATGTGGTAAGATTGACAGTGTTATATTTTCGAGAGTACATCAGTTCAGTCAATTGTTAGGCAACTCCGATTTACCTTTTCTTTAATGTGTATGATGTTTTTAAACTTAGCTGGTCACAGACTTGATTTGTTGAGGCCAAATGTAGGTATTGAATCACAATTGCTTGTGCACCAACCTAATACTTTGGTCAATGTCTGATTTTTACTGTTTTAGAATGAAACTGCCCTGGGCATAGACTGTATTCTTTAATGTTTTGGTGAATGCGTAATTGTGTGCTTCCAAATATTTTCACAGATACTTTGTGACTGTCCTTTTGAATTTTACCATTTATCTCTATTATTTCAAACAGTGTTCAAGGTGGTGATTGAAATGTTAGAAATATAAGCCACATTCATTTCTAGATATGAATGTAAGATACATTATAGGAAAAAATGTTGGCAGAATTAGTAGAGACTTATCTTTTCTGTTTTCAAGAACTACATGCCGAGGAACTGGGTTTTTTGTTTTGTTTTTTTTAAATTTTAATGGACAGGCCAGACCCAGTGGCTCATGCCTGTAATTCCAGTGCTTTGGGAGGCTGAGGCAGGAGGATTGCTTGAGGCCAGGAGTTTGACACCAGCCTGCATGACATAGTGAGATCCTGTATCTACAAAATAATGAAAAAATTAGCTGAATGTGGTGGTGTATCCTGTAGTCCTAGCTACTTGGAAGGCTGAGGGGAAAGGATCACTTAAGTCCAAGAGTTAGAGTCTGCAGTGAGCTGTGATGGCACCACTATACTCCAGAGACCTTGTCTCTAAGAAAAAAAATTAATTGAGTAATACTAATTGTATATATTTATGATATACAACATGATGTTTGATATATGTATACGTTGTGGAATGGCTAAATCAAACTAACATTTGTTTCTTGACTATATGGTTAAATATGTCGTAAGTTGTAAAAGTAAAAAGCTGAAATTTATTAAGTATGTTTATATATTTATGGCTATAATATATCATAATTTAAAAATTTAAAACAATTTGACAGGGAAATACTTAAAAATGAAAAAATAGACTAATTATTTTATAAAAGTAATATAATCACTCATGATGGAATCATCAGCAGAGACATTGTTACTTGCTAACATTTAGCCATACTATGTTGTCTTTATCTTTAATGAAAAGTTCAAACTAACAGTGAAACAGCTGAACTTTGACAGGTGTTTGTTACTTTAGGTCATATTCTTATCATTAATAATTATCTCTATTTAAATGGAAATGTGTAATAATACCCTCTTTTTTCTTCTCAGGGAAATGCTCCAAGGCTGGAATTTTCTACGACTTCAGTGATTACTGAATGTCTGATAAGTTCAAGGAAATGCCACACTCAGGTTAAAATTATTTGTATAAAGTATTTAATGGTTTAATTTATTTGGTCATATTTGTGGCCTTTTGGCAAGCGTTATTTATTTTGGCTGCAGCTCTTTTCACTTTTTGGGGGGTCAATTTTTAGTTGAAGTGAAACAATATAGGTATTTAGCAGTTTGGTTACATGTTAGTAAATGTGAGAATGAAGAGCTTGGTGTGTATGATAGAGGATGTCATCTTGTGATTATTATTACTACTATTTTTTTACTTCTTGGACTTTTTGATTTTAGCGCACAGAAATCAAGCTGCCATAAAGATGTTAGGATCAAGTAGTCTCACAGAGATCTAGGCTTCTTTAAATGTTATGGAAGTTACAGAATACTGCAAAAAGTTCAAAGGATACCTTTTAAGCAGATGTTACCAGAGTTATCAGACTGGGATACTGGTGTTTAGTGAGTATGGTTTCTTGACTGTCTCTGATTTCTTGAGGGACTGTTGCTCAGTTTGGTGGCCATACTGGTACTGCCAGATCAAGAGAATCTTGGACATTCCAGCCTAAGGATCATCTATGTTTTTGAAAACAGCTTTTAGTAAGCTGAGATATCTGGATCTAATACTCCATTTGTCTGACTTCTTGTTTTTCCTTTTTTTAAATATATTTTTGAGACAGGGCCTCACTCTGTTGCCCAGGGTAGAGTGCAGTGGCATGCAGCTTTGACCTCTTGGGCTCAAGCAATCCTTCTGCATCAGTCCCCTTAGTAGTTGAGACTACAGGTACATGCCACAATACGCGGCTAACTTTTGTATTTTTTTGAGATAGAATTTGCCATGTTGCCCAGGCTGGTCTCGAACTCTGGAGCTCAAGCAATCTGCCCACCTCAGCCTCCCAAAATTCTGGGATTACAGGTGTGCACTTATCTGCCTGGCCTAGTCTGACTTATTACTGAGTCACCAGGGTGGCTTACTTCTTTGTCCACAGGTTATCTAATAATGTCCAGATATCATTCATGTGCAGTTGCATTGTGATAGGGTAACAGTGACCTATCTGTGATGAAGAGCCAATAATATGTAAAGCCCAGAGGGCTCAAAGGGCAGGACTGGGCTTATCGTGGAAGGAGTGGATTGTTCATTTACTGCATTATCAGTATTCAAGTAAATTTGCTGAAGATGATAACTGTGACTTAAGCCAAGAAAGGTAAAATATAGAATTATTGAGGGGAACATTCTTATTTTATTTAGAAAGATATTTAATAATTCAGAGTCAGGCTGTAGTTATTTATCTTTTAGATGCAAGCTGAAACACAGCTTTTAGAGCTCTAAAAACCTATGCTTGCCAAATGCAGAGCTATGTTATTGACTTGTTTTAGAGATGTGCACTGTGCACATTGTAAATGGTTAGATATGCTTTGCCTGGACTCAGACAGTTTTTTTTTCTTCACGCTGGAGTATGTTCTTCCAATAGATGGATAGAGAAGTCTTTTTTTTCTTTTTAACTTTTTGTCTGAAATATAGCATACACATAGAAAAGTACATACATTCTCAGGGTACAGCTTGGTGAAAGCCATTTCTAAATGTAAAACCATTACCCATTCATAGTTTAATTGTACTTATGAACTAACATTTCCCTCTGTAAACTTTTAACAAGAGTCTTCCATTTTATTTTTATTTTTATTTTTACTTTTTGACTTGGGATCTTTATTGAACAGAGATATGAGAGAAAAGGCATTGGTGTCAGTATTTAAGGAAATACATTTTCTTTAAATATTCTTTCTAGAAACAGACAGATCTGGGTTCGAGTTCCTCATAAGGCTGCTGTAAAGATTAGGGAATATATGCAATATGCCTAGCATGTAACATTATTAAAATGTTTTTACCTATTGCAAAGTGGAATTCATTATTAAATAGTTAAATATCAGTAGTAACTTTATGAATATAAATTTGTTAATCTGCTGTATCACATAGCTTTGGTTGTATTACAGACCTCATTAACTTAGTGACTTAAAACAGCAAGTGTTTCTCACAGTTCTGTGGATCTGCTGGTTGATTTCTTTAGTCTAGAATGGTTGGCTAGGGATGAATGGTTTAGGATGGCTTTACTCACATGTTGAACAGTGGCAGATGTTTTGCCCAGGGAAGGATCTTAAATTTCTAGTGATGAGCTTCATTTCAGCTGGGATGAGATAGTCCCATCATCTATCAGGCTAAGAATTCCAGCTCATTCATGTGATGGCAGGAAGGTTTTAGGAATAAGAGAGGATAAGCACTTTTGAAGTGTCTCTCCTTGTGCTGCATGTGCTATTTTCCTGTTGTCCAAAGCAAGTCACATGGTCAGTCCATTTTATAAATGGTATAACACAGTCACTTTTTAAAAGTTTTACTAGGCATGAACAGGATCCATTAAGGAATAAGTAGGGTTAGACAGCATGCATTTGTAGTAGATAGTATGTAATTTATAACTTTCTCTAGTAGTATGCAGTATTAAAAGCTTTAATAAAGATGAGGTTAATTAAGGTTTGATATAATCAGAGGTATATATATAAGAAAGAACTTTACAGCATTGCTGAAATGGATGATTATGAGTTTAGTTGGGTCTGGAGGTAAGAGATATTAAAAATGTGTAAAGAACTTGGGGGAAGAGTTCTAGGGACTGAGGAGATGAGAAGGGCAAGTAACAGATTCAGTGAGTCAAGAAGTAGGTTGAGGAAAAGAGGTTTTGGTCAGCAAGGGATTTTCAGAATTGGAATGCAAGGGATCTGCATATTTATTAAATCCAAGATGGAGTAGAATTAGATAATTAAAACTGAAAGACAGAAACTCATGATTCCAAGGTCTTAGAAAGATTCATTGCTTGAATGTTTTAGTAAACTCAAAGATCATTTCTAGTGCTGACATTCTTTGCTTCTGTAAGTCTGTGATGTCACAGAGATGGGTGAAATGGATATGGTAGAAAAATTCTGAATTACTTTTTGAAATCATTGAACAAGGTGGAGAAGGTCCAGAAGCATACCATGAACTACAGAAGAAGGAAAGATGGAGTAATCTGATGCAACTGGTCTGTATGAAATGCATAGACCATTGCCCTAGCTGAAACTCACTTTTCCAATTAGGAAAATTAATTTTCTTTTCTGTGTATCCACTTAAAAAATTTGACTCTTCTTCATCCTATTCACATTTGTATTTTATTCACTTAGTTACCCTTAGCAAGTCAAGAGAGGTGTTGAGGAAATAGAGCTGGAGGTAGGATTGGTGGCTTTTAAAAGTGATTAAAGTTAGGAAGACATTTAAAAATTCTCCGCAGTCCATTTTCTTGAATTGAAAAGCTTCTTATAACTCTGGATAAAGTAGGAAGAAATATTATATTACTTGCTTGTAATCCAACTATTAAGGCCTTTATAAGGCAGAGATTATTTGAATAAGATGTTATTCTAATAATAAAAAAGTTAGAATTATTAAATTTTAGCCTCAAAACTTTTAGACTGCTAACCAGTTTTATTAGATAAAATGTTACTAAGTTTATAATGCTTTTTATATTCCTAATTTTATAAAAATATGGGACCAGAATTAAGATGGTATGTTTATCTGTCATTGTGAAGTTACAGCTCGGAAGGGAGCTTAAAAGTGTGTATTACAATCCAAATAACACATTTCATTAAAATATGTATAGAGTTCTTTATATTTTTGTGTTGTACAGATATATATATAATTATAGCAGAAGGGATGAAACTTATTTTTATAGTTTTATCTTTAAAGATTTTGTAATCAACTAATCTGGCATGTATTTTTAACATTACTAAACATAGTTCTCTTATATAGCCAATTACACGAATATTTAAATATATATGTAACCAATGTTTGCACTTTTTTAGTATACTGAAAAATAATTTTTTTGACTTTGTTTCTTTAATTTTTCAAGTGATTAAGTATCGGGCTTTAATTTTTATAAAGTCCTTGTTGGACTTAAGGAAGTTTGAGACAGTGTACTTTAATAACTACTGCAGAAAGAGTTATCTAGGAGAATGTGGATTTGACTTATCCCAGGATCAGCACAGATAGGAAGGACTGATCTAGTTGGCTTTGATAGATTTTGCGTCTTATTTAAATTACTTTTTAATTTTTTCCCCACCAACAGGAATTTTAAAAATCCCCTTTGACCAAGTTAATTTTTATTTTTTATGTTTAGGATAAATTTATTTACCATTTGGCTCCAGTTGAAAAATCACATGGCAGACTGCAAAACAGAACATCAAGATCACAAAAGAAAAAATCCAAGTCACCTGAGAGAAGTAAATACTGTATAAATGCAAAAAACTACGAACAGCCTACAATTTCTTCAAAATCACACTCTCCATCTCCCTACACAAAAAGACGCATGTGTGAGCTATCTGAAGACACCAGGCGGCGGCTGGCCCATTTAAATCTGGGACCCTATGAGTTCAAAAAAGAAACAGATAAACCTCCATTTGTGATTAGACATGTATGTGTTCTCTTAAGCATTTCTATTTGAAACTGATCAGCTTTTTTCCCAAAAAAACTGTTATTCTGAAATATCTTTCAACTTCTAGCTTATATTAATAATACTTTTCTCTTCTGACTGCTACCCTAGCAGTCTAAGATGGGAAATTAATTTAGAATGAAAGAACTTGCTTTTTTTCAGTCTTCAGACCTGACAGAGATCAAGCTGTGTTATGAATGCCATGTTAAATCCTCTCAGTACCGGTTTCCTTTCTTATACAATAGATAGCATAATAACGCTACCAATTGAACTTGGTTGTAATTGACATTAGTACTAAAATGGCAGAGTAGGGCTTTAAAAGAGAACCAAATATTCTTTATGAAAAGGAAGACCCTCCTTTTTTAAATTATAAAAATTAAAATGGAAAGTAAGTTTCCTTTTAAATTACATCCCTTGGGTAAACTTTGTATGATGGATCTTCAAAGCAAATTATTGTTTGATGGTTATGGGAAGGCCTTTGAAAATGAAAAAAGTTCATTTAAGGGTAACCTAGTTCTAGTCTCTGTACTGAACTGTGCTTTTGATATAGTTGAAATTTAGAGTCTTGTGTTTATATGATTATCAAGTAGACTTTGGCTAAATTTAAGGGTTTATAATCAGAATGTTTAGGAAAGGACTCCCTCAGAATCTTCATAGTTTCCTGAATTTCTATGAAGTATTTTTACCTTAAAAGCAATTCTTTACTGAAAGCTTTCAGACTAATAAAAATATGGATTAATGTTATATGTACATATATAATAATACTAAACCTCAAGATTTAAGTGCTGATAGAAGCAAAATAACTTTTTGGGATATCTATAAAAATATTTCTGACTAATGTCTTTAATTCATTTTTTCTAAATTGTAAAATGAATTCATCCAACATGTAAATATGCCCCTTTGGTGGTCTAATAACTTTTTGAACATACACAATCTGAAAGTTCAGATTTTCTTTATGATACCTTTTTAAAACAATTTAAATATTGTCTTAAGCAACATTTCATTCCACCTGTATTTTGACTATGAGTCGTTTTTTTTAACTCTTAAGTAACAGATTGTTTTATCATAAAAGAAAATTTATAGTATAATGGATACTTTTAAGTGGCAACATTTTATTGAAGTTATTGTGACTACTTTTCTCATTTCTACAGAATTTGATTTTAACTTTTGGTCACTTTTTTGTTGTTGTTTGACCAATATTCAGATAATATTTTAGTTGCATATTTGGTGACAGTTTTAGAATGCCTTTAATTTTAAGTCTTCCCACAATTACAAATTAAATTGAAAAGAAAGGATATACTATATTTTCATCTGAAGGAATAGTAACATTTTAATTAAAATGCTATGTACAAAAATAAACTGAAATATTTTAGGGGTAAGCCACATTAAAATTCTTTGGAAAAATAACTGCTTTTCTTTAAATGTTTGTTTTATTATTACTTTTTATGTCAGTGTTTAGAATGGAATAATTCTAATATTGCTTGATACAAACTTTGAAGTTTGTATTTAAATGGTTTCCCTCCCTAGCTTTTCAATAAACAGAAATGCCTACTCCTAAGTCTATACTTAGATTGCTTACATTATTAAATAGGAAAGTGGATTTTCCGATTGTGTTTGTAAACATAGAGATTTTTTTTCCTCCATAGCCATTCATGGTTTTAGAAGCACTTAGCAAATAGGTAACCAAACACAGTTTTAACTTAATACATGCATATGCAAAATGTAACACTTTTAGGAAAGACATTGTAGTCAATGTACATGGTATGAAAAGTGATCTTAAAGAATAAGGAAACAGTTTTAAGAAATCAATTAGCGTGCTTCCAAGATTCTTTCATCTTAAAGAATAAGGAAACAGTTTTAAGAAATCAATTAACATGCTTCCAAAAAAAACTGGTGCAATTATCCTAGACGAGTAAAACAGCCTTTTTATTTTCCATTTATGCAGAATAAGATCTTTTCTTTTTCTATTGTGGTAGAATATACGTAAGTTTACCATTTCGAATTTAAAGTGTACAATTCAGTTGTTTTAAGGATGTTCACAGTGTTATGCAGCTATCTGGTTCCAGAATTTCTTCATCTCCTAAATGGAAACTCTGTACTTATTAAGTATTCACTCTGCATTCCTTCCTTCCCATAGTCTTGGCAATCACTAATCTGCTTTCTGTCTCTATGAATTTGCCTATTCTACCATTTCATATAAATATAATTATACAACATTTGGCCTTTTGTGTCTGGCTTTTTTCACTTAGCACAGTGTTTTTGAGGTTCATCCATGTTGCATATATCAGTACTTGATTCCTTTTTATGGCTTAATTATATCCTGTTGTAAGACTATATACCACATTTTACCCATTGTGTGGGCTGTCTTTTAAAAAAATTTGTTTTTTTAAATTGTGGTTATATATATTATAAAATTTACCATTTTAACCATCTTTAAGTGTGTAGTTTAGAAACATTAAATATATTCATGTTGTTATACAACCATACCACCATCTATCTCTAGAACTTTTTTCATCTTGCTAAACTGAAACTCTGTGCCCATTAAGCAATAACTTTCCATTCCTGTCTCCCCCAACCCCTGACAACCACTACCATTCTACTATTTCTATGAATTTGACTACTCTTGGTACCTCATATTAAGTGTGATTATACATCATGTGTCCTATTTCGATTGGCTTGTTTAACTTAGTATAATATTCATAAAGGTTCATCTATGTTATAGCATATGTGAGAATTTCTTTCCCTTTTACCGTTGAATAATATTCTCTTATATGTATGTACTACATTTGTTTGTTCATTCTTCTCTTGATAGACACTTGGGTTGCTTCCATCTTTTGGATATTATGAGTAATGTTGCTGTGTCACAGTGTGTACAGTGTGAATAACGCTGCTGTAAACATAGGTGTACAAATATATTTTTGAGGCCCTGCTTTCAACTCTTTTGGGTATATACCTAGATGAAAAATTGCTGAGTCATATGGTAATTCTGTTTTAAATTGTTTGAGACCCTGACATAGTGTTTTTTATAGCAGGTGTACCATTTTGCACTGCACACCAATAAATTCCAAGTGTTCAAAGTTATTCACATCTTCTCCCACACTTTATTTTCATAATAGCCATCCTAATGGGTACGTCACTATGATTTTGTGGTATCTCAAAATTACAGTGAAGTAGTATCTCACTATGATTTTGATTTCTGTCTCCTTAATGATTAGGGTTGTTGAATTTTTTTCTTTTCATGTTCTTATTGGCCATTTGTATAACTTCTTTGGATAAATGTCTATTCAAGTTCATTTTTAAATCTATTTGTTTTTGTTATTGAGTTGTAGGGGTTCTTTATTCTGGATAATAACCCCTTATCAGATAAATGATTTGTAAATATTGTGGCTGATTCAATGGGTTGCCTTTTCATTCTGTTGATATTATTTTTTGATGCATGAAAATTTTAAATTTTGATCAATAGGAATTTTTTTTATACATTTGTATCATTCTTTTTACTTTTTGTTAGGAAATGTGGTTAACTATTATTATATTAAGCTATAGATCACTGAGCATGCTGGGCTCTGAAAGCAGCCAAATAAAGACTGTTTGAATTCAAAATGTGCATGCTAAGGAGCTAAGAAGCAAATGGCTAGACTTTTAAAAATATGGCAAAGTATATTGCTCTTTTTTTAACCTTGTGATGGAAAGCAAACTAGGCACTGGAGTAATAAACATTTCAATTCCAAGTCTGTTCATTTTAAAGTAGGCACATATATATAGAATTAAAAATTTTTGAAGTTAAATTTCAATTTTATTTTGCAACGAACAACAAAATACTTGAATAAACTCTTTGGAACATGTCTGACTCTCATGGGCACCATCATGTTTCCCTGATTATATATGCTCTCTGTACTCTAGTAGTTTTTCTGGTACCATGAGATTGAAAGTCTAGGAATGTTTAAACTCTCTTTTACATAAAAATCCTGCTTCCTCTAGGTTGATCCCCCAAGTCCCAGGGCTGATACTTTATTGGGATCTTCTGGAAGAGACTGTGAAAGAGATGGATGGTCAAGGGTGCACAATGGTAAGCTAGAAGTTGTCTTTATTCATTGCTGTAGTTGCCTGAGCTACAATCAAGCCTTTAATTTGGCATCAATTAACAAAAACAGAATCTTTGTTACATTATTGGATAATATTGTATAATGTAGCTTTTTACAACTTGTATGTTGTAAAGAGTAAAAAGTAACTATATACTCTCTAAGATATTAGGATTTCTGTGCTACTATAAATCATTTCCCACCTTGAGACTTAGAATATATATATTAACATGTTAAAAAATGTGATATATTCTAGTAAAAAATGACTTGATTAATTTACTTTTACTCAACATTTTATAAACTTGACTGTGGAACCCTTTTCTCACCAAGTAATTTTAATTACGTTGTTAGGAATGGTTTTTCATCTTTAGCCCTAGTAGTGCTATGGTTAGATAAGTTGCTTCTTAAGTTCAATATGAAGATAATTTTTATGAAGGTTAAATAGTATTGTATAATTAAGGGTATTGAGTGTTAATATCTGTAGACATTGGCTAGTGAGTTCAACAAGTATTCCCTAGCAGCCTTTAAAGTTAATTTACTACATACTGAGAAAGTCATAGAGGAAGAAAAATGAGATTGAGTGAAAAAAAATAAAATCATTAATAGAATCATTACATTGAGTGAGCTTCATCTCTATTTCTAACCTGTTGTGTGTAATCTCTTATTTTTTAATGATGAGATTAAACATTCTTTTCTGAAAAGGTGCAGAGTTTTTGCTTGCTTTTGTTTTTTAGCACAAGCAGGGAGATAGATGTGATAATCAACAGGTCTTTTATATCCACAATAGCAGATTATGTGAAATTAGAAACAGATGTTACATACTGTTTTCTCTCTTGGAAGAAGTTTATGGACATGGAAAATGAGCTTTAGGAACAAGCCACTGTAAAGTAACTTCAATATAGATGTTTCTTTGGAAGATTTTTTGTCAACACTTAAGCATCTGATTTTTCTTGACGATTACATATTTGCCAGCAGAACTGTTGTGGTTTCTAATAACTTTTAATCAAAGCAGTCAGTTGCCTATGTAGAGGTATAATCAGAGAGATCAATAATGAGTTGTTTTCTTTTAACTTTTTATTTTGATTTTGGCATAATTTCAGACTTATGGAAAAGTAATAGTAGTACAAAGGATTGCCATATAGCTTTCACTCAGAATCCATAACAATAATATTTGCTTTTTCTTTCTCTTTTTCTCTTTCCTCTGTCTGTATATGAGTCTGTGTATAGAATTTTTTGACAGGGATATTATTATGGACTGAATTTGTATGCCCTAAAACTTAATATGTTGAAGCCCTAGCCCCTAATATGGTGGTTTGGAGATGGAGGCTTTGGGAGTGATTAGGTTTAGATGAGGTCCTGAGAACAGGGCCTTCATGATGACATTATTGTCCTTACAAGCAAATATACCAGAGAGCTTGGGCTCTCCTTCTCTCGCTGCCATTTGAGGACCCAACTAGAAGGCAGCCATCTACAAGAGAGGAAGAGAGAACTTACCAGAACCTGACCATGCTGGCACCCTGATTTCTAATTTTCAGTCTTCAGAACTGTGAGAAATAAAATTCTGTTCTTTAAGCTACCCAGTCCATGATATTTTGTTATGGCAGCCTGAGCAGACTAATTCAGACAATATTTTATGTGATTAACGCCAGTTAATTAACAATATAGCAGATTAACAATGATATAATAATATTAACTAATCTATAAAGCTAAATCAGATTTTGCCAGTTGTCCTAATAATATCTTTATAGCAAAAGAAATATCATCATACATAGCATTCAGCTGCCATGCCTCTTTTGTTTTCTTTAATATGGATTAGTTCCTTAGTCTTTCATTGTGCTTAATGACATTGATAATTTTGAAGTGCATAAGCCAGCTATTTTGTAGAATGTTCCTCAGTTTGGGTTTGTTTGATTTTTCCTCATGATTAGATTCAGATTATTTATTTTCCTCCAGAATACAACAGAAGTGATGTGTTACTCTCAGTGCATCACACTAGGAGGTATGTGGTATTTCTCCACTACTGGGGATGTTAATTTTACTCATTTGATTAAGATGGATGTGCTGGTTTTCTCCATCAAAAAGGTGCTATTTCTGTCTTTTGTAATTGTGCAGAGAAATACTTTGAAACTATGTAATATCCTATTAAACCTCAACTTTGACTCCTTTCGCATATATTGATTACTGTTGCCTGAAACAATTTCTTACTGTGATTTTTGCCAAATAGTGATTTTTAAAAATTCTATTCTTCTTTGTACATTTAATAACTGGATTTCTAGAGCTTTTCCTTCTTGTTTTTCTGATCTTAATGTCCCCCCTCAACTTTTTTTTTTTACTATATTTTTTCCCCTGGCTGACAACTGAGCAGTACTTACCAACTTCTGGGTTCTCATCAACCATTTAAATACATATGGGAATTTCTTATGGTAGGATCTCTTACACATAGTGAATTTTCACTTTTGATTTTACTTTAATAGAAATTCTTCTTGAACATTTTCTTGCCAAATTATCTTGCCTAATATTTATTAAGTTTTTATAGGATGCCATTTTCACCAACATTTACTGCTTTAGTCCTCAAAATAATCAAGTGAAGATGGATTTAATTATATTTGAGAAAAATGGCAGCGGTTTAGAGAAGTTATGTGGCTTGATAGTTACAAATCTAGAATCCAGGTCTTCTAGCTTCTAGCTCCTTCTTTTCTACCAGTCTCATACTACTTTCTCTACTTTCATTAAGGTATATTTTTTAAAATAAAATTTTCAAGCACATTGTAGCTGTTACTGCCATGTTATATAATTCTAATTGTAATTTGTGCAGTCCTTTTGAAGAAACTCAATATCTCTTGTAATATGAGACTTTTTGTAAGCTTTATCTAGTTATTTGCATATTTGAAGAGGAAATCAAGTACATCCATCCTGGCCTCTTTTTACATTTTGCTTAGTAATTTAGGAAATATGTTAGACTCTGTCTCTCCTCTTAGAGGAAACTTCTTTTCTTCTCTTCATTTGAAGATTCTTTTATGAGTCTCATTTCTATATAAGATCGTAATATTTTATGAACTTCCATTAATCCCTTATCAGATGATTAACTGTCACAAAGTAAAATAGAAATAACATTTCAAATCCTAGTATGTCATATCTTGAGTAGACAACAGTAACTGGTAATGTTTTAATATTTTCTGAATAAAATAGCATGTAGTCATCATGGACAGCCTCATTAGTAAATACCTCATTAATTTGTTTGCTTTTAAACATGTCCCTCTTGTTTGAATTTCTTATGGATGAAGAAACCTGAGGTTTAAAGAAGGATAGTAAGTTGCGCCAAGTCATACACACAAGATTTGACCTAATTTTTTTTTCTTCCTACGTTTCTAAATGATTATGTCCATCTCAAGTTTCTTTGCCTTTAGGAAGTTTTTCCTGTTTGCCTTACCTTGAGAGATTACTCTCTGGTATAACTTTTTTATATTATAATTATTATACCATTCTGACTTAGTTTGTTCTTTATACTGCTGTTGTTCAACTTTGGTTATAACTTAACCAAAATAGATTATAAGTACTTCACAGCCATGGGCCATGACTTTCATCTCCTTGATTTCTTACATTTGAAATATAGTTTGTGACTAATTGGTGGTGAGGGTGATTAAATATGAACATTGGGAAACCTCAGATCAAAGTAATAGATTAATTTGTAGGAATAAAATTATAAACCTGTGCAAATCAGGGTAAGTTTATAAATGGTTTGTGGAATGCAGAAGCCATACGAGTGCTTTAACATACAGAAACTTTTAATATAATGCTAGCTTCCAGGAAATACATACTATTTCCAGAAATTATTACCTTAATTTTCAAAGTTAGCATATCCTTGTCCTTTTTTTTTTTGAGACAGGATCTTGCTTTGTTATCCAGGCTGGTGGGCGTGGTGTAACATGGCTCACTGCAACCTCGACTTCCCTGGTTCAAATGATCTTCCCACCTCAGCTTCCTTAGTAGCTGGGACTACAGGCATGCATGCACCACCATGCCCAACTAATTTTTTTTTTTTTTTTTTTTCTGTAGAGATTGGGTTTCACCATGTTGCCTAGGCTGGTCTTGAACTCCTGAACTCAGGAGATCCTCCTGTCTTGGTCTCCCAAAGTGCTGGGATTACAAGTATCAGGCACCGTGTCCGGATGTCCTTCTCACTTTTTTATTTTTTCAACTACTTGTGATCATGCTATATATTAGACTTGTACAGAAGAGAAGTTGGACTGTGATTTATTCTTATTTTTAATTTTTGAAAAGCATTTGAAGTAAATTGAATCTTACATTATGTGGAGAAGTTGACCTCGTGTAAAATGTATTAATATTTCAGCTGATTTCTGGTATGGTTCAGGGTACCTAGAAAATATCTTGTGCCATAAAAAATGCTGAATACAGACTATTATATGTCTTTATTTATTTTCTGGATTAGGTGGTTTGGGAAAGTAGAATGTAGAACCATAGAATGCTTTTGAGTGATATGTGTGAGTGAGAAAGTAGAATTTTATGGTTCTGATTTTCTGTTCTAAAAATTGATACATAATATTTTACATATTTATTGGGTACATGTGATATTTTGTTACATTGTGTGGAATGTGTGATGATCAATTAAGAGTGGTTAAATTATCTACCATTTTGTGTATTTGTCATTTCTTTATGTTGGGAACAATTTAAGTCCTGTCTTCCAGCTACTTTGAAATATATAATACAATGTTGTTAACAATAGTTACTATGCTCTCCTTTGACAACAGAGTATACCTGTTTTCTAATCTTATGTTTGTACCTGTTAAGCTACCGCTCTTCATCGTCCACCCCTACCAACCCATCCTTCCCAGCCTCTAGTATCGATTATTCTACTTTCTATGAGAGAATATTTTTAGCTTCCACATATGAGAACATGCAATATTTGTCTTTGTATGCCTGATTTATTTCACTTAAAATAATGACCCCCCAGTTCCATTCATGTTGCTGCAAATGACATGATATCATTAATTTTATGCCCTAATTACTTTATTATTCCATTGTGTATATACACAACATTTTCTTTATCCATTCATCTATTGATGAACAGTTAGGTTGATTCCATGTTTTGGCGACTGTGAATAGTGCTGCAATATCTCTTCAATATACTAATTTCCTTTCCTTTGGATGGATACCCAGTACTGAGATTGCTGATTGTGTGGTAGTTGTATTTTTAGTTTTACATTCAAGTTTATTATTGGTATGTGTGGTTTTGTTCCTGCCATATTGTTATTTTCTGGTGTTTTTCTATATTCTTTGGTCCTTTCTTTTTCTCTTATTGTTTGTCATTGTGGTTTGGTGGTTATCTGTGGTTGTACCGTGAATCTTTTCTCTTTCTCATTTGTGTGTTTGCTTTATTGTTGAGTTTTGTATTTTCGTGTGTTTTCAAGATGGTAAAGGTCATTCTTTTGCTTTCAGGTTTAGAGTTCCCTTGATCACATCTTGTAGGGCTGGCTTACTGGTGATGAATTCCCTTAGCTTTTACTTACCTGGGAAATACTTTATTTTTCCTAAATTTATGAAGGATTTTTTTTCTGGATATATTAATAGTGAGTGTCCTTGACTGGCAGGTTTTTTTCTTTCAGCATTTTGAATTTATCATCCCATTCCTGGTCTGTAAGGTTTCTATTTAGGAATCTGCTGTTAGTCTAATGGGGGTTTCTTTATAGGTGATTAGTCACTTTTCTCTTGTTCAGGATTCTTTTTTTGTCATTGACTTTAGACATTTTGGCTATAATATTCCATGGGAAAGACTTTTTGCATTGTATCTGCTTAGGGATTACTGGTCCCCCTGCATCTGAATGTCTAGTCTCTTGATAGACTTCAGAAATTTTTGTTTATTATTTCATTAAATAGTTTTTGGAACTCTTATATTCTCTTCCTTTGGGGATACAGATGATTTGTATATTTGGTCGCTTTATTGTGTCCCATAGATCACAAAGGTTTTGTTCATTTTTTATTTCTTATTTTTGCCTGACTGGGTTATTTCAAAATACCTATCTCCAAGTTCTGACATCTGGTTCTTATGCTTGGTTTAGTCTATTGTTGATGCTTTCAAACGTATTTTGTAGGCCAGGCACGATGGCTTATGCCTGTAATCCCAGCACTTTGGGAGGCCGAGGCAGGCAGATCACTTGAGGCCAGGACTTCGAGACCAGCCTGGCCAACATGGTGAAACCCCATCTCTACTAAAAATAGCTACTTGGGAGGCTGAGGAAGGAGAGCTGCTTGAACCCAGGAGACAGAGATTGCAATGAGCAAAGATCACACCATTGTACTCCAGCCTGGGCAAGAAGAGCGAAACTCTGTCTCAAAAAAAATAAAAAATAAAAATAAAAATTAGGTGGGTGTGGTGGCACATGCCTCTAATCCCAGCTACTCTGGAGACTGAGGCAGGAGAAGCGCTTGAACCCAGGAGGCGGAGGTTGCAGTGAGCCAAAATCGTGCCACTGCACTCCAGCCTGGGTGGCAGAGTGAGACCCTATCTCAAAAAAAAAAAAAAATCAAATGTATTTTGTAGTTCAGTCAATTAATTCATCTCCAGAATTTCTGTTTGGTTCTTTTTTTTGTGATATATATCTCCTTCGTAAAAGTTTCATTCACGTCCTGCATTATTTTTCTGATTCTTTTATATTGTTTTTCAGAATGCCTTGTATCTCACTGAGTGTCTTTAGAATCAATAATTTAAATTCTTTTTCTGAGATTTCATGACTTTGTTTTTGATTGGGATCTGTTTCTGGAGGATTATTTTGTTCCTTTGGAGGTGTCATATTTTCTTGCTTTTCATTTTTTCTTTGTCCTTACATTGATATCTGAACATCTGTTATATCAGTTGTTTGTTCCAATTTTTTGAATTTGCTTTTGTTTTGGGGGGACTTTTTCCTGCAGATGAATCCTCATTACTGGTTGGGTAGGGCACTTTGGCCTTTTTCTGGGTGCATGCAGTGGTGTAGTCTCTGTGTGATTTTTTTTTTGTTTATAAGCAGCATCCGTGGTATCTGAGACTTGCTCATTGGCTTAGTGTGCAATTACTAGTGGAGGCTGTGTTCTAGTTTTGCTGAGGACTGGGACACTAGGTAGTCTAGTCTTTGGGTCGCAGTGGTGGCAGTATTGAGCTGACCATGCCTGTCCTTGGGCTCCAGAGTGGTGTGCACTGGCAGCAATTTTAGCTGGTCCTGGTGGACTGATTCATGGGCCTCTAGTTGGCCTACTCAGATGCTGGTAGTAGCCATCATGGGCCAGGCAGATGGACAGGTTCTCAAGCCTCTGGGTAGCCAGTGTGGCATGGGTGATGACCGTGACAGTGGCAGGATGACCCTCTGGGTCCCAAGCGGTGTGCATTGTTTTTGACAGTGGCTGAGATCGTCTAGGTGTGCCAGTCCCCAGGCTTGAAGGTGTTGTATACAGGTAAATGCCAGCTCTGGTGGTAGTGGCTATGAGTGTAGGCCCAATCTCATTCCCTGGGGAGGAGCGTTCAGGTGCCAGTAGTGGTGGACTGGGCTGGGCAGTCTTCTGGCCCTCAAACTATATGGTCTGGCATGGGAGGAGGAGGGGCAGAGTCAGGCCTGTCTTGCTTGCCTCAGGCTCCCTGATGATGTGAACAAGTGCTGGCTGTGGTAGGCAGGGGCAGAGTGGTCGCCAGGCCACTGGTGGGATGCTTGGATTGTGGAAGGTAGTATCTGTACTTCTGCCCTGCTACTTGGGGCTGGAGATGATGCTGCCATCTGTGATGGCACCCTAGCTGGCAGGTGGGGAGCATGTATACCACTCGTACCTCAGCCCAGTGGCACTTATGCCTCAGCCCCAGTGCTGCTGGGCTTCAGGATAGTGCACAGTCTTTTGGGGGAATGGTTCCAGAATGGCATCTCGTTTGTGCTGCAGTCCCAAAGGCTCAGTCATGTCTCTGCCCTTGATATGGTTTGGCTGTGCCCCCACCCAAATCTCATCTTGAATTCCCATGTGTTGTGGGAGGAGCCTGGTGGGAGGCAATTGAATCATGGGGGCAAGTCTTTCCCATGCTGTTCTCATGAGAGTGAGTAAGTCTCACGAGATCTAATGATTTTAAAAAGAGGAGTTCCCCTGCACAAGTTCTCTCTCTTTGCCTGCTGCCATCCATGTAAGACGTGACTTGCTCTTCCTTGCCTTCTGCCATGATTGTGAGGCTTCCCCAGCTACGTGGAACTGTAAGTCCAATTAAACTGCTTTCTTTTGTAAATTGCCCATTCTCAGGTATGTCTTTATCGGCAGTGTAAAAATGGACTAATACAGCCCTACATCCAGTAGCTTGTGACAGCTTGTTTCTAAGTCCTGGGGGCAGCCCTGCTGCCACTGGGCTCCAGGACAGCTCACAGTCTGTAGGGGAGGGAGTTCTAAAGTGGTGCCTTGCCATAGCTACTTAAGTGTCAGGGAACATGAAGGACCCAGGGGAAGTGTTCTCTCTTGGGCAGTGCATGGTACAATCTCCCGGCAGCTCCTTGTGTTAGTTTCAGGGCTCACGAGGGTTCAGGAGCTCTTCAGTGGCCTGGTATCGTAGGGATCCATGGTGATAATGTGGACAGCTGAGAGTCTCTCACTTACCCTTTCTGTGTATTGAGAAGTATCTCTTGGGTGCCAGTCCTCACTGTACAGGCCATCTTGCTTCCTTCTCCTTCCTTGCTTTAGGTGTTGTCTGCCAATTTCCTTTTGAATTCCAGTATTCTCTATTGGCTGATCTATTCAATGTATGATTATCTATCTGCTCTTTTGGTTTTTCTTAGTGGAGGAAGGGAGTACAAAATGCCCCTAGTCAACTATCTTGAAGCTGCAAACTGATTGTCTCTGGTTCTTATTTTCTTTTCTGTCAGTGTAACAGATATTATAAGTTGTTATAATAAAAGTTGATTCTTGAAAGCTTATTCCTTTAAGTAATGAGTAAAGCTCCAAATCTACATGTAGAATGTAGTGGTTATTATCTTACGGATAAATTTAGAATTAGTTTTAAAATCCACTATGTGATAGATACTTTTCTGGGGATTTTCACGAAGTGTATCATGTTATCATCACTCTGACTCTCTGATATAAGGTAGGCATTGTTTTCATACTCTTAAAAATGAGGCATGAAACAGATCAATTGTCTTTATATAGTTGGACCAGAATACTATGTTTAATAAGTGGCAGAATTTGAAATTGAACCCCTGCTTGTTTGAGTTTACATTTGATAGTAATGATGTTGTTGTTGATGATGGTATTAGTAATAATAGTTGATTTCTATTTTAGTGCCTTACGTGTAAGATCTTATATAATCTTTAAAACAATATTATGAAAGAGGCACATCAGACATATTAGGAATCTGAGACTTAGAGAGATTAAGTTATATGCCCAAGGTGCTTGGGCCTGGAATGTATAATGCAGATTTATTTGTCAACAAGATCTATAAACTACTGTATGCCACCACCCTCTAAAGCTGGTCCTGTTTCTTTACACCTGAATCTAGAATGGAGTATAAGAATAGGAAACATATAGTTTGACAATATCTGTCAAATCTGTGAATACAAATTATGTTTCATCATAAATTGATTATCAACTAAACCCTATTCATTTCATAGACACAAATTGGTTTATCGACTAAAAGTTACTCCTTTCTGTATTCAGATATTTCCTGCTATTTTCAAATGAAAATAGTATTTGTGAAATCATTTAATTGCTGAAGAACTAATACAAATTTTAACTAATGGATTATTATCCTTTCTGATGTAACACTGTTGAAGGATTTTGAAGTATCTCTGAAATATTCTGAGTGAATTATAATTGTAGAAACAATGATAGTATTAAAAATCAAAGATGAAACCAAATTTAAACTTTAATTGTTTTGTACTTCCTTTTTCAGATCATTCTCATCTTGGCTGCTGCCGACCCAAGGATTATAAGGTGTGTAGAATGAATTGTAGAATAATAATTGTTCTGGCTTTCAGACAACAACATGAGTCTATTTCATATATATGTATATCAGATAGGGATTATCAAATTCATTTAGTAAAAAATGTAAAAACAATAATTGTCATATAATGTTATTTTGGTTACTTTGTCAGGCAGTACATTTAATGTCTTTCTACAAGTATTTTTTGGCTTTTGGTTATTCATTTGTATTAATTATTGAATATGTTAGTCTATGTTTATGTGTGTGCATGAGAGAGAGAAATCAGTTGTTATATTCAGTAATACCTTACATGGTATTATTTCCAAATTTCAGTCATTCATAGAGCACCCTCATAATTTTTGCAGGCATATGTATGTATAACTTTTGTAGTATTTGCATATATTTTATGCTCTTTTCCTTAAATTCACTTTCTTTCTGTTTGTTTACTCACTGTGATAAATGAAAATCCAGTATCACATGCTTTACATGTATGACAGCCTTGAAAATACAGTGAAAATAAAGCAATGTTTCTAAATTTTGGCTAGATACTGTTTTGCTAAAGGCTCTGAGACATGCTCTCTGTTTCTTAAAATGAGAAGTAATGGTAGAGAGGTGTAAAAGATATACCAATAGCTAACTGAGCATTTCTTATTGAAAGAGAATTGAAAATATATTTTTTCTGGTGATTCAGAATTATTTCATGTATGTTCATGTGCCATGTAAAATCTGTATATCTTCTAAAATCATTTTGGGTACCATTATTATTTGCTCTATCACTTGTAGTCCATGTCCTACATTTTGAGAAGAACTGTCTCATAGCTTATCTTTTCTGTCCCTAAGTGAAAGTATCTTGATAGTAAGTGTTATTATATGTGGGAAAACAAAAGAAAAACCCCTCTCCCTCTCCCTCTCCCTCTCCCTCTCCCTCTCCCTCTCCCTCTCCCTCTCCCTCTCCCTCTCCCTCTCCCTGTCCCTGTCCCTGTCCCTGTCCCTCCACGGTCTCCCTCTGATGCCGAGCCAAGGCTGGACGGTACTGCTGCCATCTCGGCTCACTGCAACCTCCCTGCCTGATTCTCCTGCCTCAGCCTGCCGAGTGCCTGCGATTGCAGGCGCGCACCGCCACGCCTGACTGGTTTTCGTTTTTTTTTGGTGGAGACGGGGTTTCGCTGTGTTGGCCGGGCTGGTCTCCAGCTCCTAGCCACGAGTGATCCGCCAGCCTCGGCCTCCCGAGGTGCCGGGATTGCAGATGGAGTCTCGTTCACTCAGTGCTCAATGGTGCCCAGGCTGGAGTGCAGTGGCGTGATCTCCGCTCGCTGCAACCACCTCCCAGCCGCCTGCCTTGGCCTCCCGGAGAGCCGAGATTGCAGCCTCTGCCCGGCCGCCACCCCGTCTGGGAAGTGAGGAGCGTCTCTGCTTGGCCACCCATCGTCTGGGATGTGAGGAGCCCCTCTGCCTGGCTGCCCAGTCTGGAAAGTGAGGAGCGTCTCTGCCTGGCCGCCATCCCATCTGGGAAGCGAGGAGCGCCTCTTCCCCGCCGCCATCCCATCTAGGAAGTGAGGAGCGTCTCTGCCCGGCCGCCCATCGTCTGAGATGTGGGGAGCACCTCTGCCCCGCCGCCCTGTCTGGGATGTGAGGAGCGCCTCTGCTGGGCCGCAGCCCTGTCTGGGAGGTGGGGAGCGTCTCTGCCCGGCCGCTCCGTCTGAGAAGTGAGGAAACCCTCTGCCTGGCAACCGCCCCGTCTGAGAAGTGAGGAGCCCCTCCGTCCGGCAACCACCCCGTCTGGGAAGTGAGGAGCGTCTCCGCCCAGCAGCCACCCCGTCCGGGAGGGAGGTGGGGGGGGTCAGCCCCCCGCCGGCCAGCCGCCCCGTCCGGGAGGTGAGGGGCTCCTCTGCCCGGCCGCCCCTACTGGGAAGTGAGGAGCCCCTCTGCCTGGCCAGCCGCCCCATCCGGGAGGGAGGTGGCGGGGGGGCGGTCGGCCAGCCGCCCCGTCCGGGAGGGAGGTGGGGGGGTCAGCCCCCCGCCCGGCCAGCCGCCCCGTCCGGGAGGTGAGGGGCTCCTCTGCCCGGCCGCCCCTACTGGGAAGTGAGGAGCCCCTCTGCCCGGCCAGACGCCCCGTCCAGGAGGGAGGTGGGGGGGTCAGCCCCCCGCCCGGCCAGCCGCCCAGTCCGGGAGGGAGGTGGGGGGTCAGCCCCCCGCCCGGCCAGCCGCCCCGTCTGGGAGGGAGGTGGGGGGATCAGCCCCCCGCCTGGCCAGCCGCCCCATCCGGGAGGTGAGGGGCGCCTCTGCCCGGCCGCCCCTACTGGGAAGTGAGGAGCCCCTCTGCCCGGCCAGCCGCCCCGCCCGGGAGGGAGGTGGGGGGGTCATCCCCCCACCTGGCCAGCCGCCCCATCCGGGAGGGAGGTGGGGGGGTCAGCCCCCCGCCCGGCCAGCCGCCCCGTCCGGGAGGGGGGAGGGGGGGTCAGCCCCCTGCCCGGCCAGCCGCCCCGTCCGGGAGGGAGGTGGGGGGGGTCAGCCCCCCGCCTGGCCAGCCGCCCCGTCCGGGAGGGAGGTGGGGGGATCAGCCCCCCGCCTGGCCAGTCGCCCCGTCCGGGAGGTGAGGGGCGCCTCTGCCCGGCCGCCCCTACTGGAAAGTGAGGAGCCCCTCTGCCCGGCCAGCCGCCCCGTCCGGGAGGGAGGCGGGGGGGGGGGGGTCGGCCAGCCGCCCCGTCCGGGAGGGAGGTGGGGGGGGTCAGCCCCCCTTCCGGCCGGCCGCCCCGTCCGGGAGGTGAGGGGCGCCTCTGCCCGGCCGCCCCTACTGGGAAGTGAGGACCCCTCTGCCCGGCCAGCCGCCCCGTCCGGGAGGGAGGTGGGGGGGACAGCCCCCCGCCCAGCCAGCCGCCCTATCCAGGAGGTGAGGGGTGCCTCTGCCCGGCCGCCCCTACTGGGAAGTGAGGAGCCCCTCTGCCTGGCCAGCCGCCCCGTCCGGGAGGGTGGTGGGGGGGTCAGCCCCCCGCCCGGCCAGCCGCCCCATCCGGGAGGTGAGGGGCGCTTCTGCCCGGCCGCCCCTACTGGGAAGTGAGGAGCCCCTCTGCCCGGCCACGACCCCGTCTGGGAGGTGTGCCCAGCGGCTCACTGGGGATGGGCCATGATGACAATGGCGGTTTTGTGGAATAGAAAGGCGGGAAGGGTGGGGAAAAAATTGAGAAATCGGATGGTTGCCGGGTCTGTGTGGATAGAAGTAGACATGGGAGACTTTTCATTTTGTTCTGTACTAAGAAAAATTCTTCTGCCTTGGGATCCTGTTGATCTGTGACCTTATCCCCAACCCTGTGCTCTCTGAAACATGTGCTGTGTCCACTCAGGGTTAAATGGATTAAGGGCGGTGCAAGATGTGCTTTGTTAAACAGATGCTTGAAGGCAGCATGCTCGTTAAGAGTCATCACCACTCCCTAATCTTAAGTACCCAGGGACACAAACACTGCGGAAGGCCAAGGCCGCAGGGTCCTCTGCCTAGGAAAACCAGAGACCTTTGTTCACTTGTTTATCTGCTGACCTTCCCTCCACTATTGTCCTATGACCCTGCTAAATCCCCCTCTGCGAGAAACACCCAAGAATGATCAATAAAAAATAAATAAATTAATTAAAAAAAAAAAGAAAAAAAATTTAACTATTCATATAAAAAAAAAAAAAAAGAAAAACCATAGCTTTTCTTAAAATATCATTGTTTATGTACTTACTTAAACTATTTATTTTCTTAAACGATTTTGTGCTACTATTAAACTATTTTGTGCTACTGGTACTGAATACCACAATACTTTGCCATACTTTAACTATGATAAAAGAAGTATAGCACAATTAAATAATCAATCAAGGCACTGTTTAGGGACACAGATCTACCAGTGACAGAATCATCTAGGTGAAGCTTTATAAATATTTATTCTAAGCCTACTAAATTGAAATTGCTGAGTATGGAGACTGGAATTTTCTATTTTTACCAAGTTTCTGGGTGATTCTTATGCATCTCTTTTGCCATCTATCTAAGGATTCATAACTGAGAGCCACTAGTATAGACTATGAATATAACACTTATATAGATAGGGCTCTTCCTGTATAGCAGGAGTCCCCAACCCAGGCCACAGACGAGTAGTTGTCTGTGGCCTGTTAGGAACTGGGCCACACCACAGGAGGTGAGTGGCAGGTGAGTGAGCATTATGGCCTGAGCTCCACCTCCTGTCAGATCAGTGGCAGCATTAGATTCTCATAGGAGCACGAACCCTACTGTGCTGTGCATATGAGGGATCTAGGTTGTGTGCTCCTTGTGAGAATCTAACTAATGCCTGATGATCTGAGGTGGAACAGTTTCATTCTGAAACCAGACATCCTCCCCGCCCCCCACCAGTTCGTGGAAAAATTGTCTTCCACAAAACTGGTTCCTGGTACTGAAAAGGTTGGGGACTGCTGCTGTATAGTGTTTATATATAGAGTTGTTCCTTTTTTAAGGCCCTCACTAGAGGAGAGGAGGCCTGGAATAATTAACTTAGTCCAGTCTCATCCTAACATTTAAAATTTATGCAAACACATACACATGCACATTGGTATTTGTTCTACACACAAATGTACACAGTATGGCAAGGACCTATTGATCTTGCTTATTGATAATAATTGGTAGTACCTAGCATATTATCTGACATATAGTAGGAATTCCTAACATATGCATATTATGTGAGTGGACTATTAAGGGAAAACAAGTAAACCAAATCTATACAAATATAGAATGAAGAGCAAGTACTAATCTTTATCCTAAGGTGGCTATAATCCTGCTATAAGTTGGCTGGTCCATTTAAAGTCAGGTATTAAGAGCCCTCTTTTCCAAATGAATTCCACCAAAAACTGCATTTCAACCCCTTTAATTCCTTTCCACTCTCATCGCTGGATTCCTTAATATCAGGGCTTCCCTTAGGGGATAGTAGGTGGTAAGTTCACAGGATTATTTTTGTATTCAAGAGGTAGATTGTCATATAAATATATCTGCAGCATTGAACATGAAAATAAAAAAGGATTATTTTCATGTAGGTACATAGTAGTTAGTTAATAAATATTCAAGTAATAGAACACTTTAGGACTTCTATATGGAAAAGAGCCATGAAGCCAGGAGTGCTCACAGAACATTTTCTAGAAAAGTAGGACCTTGCATGAGTTCTTTGAATGAATGTACTTTGCATAGGCAAGAGAATTCTTTCCCGAGATTCTCACTTTTTCTTTTTTCTCCAGCTTTATTAAGGTATAATTGACAAAAGTTTTATGTACTTATGGTACAACATGATGTTTTCATATATGTATATGTTGTGGAATGATTAAATTAAGCTACTTAATGTATCTATTACTTCACATACTTATTTGTTGTGGTGAGTTTTATTTTCACAATTTTTTAAGGCTATCATACACGTAAAGCATATGATACTGCAATTTCATTTATCATGGTGAGTTTTATTTCCATTGTATTTTTAAAGGCTATCATGCATGTAAAGCGTATGATACTGGATTTTCATTTATTATGTCACCATGATAAATAAATAAAGAAGAGAAAGTGGCTTTAAGGAAAAGAGCATAAGATATATGCAAATACTGCAAAGATTATGAGGGTGCTCTGTGAATGACTGAAGTTTGGAAATACTACCATATAAGGTATTACTGAATGTAACAACTGATTTTCTCTGCTAAGACAAATCTGTCTTAGCAATTTTCAAGTATATGATATATCATTAGTTATAGTCATCATGCTGTAAAATAGATCTCCAGAATTTTTTCATCCTGTCTACTTGAAACTTTGTACCCTTTGACCAACATCTCTGCATTCTGCCCACCATACCCCAATGTCCCCCTGGCAACCACCATTCTGTTTTCTGCTTCTATGAGTTTGACTTTTTTAGATTCTACATGTGATATTGTTTGGCTCTGTGTCCCCACCCAAATCTCATCTCGAATTGTAATCCCCACGTGTCAAGAGATGGACAATTCCCACCTGTCGAGAGAGAGAGGTGACTGGATCATGAAGGCAATTTCCCCCTTGCTGTTTCATGATAGTGAGTTCTCACGAGTTCTGATGGTTTGATAAGCAGTTTTCCCCACTGTTGCTTGCTCTCTCTTGCCTGCCACCATGTAAGATGTGCCTGTTTCTCCTTCTGCCATGATTGTAAGTTTCCTGAGACCTCCCCAACCATGCAGAACTGTGAGTCAATTAAACCTCTTTTCTTTAAAAATTACCAGTCTTGGGTATGTCTTTATAGCAGTGTGAAAACAGACTAATGTAACATGTAAGCATAATCATGTGACATTTGTCTTTCTGTGCCTATCTTATTTAACTTAACATTATGTCTTCCAGGTTTATGTTGTTGTATAATAAATGACACGACTTTATTCTTTTTAAAGGCTGAATAGTATACCATTGTATGTGTGTGCATATACTACATTTTCTTTATCCATTTATCAATTGATAGGCAATTAGGTTGATTCCATATGAGCTTACCACTTGCTTGAAATCCCTTGTGATATGGTTTGGCTGTGTCCCCAGCCAAATCTCAAATTGAATTGCATCTCCCAGAATTCCCACATGTTGTGGGAGGTACCCAGGGGGAGATGATTGAACTGTAAGCGTCTATCTTTCCCATGTTATTCTCATGACAGTGAATAAGTCTCATGAGATCTGATGGGTTTATCAGGGCTTTCCGCTTTTGCTTCTTCCTCATTTTTCTCTTTCCACCATCATGTAAGAAGTGCCTTTCACCTCCCACCATGATTCTGAGGCCTCCCCAGCCGTGTGGAACTGTAAGTCCAATTAAACCTCTTTTTCTTCCCAGTCTTGTGTATGTCTTTATCAGCAGTGAGAAAACAGACTAATACACTTAGCTAAATACAAATAAAAGCCAGCACAAAGTACTGTTCTTCCAATTTATTTCCCTAGAGATATAAGCTTGGAAACCATGTGATCTGCCTTTCAAGCTATTGTAGGCTATAGTTTTATTAAATATTTTGCCACTGCATTACAGACATCTTAAATTTTCTATTCAAAAATAGCTGTTCCCCATGCTGCCTGCCCCCAACTGATAAGCCAGTGCATATATTGATTTCTGATAAGGCTAGTACATTAAGATAACAACTGGTAAACTCATTGGGGTAATGCTATTTGATATACCAGTAAGCCTCCAACTGTTGGAAACTTAATATAATAGAAATTTAGTTTTTAATTACATAACAGTTAAATTGAGGATACTTTCGATCTGTATGCTATTTTCTCCATGCTGTGACCCATCTTACGGCTTTGGCTCACCCTGAGGCCTTGGTGTCTTCTTCACATGGTGGAAGATGATGGAAAATATGGAGAAGCCAAATCTGTTTCTTAAATGCCTGGGCCTGGGATTGACACACCATTCTTGCCTACTTTCTATTGCCAATAACTAATCACATTCTCTTACCTAGATGTAAAGGTTGCTTCTTAGCAACAATTTTACTCTGGAAGAGGGAAAGCTGAATTGTGGGCAGCCAGCAATTTCTATTACACCTATAATACTCTGTTCCGTTCCCCTGCTAATATCTCTTTATCTCTTTAAAAAAGATTATGTGACTGACACTATTATGCTAGAAATAGAAAATTAGCAAAACTAGAAATCGTCTCTGCACTCATGGGTATTTCATGGTAGTGAAGGAAGAAGACATACTAAGAAAATCACAAACATTCATATGTACTTGGAACTGTGATACATATCATGGAGGACATACATAATGCTTTGACATTATGTACTGAGATGGTTTGACCTGGTTGAGGAGAATGGAAAAGGTATTTTGAGGATGTTGAGCTTTGAAGATGAATAGGAGTTTACGCTATGAAAAGGGGAGGGAAGAGCATCTGCAATAGAAAAGGGAAAATAGCATTCATTAAGGTTCAGTGGCTAAGCAACTAAAATATTGGTGTTGCTGGAAGTAAAGACATGAATAGGTACATGGTGTAAATTGAGCCTGTAGAAGCAGGTAGGGATTAAATCTTTTAGGACATATTGGAGATTTTGGTAATTATCCTAAGTACAATGGGAGCAAATGAAATGATTTTAAATAGCAAGGTGACATGGCGAGATTTATACTTTGAAAATATCACTCTGAATTGCAGTATGGAAAATGAATGGACTGAGAAAAGAGTGGATGCTGGTAGCCAAGTTAGTAGGCCATTGAATAGTCAAGGTGAGAAGTGATAGGTTAGATTGGGGTGGTAGTAATGGAGGGTGATAGCCGTAGAGATATTAGACAGATATTTAGAATTAATGCTGGAAAAGTAGACCTGAAAAATGAAAAGAAGTGGTGTGTGATGATGTTTTGGTCAGCGATGGACCACAAATATGGCAGTCGTTTTGTAAGATTATAATGTCTATTTTTGTTGTACTTTTTCTATGTTTAGGTCTGATATACAAATCCTTATCATTCTGTTAAAATTGCTTACAGCATTCAGTACAGTAACAAGTTGTACAGGTTTGTAGCCTAGGTACAATAGGCTATACCATTATAGCCTAGGTATGTTGTAGACTATACCATCTAGATTTATGTAAGTACACTCTATGATGTTTGCATGGTGACAAAATCGCCTAATGACGTATTTCTCAGAAGGTATCGCCATTGTTAAGCAATGCATACTTAACAATGAGAACACATGACTGAATGTGTTCTCATAGAGAAAAATTTGATGTTTTGAAGATGTTCTCTACCTAGAGTAATTTAAAAATTAGCAAGATCCCAGTAAAAATACCTCTAGGCTTTTTTTTTTTTTAAATTCCAGGAGCTAGGCAAAAATAGCCAGGAAGGCATTGAAAGGAACTTAGCTCTGCAATCTTAAGAAAAATTGTTAGATTTCTGATTTTCACAACTCAGTGTTTGATGATACCATTTATTGAAATAGGAAAATGTACAAGGGCTAGGTTGGAGTTCACAGAACTCTAAATTTTTCTGCAAATTCCTGTTTATCTTGTTTAGGCTTTGGAGAGTCTTTGGCAGTGGTTTTCATCCCAGAAGCTTAAAAATCAACAGACCAGTGCTTAAAACTCAACCACATGACACTTGTCCCATTCTGAAGGGGATTTACCTTTAAGAAGTTACTGAACTTTTGTTTCTAGCAGGTCAGATGGAAAGGAAAGCAGGCAAGAGGAAGGATAGAGGCCTGAGGGTGATGGAGGAACATAACACAGGAGATAAGGAATAGTGGGATAAATGCTGTATCTTTCAAATTAGAATGTGAAGGCATCTGAAAGGCAAATGGTTTTAACATTTTATATTTTTAATTTGCCTTGGCTAGCAAATCTTTTAAGGAAGGAATTTTTAGAATCTGGATTAAAAAATAAATTTTGTCATAGCAATTAGGAAATATAGACCATTGGATGTATGAGATTTTGCTTCTTTCCATTTTAAGGTACCTTTCAAACAGTTTTATTTATATAAAAAATTATCCAAAGTTGCCATTGCAAGTCTAAAATATCCTTGGTGAAATCATGCTGTTTAGAAAAATAAGTGTATAATTTAAAGTTCTAGTATGTATACATGTAGGAAGCTTGAATATAACTTGGAAGGGGCATGGACCTAGACTGAAATAAATCCATGAGTCTGGCGGTGTTGGTCAAATATATTACTTGTGTGCATTTTGTCTTTGCCCTCATTTTAATAGTTGCTTATTTCAAATTGAAGACTGGACAGATTTGCAATTCTAGAAACATGGGAGATTTGGAGGCAGTCTCTCCCAGAGGAAATTTCTCTCATGAAGAAAACAATTAAAAAAAAATACAAAACAAAACAGAGGAACGTTTTCATGATATTTTGACAAGTGACCCAGGGCAAAGATTTTATTATAAGGATGTTGGTACAATGAGAACAACTGAACCTGTGAGTCTTTGGGCCTGGCTCAAAAATGGGTTAGTGGCTTTTATCTGTTCACTTCTCTAGGAACTTTCTTTTATAGACTCCCCTCAAAAAGTGACAAAGACAAAGAGATACATATTAGTATTGTTAGTAATGAGACAGATTTCTCCCTGGCATACAAATTTGCAATTAATAGATTACTGAAAGTCTTCTGCATTTCTGAAAGACAGGGAAACTCAGTGATTGAGAGCTTAACCAAAGGAAATTGGAGCTGAGACTCAGTACCAAGACCCAGTTCACCATTATAGCCAGAGAGATCCCTGAAGAGAGAGGCTAAAAGAAGTCACAGAGGAATTTGGTATTTCTAAGTTGAAGATCTTAGCTGTGGCAGCAAAAGGGCCTATTTGATCTTATTGGACTTCTAGGATTGTCAGCTGCCATCTGGTCAGAAGTACATCACAGTAACTGAATAACCTGTTGATATGCAAAGCTGAGTTTATGACATAATACAGTATGGGAGAGCACTACCTTGACAGTCTTAGTGTTGTCTCTGAAAGAGGCAGGTTAATGGCTGATATTTATATGGTTTTGGGAACTAGGCTTGAGTGTTTTAAGAGAGCTTTCAGTGTGGGATTCTAGTAGGCAAAGTTTGTGATATAAAAGTTTAGGATTAATGGAATTAAGGCATGAGTCTTAAAGAAAGTCTTGACAAGTAAACACTATTTTGATAAGGAAGGAATTTGTTCAGTTGAGTGATCTATTGTCATAAGAAGGGAACTGTTTGCCAGGATTCAGAATCTGTTGTTTGGAAAAGGTAGGTGATTGATGATTGAGCAGTCTGTTGCTCAGGTAAATGATTTATGGGAAGGTCTTGAAGAAAATAACCAAGTTATTTACTGGTTTATAGCTTTATTTTCCTGGGCAAGAATTGAGGAACTCATGAGAATGTCATGTTGTAGTAGGTAGGTCTTAGTTCTTTGTTCTGATAGTTAAGCCATATGAATGCAAATGGTCTCAGTTCTCATGTCTCACCAAAGTTATATGTTTTTCCATTAGTGTGTTGTACATTGTTTATTAGACATATTCCTAGAAACTTTATGGCTTGTTCCTATTGTGAATGGACTTCTTTTTTTTTTTTATAAAATTACATTTTTGTTGTTTTACTGATGTATAGGTTTGGAATTGATTTTTGCATGATAATCTTGTAATAGATGTTCTTGGATTTTTTTATAGAGGTAAACTTATCATCTACATATAAAGAATTTTATTTTTGCCTTTCATAATATTTGTCTCAGCTTACCAGGATCTTCAATACTGCAAATAAAAGTGGCAATAGTGAATGTGGCAGAGACATTTCTTACTTATCGGCTATACACACACTTTCCCATACTTCTAAGCCTAATTGCAGGTAGATGGGGCCTAGTTCTAGCCAATAGACTGTGCATGGAAATTATGTGGATCAGTTCCAGAGCAAAGCATAAGAGAGTTAATATAAACATTGATATGTTTGGCTGTGTCCCCACCCAAACTTCAACTTGAATTGTATCTCCCAGAATTCCCCTATGTTGTGGGAAGGACCCAGGGGGAAGTAATTGAATCATGGGGACCGGTCTTTCCCATGCTATTCTCCTAATAGTAAGTAAGTGTCAAGAGATCTGAGGGGTTTATCAGGGGTTTCTGCTTTTGCTTCTTCCTCATTCTCTCTTGCTGCCGCCATGTAAGAAGTGCCTTTTGCCCTCAGCCATGAAAGTGAAACCTCTCCAGCCATGTGGAACTGTAAGTCAAACTTCCTTTTCTTCCCAGTCTTGTGTATGTCTTTATCAGCAGTGGAAAACAGATTAATACAGTAAATTGTTACCAGTAGAGTGGGGCGTTGCTGAAAAGATACCCGGAAATGTGGAAGCGACTTTGGAACTGGGTAACAGGCAGAGGTTGGAACAGTTTGGAAGGCTCAGAAGAAGACAGGAAAATGTGGGAAAGTTTGGAACTTCCTAGTGACTTGTTGAATGGCTTTGGCAAAAATTCTGATAGCGATATGGGCAATAAAATCCAGACTGAGGTGGTCTCAGATGGAGATGAGAAGCTTTTTGGGAACTGGAATAAAGGTGACTCTTGTAAAGAGAGTGGCGGCATTTTGCCCCTGCCCTAGAGATTTGTGGAACTTTGAACTTGAGAAAGATGATTTAAGGTATCTGGCAGAATAAACTTCTAAGCAGCAAAGCATTCAAGAGGTGACTTGGGTGCTATTAAAGGCATTCTGTTTTATAAGGGAAGCAGAGCATAAAAGTTTGGAAAATTTGTAGCCTGACTATGCGATAGAAAAGAGAAACCTGTTTTTTGGGGAGAAATTCAAGCCAGCTGCAGAAATTTGCATAAGTAGCAAGGAGCCTAGTGTTAATCCCCAAGACCACAGGGAAAATGTCTCCAGGTCATGTCAGAGACCTTCATGGCAGCCCCTCCCAATCACAGGCCGAGAGGTCCAGTGGGAAAAAGTGATTTCATGGACTGGGCCCAGGGTCCCTGTGCTGTGTGCAGTCTAGGGACTTGGTGCCCTGTGTCTCAGCCACTAAAGCCATGGCTAAAGGGGCCAATTTACAGGTTGGGCTCTGGCTTCAGAGGGTGGAAGCCCCAAGCCTTGGCAGCGTCCATGTGGTGTTGAGCCTGTGAGTGCACAGAAGTCAAGAATTGAGGTTTGGGAACCTCTGCCTAGTTTTCAGAAGATGTATGGAAACTCCTGGATGCCCAGGCAGAAATTTGCTGCAGGGGCGGAGCCCTCATGGAGAACTTGTGCTAAGGCAGTGCAGAGGAGCCCCCACACAGAGTCCCTACTGGGGCACTGCCTGGTGGAGTGTGAAAAGAGG
Organism: Homo sapiens; assembly: GCF_000001405.40. NCBI lineage: Eukaryota > Metazoa > Chordata > Mammalia > Primates > Hominidae > Homo > Homo sapiens. Next base: position 48,372,588 of record NC_000001.11, on the reverse strand, counting down.
GCCACCATCCTCCAGATCCCAGAATGGTAGATCTACTGACAGCTTGCACCATGCGCCTGCAAAAGCCACAGACACAATGCCAGCCCGTGAAAGCAGCAGGAGAGAGACTATATCCTGCAAAACCACAGGGGTGGAGCTGCCTAACACCATGGGAACCCACATCTTGCATCAGTGTGAGCTGGATGTGAGATATGGAGTCAAAGGAGATCATTTTGGAGCTTTAAGCTTTGACTGCTCCACTGGATTTCAGACTTACATGGGCCCTGTAACCCCTTTGTTTTGGCCAGTTTCTCTCATTTAGAACAGCTGTATTTACCCAATACCTGTACCCCCATTGTGTCTAGGCAGTAACTAGCTTGTTCTTGGTTTTACAGGCTCATAGGCAGAAGGGACTTGCCTTGTCTCAGATGAGACTTTGGACTGTGGACTTTTGGGTTAATGCTAAAATGAGTTCGGACTTTGGGGGACTGTTGGGAAGGCATGATTGGTTTTGAAATGTGAGGACATGATATTTGGAGGTGCCAGGGGTGGAATGATATGGTTTGGCTGTGTTCCCATCCAAATCTTAACTTGAATTGTATCTCCCAGAATTCCCACATGTTGTAGGAGGGACCTAGGGGAAGGAAATTGAATCATGGGGGCCTGTCTTTCCCATGCTGCTCTCATGATAGTAAATAAGTGTCATGAGATCTGTTGGGTTTATCAGGGGTTTCTGCTTTTGCTTCTTCCTCATTCTCTCTTGCCACCACCCTGTAAGAAGTGCCTTTCACCCTCAGCCATGATTGCGAAACCTCCCCAGCTATATGGAACTGTAAGTCTAATTAAACCTCATTTTCTTCCCAGTCTCGTGTGTGTCTTTATCAGCAGCATGAAAATGGACTAATGCAAACACTCTTGTTACAGTGACAATGAAGCTTCAGGTTCTAGATAGTACAGTTATAATTTGTTTAGCATGTTTTATCAGCATAAGTCCTTGGGCAGTTTTGTATAATTTCTCTTGCTAAACTGTGTTACCATATAGTGGAGGAAAAATGAACGTTTATGATGTCCAGCCACTGATTTCAAACTTAATTTGCTACTGCAGTATTGCCTAACATGCTGTAGTGTAGACTAATGTAGTGTGTATTCTTGTCTTTGATAGGATCATCTATAAATTTCCACACATATAAATATTATATGCAGTAAATAAAAAATAAATATTATTTGCAGTAAGGTTTTGTTAGCTATCATTTAGCAAGTTAAGGAAGTTCCCTTGAAATTCCTTGTTTGAATATCTATCTATCTATCTATCTATCTATCTATCTATCTATCTATCTATATAGATACATATTCAATGAATGGATATTGAATATTACCAAATGCTGTTTCCAGCACCTGTTGAGATGATAATTTTTTTTATGGTGAATTGATAAATTTTCTAATGATAATCCATCCTTGTATTATTTGAATAAACTGCCTTGTCATGTTGTGTTCTTCTAGCTTATTCTTTAACATTCCTGAATTAAAATATTTTAGTTATAATTTTTCCATATATGGCCACAATTGAGGGTGGCCTATAATTATCCTTTCTTGTACTGTCCTTGAATGATTTGGTAGCATTGTTGTGATCACATTATAACTTTAGTTGGGAATGTTTTCTTTCTTTCTCAGAAAGTTTGTCAGTTTGTTCCTTAGCTGTGTATATTGGATTATTGGTAAATCATATCGTGAGCCCATCCTTTGTGGGACTTTCCTTGTAGAAATCCTGTTAGGCTTGGGCTATGAGAGTTTGCAATTTGTTTCTGCCATAGATCCCTCATATATAATTGGTCTGGAACCCCCACTGCTTAACAGCTGTTTGATTTTGCTTTTATTTTCTTACCAATAAAGTACAGATAATAAAAACGTCTACCTTATAAGGTTGTTGTGAGGATTTAAAAAGTTTTCTATATGTAAGTGAATAGAACAGTGGTCTAAGAGGGGAGGGGTTCCCCTCAAGATCTGATATATTTGGGAATTATTTTCTTATTGTATTATTTTAGAATATCTTTCAAATTCAGCTTCAGTGTAAAAAAAGTACATCTTACTTAAACCAAATCAGATAGTGCACATATGAATGTTTAAATCAGATAAGATAGGAATTGATCTTTTACTTGATGTAAGATTCACTAAGGAATGTTCTTGGCAAGATTGAGAAAGTGATTTCAGTTACCCATATCTACTTTTTCCCCTTTCAGAACCATACTTTCCTCTGGCCATCCTGCAAGTTGTACCTGCACTGTGCTTCTGTCCTATGGTCCTTATTCTCAACTACTTCTCAGCTAATTCCATTTGAATTATTTGTATTTATTTCTGAACTCTTCTGCCCTATGACAGAAGAGAAACTTTAGAGAATAGTGTGTGATACTAGGCACTATGTAGGCTAACAACAAATATTTGTTGAGTAACTGAATTTTCTAGTTCCCATTATTTGTAGTAGTTAATTCTCACCCACACTAATTTGACCTTGAGGTTTTTGTAAATGTAACATTTTTATGGCCAATAATATGATTTGTCAACTTACTGTGTAAGCAACTTTTCAGGAATCTTATTTCATACGTGTGGTATAAAAACTCTGCATATCATAGATTTGAAGAGCATGTCATTAATCACATGAATTTAGTATATGAAGTTTCCTTTTGAGGGTGGAGCCAAGATGGCCGAATAGGAGGAGCTCCGGTCTACAGCTCCCAGCGTGAGCGACGCAGAAAATGGGTGATTTCTGCATTTCCATCTGAGGTACCGGGTTCATCTCACTAGAGAGTGCCAGACAGTGGGTGCAGGACAGTGGGTGCAGTGCACCATGCGCAAGCCAAAGCAGGACGAGGCATTGCCTCACTCGGGAAGTGCAAGGGGTCAGGGAGTTCCCTTTCCTAATCAAAGAAAGGGGTGACAGACGGCACCTGGAAAATCCAATCACTCCCACCCCACTACTGCGCTTTTCCGACGGGCTTAAAAAACGGCACACCAGGAGATTATATCCCACACATGGCTCGGAGGGTCCTACGCCCACGGAGTCTCGCTGATTGCTAGCACAGCAGTCTGAGATCAAACTGCAAGGCGGCAGCCAGGCTGGGGGAGGGGCACCTACCATTGCCCAGGCTTGCTTAGGTAAACAAAGGAGCCAGGAAGCTCGAACTGGGTGGAGCCCACCACAGCTCAAGGAGGCCTGCCTGCCTCTGTAGGCTCCACCTCTGGGGGCAGGGCACAGACAAACAAAAAGACAGCAGACTTAAATGTCCCTGTCTGACAGCTTTGAAGAGGGTAGTGGTTCTCCCAGCACGCAGCTGGAGATCTGAGAACTGGCAGACTGCCTCCTTAAGTGGGTCCCTGACACCCGAGCAGCCTAACTGGGAGGCACCTCCCAGTAGGGGCAGACTGACACCTCACACGGCCGGGTACTCCTCTGAGACAAAACTTCCAGAGGACCGATCAGGCAGCAGCATTCGCGGTTCACGAAAATCCGCTGTTCTGCAGCCACCACTGCTGATACCCAGGCAAACAGTGTGGAGTGGACCTCTAGCAAACTCCAACAGACCTGCAGCTGAGGGTCCTGTCTGTCAGAAGGAAAACTAACAAACAGAAAGGACATCCACACCAAAAACCCATCTGTACATCACCATCATCAAAGACCAAAAGTAGATAAAACCACAAAGATGGGGAAAAAACAGAGCAGAAAAACTGGAAATCTAAAAAACAGCACGCCTCTCCTTCTCCAAAGGAATGCAGTTCCTCACCAGCAGTGGAACAAAGCTGGACGGAGAATGATGTTGACGAGTTGAGAGAAGAAGTCTTCGGACGATCAAACTACTCCGAGCTACAGGAGGAAATTCAAACCAATGGCAAAGAAGTTAACAACTTTGAAAAAAAATTAGACAAATGTATAACTAGAATAACCAATGCAGAGAAGTGCTTAAAGGAGCTAATGGAGCTGAAAGCCAAGGCTCGAGAACTACGTGAAGAATGCAGAAGCCTCAGGAGCCGATGTGATCAACTGGAAGAAAGGGTATCAGTGATGGAAGATGAAATGAATGAAATGAAGCGAGAAGGGGAGTTTAGAGGAAAAAGAATAAAAAGAAACGAACAAAGTCTCCAAGAAATGTGGGACTATGTGAAAAGACCAAATCTACGTCTGATTGGTGTACCTGAAAGTGACGGGGAGAATGAAACCAAGTTGAAAAACACTCTGCAGGATATTATCCAGGAGAAATTCCCCAATCTAGCAAGGCAGACCAACATTCAGATTCAGGAAATACAGAGAACGCCACAAAGATACTCCTCGAGAAGAGCAACTCCAAGACACATAATTGTCAGATTCACCAAAGTTTAAATGAAGGCAAAATGTTAAGGGCACCCAGAGAGAAAGGTCGGGTTACCCACAGAGGGAAGCCCATCAGACTAACAGCTGATCTCTTGGCAGAAACTCTACAAGCCAGGAGAGAGTGGGGGCCAATATTCAACATTCTTAAAGAAAAGAATTTTCAACCCAGAATTTCATATCCAGCCAAACTAAGCTTCATAAGTGAAGGAGAAATAAAATACTATACAGACAAGCAAATGCTGAGAGATTTTGTCACCACCACGCCTGCCCTAAAAGAGCTCCTGAAGGAAGCACTAAACATGGAAAGGAACAACTGGTATCAGCCACTGCAAAAACATGCCAAATTATAAAGATCATGAAGGCTGGAAGAAACTGCATGAACTAATGAGCAAAATAACCAGATAACATCAAGATGACAGGATCAAATTCACACATAACAATATTAACTTTAAATGTAAATGGACTAAATGCTCCAATTAAAAGACACAGACTGGCAAATTGGATAAAGAGTCAAGACCCATCAGTGTGCTGTACTCAGGAGACCCATCTCATGTGCAGAGACACACATAGGCTCAAAATAAAGGGATGGAGGAAGATCTACCAAGCAAATGGAAAACAAAAAAAGGCAGGGGTTGCAATCCTAGTCTCTGATAAAACAGACTTTAAACCAACAAAGATCAAAAGAGACAAAGAAGGCCATTACATAATGGTAAAGGGATCAATTCAACAAGAAGAGTTAACTATCCTAAATATATATGCACCAAATACAGGAGCATGCAGATTCATAAAGCAAGTCCTGAGTGACCTACAAAGAGACTTAGACTCCCACACAATAATAATGGGAGACTTTAACACCCCACTGTCAACATTAGACAGATTAACGAGACAGAAAGTTAACAAGGATACCCAGGAATTGAACTCAGCTCTGCACCAAGCAGACCTAATAGACATCTACAGAACTCTCCACCCCAAATCAACAGAATATACATTCTTTTAAGCACCACACCACACTTATTCCGAAAGTGACCACATAGTTGGAAGTAAAGCACTCCTCAGCAAATGTAAAAGAACAGAAATTATAACAAACTGTCTCTCAGACCACAGTGCAATCAAACTAGAACTCAGGATTAAGAAACTCACTCAAAACCACTCAACTACATGGAAACTGAACAACCTGCTCCTGAATGACTACTGAGTACATAATGAAATGAAGGCAGAAATAAAGATGTTCTTTGAAACCAACGAGAACAAAGACACAACATACCAGAATCTCTGGGACATATTCAAAGCAGTGTGTAGAGGGAAATTTATAGCACTGAATGCCCACAAGACAAAGCAGGAAAGATGCAAAATTGACACCCTAACATCACAATTAAAAGAACTGGAAAAGCAAGAGCAAACACATTCAAAAGCTAGCAGAAGGCAAGAAATAACTAAAATCAGAGCAGAACTGAAGGAAATAGAGACACAAAAAACCCTTCAAAAAATCAATGAATCCAGGAGCTGGTTTTTTGAAAAGATCAACAAAATTGATAGACCGCTAGCAACATTAATAAAGAAGAAAAGAGAGAAGAATCAGATAGATGCAATAAAAAATGATAAAGGGGATATCACCACCGATCACACAGAAATACAAACTACCATCAGAGAATACTACAAACACCTCTACGCAAATAAACTAGAAAATCTAGAAGAAATGGATAAATTCGTAGACACATACACCCTCCCAAGAGTAAACCAGGAAGAAGTTGACTCTGAATAGACCAATAACAGCCTCTGAAATTGTGGCAATAATCAATAGCTTACCAACCAAAGAGAGTCCATGACCAGATGGATTCACAGCCGAATTCTACCAGAGGTACAAGGAGGAACGGGTACTACCATTCCTTCTGAAACTATTCCAATCAATAGAAAAAGAGGGAATCCTCCCTAACTCATTTTATGAGGCCAGCATCATCCTGATACCAAAGCCGGGCAGAGACACAACCAAAAAAGAGAATTTTAGACCAATATCCTTGATGAACATTGATGCAGAAATCCTCAATAAAATACTGGCAAACCGAATCCAGCAGCACATCAAAAAGCTTATCCACCATGATCAAGTGGGCTTCATCCCTGGGATGCAAGGCTGGTTCAACATACGCAAATCAATAAATGTAATTCAGCATATAAACAGAACCAAAGACAAATACCGTATGATTATCTCAATAGATGCAGAAAAAGACTTTGATAAAATTCAACAACGCTTCATGCTAAAAAGTCTCAATAGATTAGGTATTGATGGGACGTATCTTAAAATAATAAGAGCTATCTATGACAAACCCACAGCCAATATCATACTGAATGGGCAAAAACTGGGAACATTCCCTTTGAAAACTGGCACAAGACAGGGATGCCCTCTCTCACCACTCCTATTCAACATAGTGTTGGAAGTTCTGGCCAGGGCAATTAGGCAGGAGAAGGAAATAAAGGGTATTCAGTTAGGGAAAGAGGAAGTCAAATTGTCCCTGTTTGCAGATGACATGATTGTATATCTAGAAAACCCCATCATCTCAGCCCAAAATCTCCTTGAGCTGTTAAGCAACTCCAGCAGTCTCAGGATACAAAATCAATGTACAAAAATCACAAGAATTCTTATACACCAATAACAGACAAACAGCCAAATCATGAGTGAACTCCCATTCACCATTGCTTCAAAGAGAATAAAATACCTAGGAATCCAACTTACAAGGGATGTGAAGGACCTCTTCAAGGAGAACTATAAACCACTGCTCAAGGAAATAAAAGAGGATACAAACAAATGGAAGAACATTCCATGCTCATGGGTAGGAAGAATCAATATCGTGAAAATGGCCATACTGCCCAAAGTAATTTACAGATTCAATGCCACCCCCATCAAGCTGCTAATGACTTTCTTCATAGAATTGGAAAAAACTACTTTAAAGTTCATATGGAACCAAAAAAGAGCCCGCATCGCCAAGTCAATCCTAAGCCAAAAGAACAAACCCGGAGGCACCACGCTACCTGACTTCAAACTATACTACAAGGCTACAGTAACCAAAACAGCATGGTACTGTTACCAAAACAGAGATATAGATCAATGGAACAGAACAGAGCCCTCAGAAATAATGACGCATATCTACAACTATCTGATCTTTGACAAACCTGAGAAAAACAAGCAATGGGGAAAGGATTCCCTATTTAATAAAGGGTGCTGGGAAAACTGGCTAGCCATATGTAGAAAGCTGAAACTGGATCCTTTCCTTACACCTTATACAAAAACTAATTCACGATGGATTAAAGACTTACATGTAAGACCTAAAACCATAAAAACCCTAGAAGAAAACCTAGGCAATACCATTCAGGACATGGGCATGGGCAAGGACTTCATGTCTAAAACACCAAAAGCGGTGGCAACAAAAGCCACAATTGACAAATGGAATCTAATTAAACTAAAGAGCTTCTGCACAGCAAAAGAAACTACCATCAGAGTGAACAGGCAACCTACAAAATGGGTGAAAATTTTCGCAACCTACTCATCTGCCAAAGGGCTAACATCCAGAATCTACAATGAACTCAAACAAATTTACAAGAAAAAAACAACCCCATCAAAAAGTTGGCAAAGGATATGAACAGACATGTCTCAAAAGAAGACATTTATGCAGCCAAAAAACACATGAAAAAATGCTCATCATCCCTGGCCATCAGAGAAATGCAAATCAAAACCACAATGAGATACCATCTCACACCAGTTAGAATGGCGATCATTAAAAAGTTAGGAAACAACAGATGCTGGAGAGGATGTGTAGAAATAGGAACACTTTTACACTGTTGGTGGGACTGTAAACTAGTTCAACCATTGTGGAAGTCAGTGTGGCGATTCCTCAGGGATCTAGAACTAGAAGTACCATTTGACCCAGCCATCCCATTACTGGGTATATACCCAAAGGAATATAAATCATGCTTCTATAAAGACACATGCACATGTATGTTTATTGTGGCACTATTCACCATAGCAAAGACTTGGAACCAACCCAAATGTCCAACAACAATAGATTGGATTAAGAAAATGTGGCACATATACACCATGGAATACTATGCAGCCATAAAAAATGATGAGTTCATGTCCTTTGTAGGGACATGGATGAAATTGGAAATCATCATTCTCAGTAAACTATCGCAAGGACAAAAAACCAAACACCACATGTTCTCATTCATAGGTGGGAATTGAACAAGGAGAGCACATGGACACAGGAAGGGGAACATCACACTCTGGGGACTGTTGTGAGGTGGGGGAAGGGGGGAGGGATAGCATTAAGAGGTATACCTAATGCTAAATGATGAGTTAATGGGTGCAGTACACCAGCATGGCACATGTATACATATGTAACAAACCTTCACATTGTGCACATGTACCCTAAAACTTAAAGTATAATAATAATAAAATAAATTTAAAAAATAAAAAAAGAAAAAAGGCAACATGAAAAAAAAGAAGTTTCCTTTTTTACCTGTACCAGTTTCAGATTAGTTTAAAAATATTAGTTATTTTTTCATCTTGATTCATTTTAGCATTTGCCATATTGAAAGTATTGCATTTGTGGGTTCATAGAAAGTCATTAAAAAAACTCTTTTCATAAATGTAAAAAAAAGACTTTTTTATGCTGAAGTATAAATGCTATACACAGAAGAAAATTATCTTTATGAGCCAAGCTCTCCACTAGTGTTTTCACTTTCCTTTCATTTAATTTTTGTGTCAAATCTGTAATATTGTGTTTTCAGTTCATAGGTAAGGAAACGAAAGCCTTAATAGGGTAAATGACTTGCTCAGGGTCTCATAAACAGCAGGGATTTGAACTTAAGTTTTTGGACTCTAAGCCAGTATTATTGAAGATACATTGAAGAAATATAACCCTTCTGTGATGAGCTAAAGAGATAATATTCCATTTAGCTTTTGAAAGGAAATGATCTAACGGAAACTCACAAGAGCTATGGAAACATTTTTTAAGCTAAGGCTGAAGGCTTTAAGTTTGAAATGGATTCTTATCAAAGAGACGTACCCTTTCGTTTTACCTCGTAACCCCTTATTTTGATAAAAGACTTTACAAAACATATACTCTAATTCCATGGAAGGAATACATTCAAGCTGTGTTCCCATTGCGCAATTACTTCATGTCTATTTAGCTCTAATTTCCTTTCTCATTACTTGTATTTGACGTCTTATATTCTGTATTGTAACTTTTTTTGAGTTCTCCTGTTTATTTAACACCCGTGATTGTTGTTTCCTACTTTGTTTGGTACTTTATATGCAGAAGGTGCTTAATAAATCTTGAATACTGTTGAGTTACAGCATTTAAGATTCTTGTACAATGTATCCCTCCCACCTCTATGATATTCTCTATTACATTTGTATAGAAATAGCCCAACTATTATTCATTTTTCATCTTTGCTCATCTTTTCTTGTGCCTTTTTCCTATTCTGAATGGCTTTTCTCCTCCTTTCCTCTACTTATGGCTTTGATTTCGATTCTACCTCCTCAGTGAGACCTGCACCATTAAGACCATTAGAAGTCTTTCCTTTGAATTTCTTTTTGCAGTTATTGTCATTGGAATGTGTTTGACACTTCAGCATATCTTATTGTCATTTATCCTTCTGTATATGCCCTGTCTCATCTGGATTGTGAGTTTAAATCTTTGTATTTCTTAGGTTTGAGTGTGAGCTAAGATGTTCAAGAGATTCTCAGTGAATATTGTGATAGAAATTCAGTGGTAGTCACCTATAAAAGGCTTTATATAAAGCAATGCTGACTAGTTTGGGGATAAAATTTAGCAGATAAAAATGAAGTGGTCTGCCATCTAACATGTCTCAATTGACATTGAAATTGATAAAAAGAAAATAATCCAGGCCAATTGGTTCGTATTTGGATATATTCTAGAAACAACAGTGTGACACCTTCTCCCACTTTCTTTTTCTTTCTTTTCTTTTTTTTCTTTTTCTTTGAGACAGAGTGTTGCTGTGTCACCCAGGCTGGAGTGCAGTGGTGCAGTCATAGCTCACTGCAACATAGAACTCCTGAGCTCAAGTGTTCCTCCTGCCTCAGCCTCCTGAATAGTTGAGACTACAGATGTGAGCTACCTATTCTGTGTCTCTGAACATATGCACTTACATTGTTGACCATCAGCCTCCTTGATCTTGTTTTTAAGTTTTACTGTGTTTTTGTTTTGTCTCTGAATAGCTAAAAATGGAGCAATTTTATTTTTTTCTTCAGTCTTGATCACATATTTCTTGTTGGTCAGTTATTGGGGACTGTAACTGTGTCATTTGAACTATGTTCTATTAGGTTCTGGAATGAAAGCATGATTCTCTCAGCTGACCACTGACTTATTATTTGTTGTAATTTTGGAAAATAGTGAAAATTATGGTAGTGTTGAAGCAAAACCTATGCTGGACTTATGTTTTAATAACAAATGACATACATTTATTGGGCAACTAATGTATACACCTAGACATCCTGCAATATAGTTTAAATAAATAATGGAAGATCTGTAAGCTAGCTATTATTAACTTTATTTTTCATGTGAGGGAAATGAGTCTGAGAAGAATTAGATAGCTGTCTAAATGGTCAAATATTTAACAAATAGCGCTACTATAACATAAACTCTTAAAGGCAGAGACTTTGTTTTGTTCACTATTGTAGTCCCAAAACTTAGGACATGACTGGGACTCAAATATTTGTTAAATGAATCCAATTCCTCTCCTCTTATTCTCTCTTGAATTCAACTTCAGATTTTCACTCTTGTCACTCCGTTAAAGCTATTTTTGTTGATGTTATCGATGACTTCACTGTTACTAACATCCAAAGGTCTGTCTTTTCTAACTTGACCTATCAAGTTATATTTACCCATTAGTTACTCCCCCTTCCTTAAAATACATTGTTTATTCACTTCCAAAACAACACATTCTCGTGTTTCTTTCCTTTCTTCCCTGGCTACTCTTCAGTAATGTTTTCTTTTCATCTTTCAAGCCTCTAAATATTGGAGTATTCCCAGGGCTAATTCTTCAGATGTTTTCTACTTTTGATTTACTTTTACTTCCTTGGCAATATCACCCAGTGCAATACCTCTAAATACCATTTAGACTCTAGTAATTACCAATTTATATTTTCATCCTGGACTTTCCCCCAAACTCTGCTGTAATATATTGAATGATTAATAGATTAATAGATATGTGAAGCTTAATATGTCCAAAACTAGACTCCTAATATCTTAATTTTCTATGCTTACAATTGGAAGAGTATATCTAATTCATACAAACCCAACCCTTCTAGTTGATTAGGACAGAAAACCTTAGTGTCATCTTTGACATCGAGACCAGTTGTGACCTGTTGGCTGTGTCTTCTAAATATATTGTGAATCTGATCACTTCTCACCTCCATTGCAGTCATTCTGGCCCAAGCCAGCATGCTTTTCCAGATTTTATTATAATAGGTTCCTAGCTGATTTCCTCCCAGGGCCCTTGGCCCCTCTGCAGACTATTCTCAATATAATAGCCTGGGATGTCCTATTTATAGAAGGAAAAAGTCAGGACATATTTTTCTCTCAGAATAAAAGATTAATTTCTTAAAACCTACCTTTTTGACCTCATTTCTTACTACCCAGTCGAGCTCCACTGGCTCCCTTGCTAATATCAAGCATGTCCTCCTCCTACTCCCAAGATCTTTGCATTTATTTTTCTCTCTTCTGGCATAGTCTTTCCACAGATAATCTTCGTGACTTAGGTCTTACGGTCTTTACTGAGGTCTTCAGGTCTCAGTGAGGTTCCTACTGACTATCCCATTTAAAATTACAGTTCCTTTCCTGCATAATCTTTCCATCGCACCCATCAGCACTTAACCCCCCTGCTTCTCATGTTACTTAATATCCTGTAACACACTCTATTCTAGTTCTTTATCTTGGTGTGTTTTTGTGTTTTACATTTATCTCTTCTTATTAGAATATATATTTTACCAGAATATATGTTCCACAGGAGCAGGAATTTATTCATTTGTCTTTTCTGATTTGTTCATGTGTCCATTCCCAGAACAAATGAAGTAGTGAATGAGTATTAGACCTGAATTTGAATCTAGTTCTGTTTGATCTGATAGCTAAACTAGGCTACCATTTGGTTCATGTGGATGTATTCTTTGTTTTAGATACACACATCCCTATGCGAACCCCACCACTACTCAAAAGCCTTTCGAACTGTCTTATACATTTTATATATAATGACAATCTTGATACATTTAATATTTAATCTTACAGTGACTAATTACTATGTTCTGAATTTTATCTTTATAGCTGTGGCATATGTTTTATTACTTTTATAAAATTAGTGTGTGTGTGCACATGCATATGACTACTATGCATACTATATTACTATATAATATGTTATATACATATGTATCTGTATTTGTATATCTATATGTATATAATTTTTAAAACAGGTTATCAGGACACCCCATGGGAGAGACTTCGATGACTCTTTAGAAAAATGTGAAGAGTATTTGAGCCCAAGGTCGTGTAGTAAGCCCCGGCATTCAGCGAGGACCTTGCTAGTCCATTCAGCACCCTCAACAATGCCAAAGCATTCTCCAAGCCCTGTGTTAAATAGAGCTTCTCTCAGGGAAAGGTAATTATGTGCGGTCTTCATTTCTGTACTGATCTTTGAATAATAAGTATTAGAAGGGGAAGCAGCAATTATGCATGTGAAATGAATGTTTATAAAAGTGTAATTTGATTTTAAAAGGCTTAAATTGTTTTTGTTTAGAATATATTACATATTAGATAATGTTAGATATTTCTTCCTAGCACAGTTCTCTATATGTGAGTTTATTAACCAGATATGGGTCACATTAACCTTAATTACAGATTATAGTTCTTAAAAGTGAAAAGTAATATATGTGTTTGTTTTTAGTAGATCCAGAGGAATTTAATATTATAGGCTTGCCTTAAGTGTAAACACAACACAGATTATATTTTTTATTTAGTCATAATGGCTATCTATATATTTTTGGTAGATGGTATCTAGTTTTCTCAAACAACCTACCCCAGCTCCCTAAGAGCATCTTAATCATGTAAAGATTCCAGCTCTCCCTTTAAAAATGCTATGGCAACCAGAGTCTGATCCTGTTATAATTTGGATGTGAAATAAATAGTTCCTTTTCATATATTTTAAAATTGAAATAGGAAATTCCTTGCCTCTGTCACTAATAGTAATATAGAAAACCATGTTTCTGTAATAAGTTGAAAAGAAATCAATCCTGGTTAAGTTTAACTCAAAACTGATGATTTGAACAACAGTGTGTTAGTTTGGATGCTATATTAAAACAAACCTATTTTAAACATACAGGTTTGTCTGTTTACTTATTAGCTTTGAAAGTATTCATAGTGGATATATGGAGGCATGTTGTAGACCCTAATCCTGAGATATGGAATTTTGATTAAGGTTGCTTCTAGTCCATTAGAATCATGCCTGTTGCGGGATAGTGGGGGATCATGGAATCGTTAACATAGGTGCGCACACACACAAACAACAACAATAACATCAAAAATTCAGGAGAAAAACTGGAAGAGCGGTTTTTCTGCTGAAGTTGATAACTTGCATCTCAGTATCAGGGGACTTTCCTCGATTTCCTCATCTGCCCAGCTGTTTAGACGTACAGTTGGTGCTCCTTTCTTTTTACCGACTTTTAGAATTCATCTCTTGTGATTTTGTTGATTAGGTCCTTTGTCATCTCTGTAAGTTTTCCAGAATTTTTTAAATCTGTATTTCCTTGGATATGTTTTTATTTACTTTTATAATAAACTTTTATAAATACTTTTATAAATAAATATTATTTACTTTTATAAATAAATTTGTTTTTATTTACTTTTATAAATACTTTTATTTTTCTACCTTTTCACATATTTTGCAGAACTCTCCAATTGTAAACCTACCACTCTAGTACAGTATTAATTTTAGTTCAGTGTTACTTTATCTTTGTATGCAATTTTGTTCCAGCTTTTGACCTCAGTCTTTTCTGGATTGATCAATTTGTCATTGAGGCTATATTCAAAAATTCTTCATCGATGACAGCTAAAGTTAGCTGTCCCTTTATTCATATTTCAGTGTGGGGAAGGGCTTAGAGTAGATAGCGGTGGCATTTACACATTATTTTCACTCAGGATGATAGATGTAGTAAGTTATTTGCTAGAAGAAAATGAGTGATTCTAATGTTAAACATTACCTAATTTAACTATAACTTGAGGAAGGTTAGGTAATTTTAAAATAAAAGAATACAATGGCAATTTAGTTTTGAATTTACCTATACAAATTAACATTCTGTTGGTATACTCTCTGGGGCAGGCATGGTAGATAAGCTTTTTTTACTTTCGCTAAAGCAGAACACCTTTGATTTGAGTGTATTTTCTAAATATCTTGTCTCTAAAGGAAGATAAAATGTCTAAGACGTACTACTGGGAACAAAAAATTTTATTCTTTTCAACACTCAGTACCTCATCTTTAAATATAAGACATTCTCTGAAATGGCTTTTTATAGGTCACTAAGCAGTATACTTGTAGGGTGTTTATACAATCTATTGAAATCAATAAACAATTTAAACTGATGTAAATGTGGATTATATGTTCCAGGCAAAATTGGAAGTTTTGCGTGGATGATGTATGACAGAACATACAGTTATAGGAGTTTATCTGTGTAAATATTTATTGAAATTAAGTAAGTTTTCTCTAAGATTGCAGTAAAATGCTGACTCCTTAATCATGTATATAAACAGATTTTTAGAAACTTTCCCAATGGCTTTAATCAAATGAATTGCTTTATTTATAGTGAAGGTGTTTTTTGCTTTGTGCCCATTTAAGAAATTCCTCCAGTAAAGTTAGCACAACATAAAATGGTTTCAATTTTGGTTATAAGTGTTATATTTCAGAAGTTGTTTCCTTCTCAATGTGTAAATATTAATATTATAATATAAAATTTGTGTGAGCTTTTGAGTTATTACTCAAATTAGACCAAGAAATACTAGCAAATCTACTGAAAAAGGAGCTGATATTCTTTTGAATCATGCTTAAAGTTTTGAGTTTTATAAATGAAATTAGACTGGCAAGCAAGCATTCCTTATTCCACAGCACAGACTAGTGGATCCTCTAATAGTATCATTGAAGAGATCCAGTGGATTCTCAGAGCTGCATAGTTGGATCTCAGATTTCCAAGATGTACTATATATATTGCAAATAACAAAGTCTGCTAATGTATTTTTCATAGATGCAATAGAACTTGCTTTTATATATACAGGAGATTAAAGTTTAGATAATTGATTATTCATTACTTATTGCATTCTTTAAAGTAGATTGTATAAAACATTTATCCTGTTTAGTAGTTTATATTTTGTATAAACATATGATATTGTAGCTTTTAAGAACAAACTGGGCTCATGCCTGTAATCCCAGCACTTTGGGAGGCCAAGGTGGGCGGATCACGAGGTCAGCAGTTTGGGACCAGCCTGACCAACATGATGAAACCTCTCTACTAAAAATACAAAAATTAGCCAGGTGTAGTGGCAGGCAATCCCAGCTACTCAGGAGGCTGAGGCAGGAGAATTGCTTGAACCTGGGAGGCGGAGGTTGCAGTTAACCAAGGTCGCGCCATTGCACTCCAGCATGGGTGACAGAGCGAGACTCCGTGTCAAAAAAAAAAAAAAAAAAAAAGAAAGGACAAACTGGGAAGAAAACAAGGCAAAGTTTTCAGCAACATAGCAACATTTTACCTATTTCATTATAAGGGAATTATTAATAACACTATATATTATAATTAGAAATTTTCATTATTATATGAAATAAAGTCGTTTATCTATACTAGTGTCAGTTTTGAATTTGAGAAGGGCATACAAAAGAGAAAGGGATGCTTTGTTTCTTCTTTCATATCTTTAATTTCAACCCCCAGACTCTAATAATAAAGTTATATTTTTCAATTTTTTAGATGCATTTATTCATAGCTGAGACTAGAGAGATAATATCATCTGTGTTGAAAAGAAACCATTTAACTTCTGTGTTGCTCTGTATTCTGAAAAAATGAGCATGATTAAATTGTAGATATTTTTGTCTATTATACACATTTTGTTTCATTTCATAAAATTAGGTATTTTTTTTCTCTGCAGAAAGGAATTTTTTCACACAGTTTGAGGGTATGATTACTAAAGAATAGGAACTATATGTAAAGGCATTGTACATAGAATTACTGTTTTCATATGAAAATCTGTATCTTTAATTAAAGCTCCAAATAACTGTGTGGAAATCATTAAAATGGTCAGATATATAGGTATGTTCTCCCCAATGTATGCCAACCTTTATTAAGACTATTTGTTGAACATACTGTGAAAACTTGATAGTATAGCTTAGAATCATTACCTGATTTTAGTAACAAAAATAAAACTTATTTTTTGCCTACAGATTTCATTCTGATTGGTGTTCACCTTCAAACTGCGATGAGATCCATGACCGGGTAAAAAATGTCTTGAAATCACATCAGGCTCATCAAAGACATTTATATGTTAGTTTCTAAAATTTTTTTTTGAAGACTATTTATAATAGGTCAAGAAAACCACCAAAGATGCCTAAAGCTTACAAAATTTAGTCACCGGGAAGAAAAAAAGAAAGCAAGCAAGCTCCATTTGATGGAAGTCAGTGGTTTTGCCCAAGGCAACATATCTAAATGCCTGCTTGACCTAAGTCATTATGCAAAATGTTTGAAATAGACCATCTTAACTATAAACAATGTTAGTGATAATTATCTTATAAAGTTTCAGTACATAGTGACTTGATGATAATTATTTCACAGCCTTCAAAATATGAGAACTCTTGTTTTGTGGCCCAATATAAAGCAATTTCATCTACTGCAAATAGATTTAATCCTAAATGGTAGCATGAGTGGGTAGGAGAGGTATGTATTTTGAAGAAACTTCTCAGTTAATTTGTATGTTAATTGAATAAAAGAGGAAAAGGGCAGGTCAGGTTTGTCAGGTTTAACATTAGGAAAAATCTGTATGAGGATATTTTCTGAGAAAAAGCAGATAAGCATTCATATAAATGACAGCTGGGAAATAATGACAGTACTTTTTTATGTGTTTGATCCCTTGTTTCATTCATTAGTTTAAAAAACAATCATTTATCATCAATGTGTGCTGGACACTAAGATTAGTCTTGGGGGGGTATAAGGGGTTTATATGACCTTGGGATCAGTTTTTACAGTTTTAAGTTTCTATATACATGCTGTTTTTAAAATTAAACTTCTTTTCAAAGCATAGAAAAGAACACATAGAAAATGCACAAATAATAAGTAACAGCTTGAGAAATTATAAAATTAACAGTCTCATGTAAACTACCTACCAGATCAAGAAATGAAACAGTTCTCTGCAGAAGCCCCTCTTGTTTCCTGCCAGCTACTGCTATTCCAAGTGTAAACATTATCAAATTTCTAACAAAGTTTTTTATCTTCTAACAGCAAGATATAATATTGCACGTTTTGAGCTTTATATAAATGACATCCTACAGTGTCTACTTTTTTATTCCTGTTTCTTTTTGGTTTTTCAATTCAAGCGTTTTTGCAATTTAGACATCCTGTTTTACCTGGCAGTGTAGCAGTAGTTCATTATTGTTGCCATGAATAAAATGTATTCATACAATACATTTTATTGTATGAAAATGCTACCATTTACTTATTCATTCCTCCATTGGTGCGCATTTGGTTTGTTTTGGGTTTGGGCTATTACAGAGCTGCTGTAAGCAGTATGCACATGTCCTTGGGTGACATTGCATACATTTTATTTGGGTATGTATCTACCAGTGGAATTAATCAGAGGGAATGTACACTCAGCTTTAGTAGATGCTATCAAAGAATGTTGCACATGGTTTTAACAGTTACACTCCCACTACCAATGTGGGAGAGTTCTACTTGTTTCACATCCTCCCTACTTCTTTGACTGATTGTGTGTGTGTATGTGTGTGCATGCATATGCCTCTGTGCTTCTCTGTGTTTTCTTTTGGCATTTTGATAAGTGAAAAGTAATTTATCATATAATGGTTTTAATTTGCTGTGTCCAGTGACGAGTGAATATTCTTATTGGCCATTGGGATATCCTCTGTTGTGTTCACATCATTTGTTCATTTTTCTACTGGATTGTCTATCTTTCATTTTTAGGTAAGATTTCTTTGTAGATTCTTCATATGAGTCCTTAGATATATGTTTTGCAATTTTTTTTCCACTCTGTGCCTTATCTTTTCACTCTTAATAGTATCTTTTGGTTAAAAGTAGTTATTCTAATGAATACAGTTTATCATTTTTCCTTTTTGATTAGCATTTTTATAGTTTTTGTCTACTTTAAGACTTTCTCCTATGTCTTCTAAAGGCCTTTTTCTTTAACATTTAAATATATGAACCATTTGGAATTATTTTTTTTCCACATAGTGGTAGCTAGGGGTCACATTTCAAGAAAGGTTCAAGTCTCATGATTATAGATTTGTTTATTTTACATTCTGGTTCTCTTAATTTTGTTTTATATATTTTGAAGCGATGTCATTGGATGGATTATGGAACTTTAATTATGAAATGTCCCTCTTTATCTCTAGTAATATTCCTTGTTTCACAGTATATTTTATCTGATATTAGTATAGCTACAGCAGCTTTTTTTGTCTAGTATATGCATGGTATATATTTTTCAATTCTTTGGTTTATGTCATTATATGTAAAGGATGTATCTTGTAAGTAACACGTGAGTTTTTTTTTTTTCAAGAATGAAAATGTAGTATTTTTATGTAGGTTGTTTTGTCTTTTGTTTGGGTTAATCAAAATTTTTAACAATTTATTTTCCTTTGTATTAACTCGTGGTTCTTTTTAACTATTTTGTTATTGTTTGCCTTATTTCAACATACATACGTGACATTATTTTTTATGATTTTTTGAATAATATTGGAACATGAAAACATTTAGCTGTTTTTAATCTGCTTTCTTTTTTGCTTATCTATTATCAGGCATCTTAATTCTACATGTATAAAACACAAGAAATTATTTTTGTTCATCTAGTAACACTTATTTTAATCACATATTATTATTCATTCTTTCTTGCAATTCACTGTTTCCATTTGGGTTCTAGAATTGTTTTCCTTCTAACATGAAGAACTCTCTTTAATGCTTCTTTTTATGTCACACTCCTGGATGAGAATTCTGAGTTTTCTTCAAAACATCTTGGTTGTATTTATGAACAATAGTTTTGCTGGATGTAGAATTCTAGGTTAAAAGTCATTTTTTTTTTTTTTTTTTGTATTTAAAAGAAGCTAATCCATTGTCTTCTGGCTGCTTCTGAGTCTGTTGAAAAATCAGCTATTATTTATTTGCAATAATATGGCTTTCCCCCTTCTGTTGCATGTAAGATTTGCTATTTGACATAGTAGTTTTCCTATGATCTATCTAAATGTGGTTTTACTGAATTAATATCCATTCAGTATGCAGAACTCATGTCTTTCATCTGTTTTGGAAAACTCTTAGCCATTCTTTCTTTAAACATTGCTTCTTCCCCAATATCTCTTTGCTGTTTTTCTGGAACTTCAAATTACACTTATATAAAAATCTTTAAAATGTGTCTCATATGTATCTTATGCCTATATTCATATTTTTCATTATTTTTTCTCTCCAGTTTGGATATTTGCTTTTAAACTGTTCTTTGCTAATCCTATATTCTGCTGTATTTGCATTGATGTTAAAACTTTGATGAAATTTTGATTGTGAAGTTTTGATGAAAGCTTTTCATGAGGTTTTGCTGTTGAAACTTTGATCAATGAAATGGGCCAAATCCTGGAAAAATACAAACTACTATAAATGATATGGTTTGGCTGTGTGCCCACTCAAGTCTCATCTTGAATTCCCATGTGTTGTGGGAGGGACCCTGTGGGAGGTAATTGAATCATGGGGGCAAGTCTTTCCTGTGGCTGTTCTCTTGATAGTGAATAAGTCTCATGAGGTCTGATGGTTTTTAAAAGAGGAGTTCCTCTGCATAAGATCTCTCTTTTCTTGCTGCCATCCATGTAAGATGTGACTTGCTCCCTATTGGCTTTAACCATGATTGTGAGGCTTCCCCAGCCACGTGGAACTGTAAGTCCAATTATACCTCTTTCTTTTGTAAATTGCCCATTCTCAGGTATGTCTTTATCAGCAGCATGAAAATGGACTAATACAATAACTAACTGAAGATGAAATAATATTACTGGTTGTATATCTATTAAAGAAATTGAATTTGTAGTTAAGAACTTTTTCAAGGAGAGAGCCCTAGGCCCAGATGGTTTCTCTGGTGAATCCAAACAAAATTTAAGGAGAACACAATACCAGTCTTGCACATCCCTGAAAATAGAAGAAGGAAAACTTCCCAGGTCATTTTATGAAGTCAATATTTACTGTAATGCTATAACCAGACATCAACATTACAAGCAAAGAAAAATGTAGACCAATGGCCCTCATGAATGTATATACAAAAATTCCCAACAACATATTAGCAAATTAAATCCATCTGTATATAAAAATGAAAATACATCACAATTAAGTGGACTTATTGCAGAAATGCAGTATAAATTTATCCTAGTAAATGATTAAGAAAAAGCATATTTCTTATATGTAGTTTCAGCAGACCCAAAAAAGGATTCAATAAAATTAAACTCCATTCATGATAAAAACTCTTAGTAAAGTGGGAGTAGAAGTGAACTTCCTTTGAGCATCTGTTGAAAACCTATAGCTAACATTATGCTCACTGGTGAAAGACTGATTACTTTTTCTCAAAGTTCGGAAACAAAGCATTGTTTTCTTTAGCGTCATACTGAAAATCTTAGGCAATGTAATAAGGCAAGTAAAATAAAAGTCATACAGATTAGAAAGGAAGAAACGTAACTGTATTTGCAGAAGATATGATTATTTATGTAGAAAACTCTAAAGGATCTAGAGAAAAGCTCATAGAAATAGTGAGTTGAGCATGGTCACAGAAAGAAGGAAAGTCAATTTTTTTTCTATATACCAGCAATGAGCAATTGAAATTTTAAGTTATAAGATCTATGCCATTTACAATAGCAGCAGGAATTTAAGTGCTTAGCTAAAATTCTAACAATATGTGTAGGATCTGTATGCTGAGAACTAGAAGACACTACTGAAAGAAATCAAGGAAGAGAGAAATAAGTAGAGTTGACATATCATGTTCATGGACAGGAGGATTCAATATTTGAATCTCAATTTGATGTCTAGATTTTATGCAATCTTAATCAAAATTCCAGCACATGTTTTTAGTAGATATTGACAAGCTTATTCAACAATGTGTATGAAAGGCAAAGAAACTTGAAAAATCAAAACGATCTGAAACAAACAAAGCTGGAGGACTCACTGCCTAATTTTAAGATTTTTGCAATAAAGCACAGTAATGAAGATTGTGTTATATTGATTAAATTATGGACACATGTATCAAAGGAATAGAATAAAGATTCCAGAAATAGACCCACGTAAATACTGTCAACTGATTTTGACAAAAGTGTAAAGCCAATTAAATGTCGACTTTGTTTTTGTTATCTTTTAAACAAATGGTTCTAGATTTTTTTTAAAAGCCCCTTGGCGTGTAATTCAAAATAGATCATAGATCTTCAATGTAAAACTGTAAAACTTCTAGAGGAAAACATAGTAGAAAATCTGTGTAATTTAATTTCGGCAATGAGTTTTTATATGATAGCAAGCACAACATCCATAAAGTTAAAAAAACTGATAAATTGGATTTAATTTGCTCTGTGGAAGTCACTATTAAGAGAAAGAAAAAAGGCCACAAGTTGGATGAAAATATTTTAAAATCACATATATGAGTTAGGACTTGTATCCAGAGTTAGGAAAAAAAAAAAAGAAAGAAAAGCACAAAACAACTATCCAAACTTAACAAAAAAAATAAATAACCAAATTAAATAATGGGCAAAAGATCTGAACAGGCACTTCACCAAAAGAACACATTAAAACATGCTCAACTCATAATGGAAGTGCAAATTAAAACCATAATGATATACCACCATACACCCAAAAACAACAACAAAATTATGCTGACAAGGATGTGGAATAATAGGAACTCCCATTTCATGCTGGTGGGAATACCAATGGTATAGCCACTATATAAGACAGTTTTAAATAAAATTAAACATATACTTATCATATGACCTGGCAATCCTACTCCTAGGTCTTTATCCAAATGCACTGAAAATTTATGTTCACACCAAAATTTGTACACAAATATTTATAGAAACTTTATGGTTGCCAAAAGGTGGAGGCAACAGAGATGCCCTTCATTGGTGAATGGTGAACAAACTATGGCATGTCTGTCTTCAATGGAATACTACTCAACAATAAAAAAGAATGATCTATTAATTCACACAACATGATGAATCTTAAATACAGCTTAAGTGAAAGAAGCCAGATCCCCAAAGCTACATGTATGATTTTATTTATATGACATTATTGAAGTAACAAAATTTGTAAGGAGGGGGACAGAAGATGTTGACTACAAAAGAGACCAGCCTGACAGGGAAATTTTTAGGTTTCAGGAACTGTTATGATTGGTATGGGAGTGATCAATAAATAACTTTATGCATTTGTCAAAACTCATAGATATGTACATCAGAGTTAACTTTACTATATGAAAATTAAAAGAAAAAAGCATGATGTTGTGTCATCCAAGGATGTAATGACTATCATAATTGATGAATATGACAATATTAAAATGTAAGACATGTTTAAATTAACTGACCTAAATAACTTTGGAATATGATGTTTTAAATGCATATGGTAAGGCTAAGACAAAAAGAACTACATAGTCACTATATTCTAGTTCAGTGGTCAGCCAACTTTTTCTGTAGACTGTAAGATGTTAAATACTTTTTACTTTTTAGGTCATAGCATCCCTGTGACAACTACTCAGCTGTGTGGTTGTAGCAAGAAAGTAATCATATGCAGTATGTAAACAAATGAGCATTTCTGTGTACCAAAAAAATTTTATCATTGTGCACTAAAATGTAAATTTCATGTAATTTTCACATGAATTTTCATAAAATATTCTATTTTTATAGTCATTTACAAATGTAAATACAATTCTTAGCTCTTATAGTAAAATAGTCAAAGTGCCAGGAGTTTGATAACCCCTGCTGTAGTAGATAAATGTGTTTCATACAGGGATATGGATTAGCAATACTGAAAATATTTTACACATGCATTAGAGTTGAACCAAGAAGTAAATAAACTGTAGATAAAGACAGTAGATTTCTCATTGTCAGAAAAAGAATGTACAAAGAAGCCAGGAGGATGAAGGCTAGAATGAACTCTGTGATGTTGGGTTAGAGTTTGAGATAAGCTTTAATTCATGTTTATTTTAAAATATATACAAATAGATTGATTCAGAAATAAAAAAATAGATATGAATATATACCTGAGTTAGAATACATACATATTTCCTAGCTCTGCCCTTCAAAAGGGCAGAAGCAGTGACAATAGCAGTGAGCACACCCAGATCCCAGATCTTGGTTTCTAAAAGACCTTTTTCCAATGAAAGTTGCTAGTGCTCTTGTAACAATGGCTAATTCTGGGGCTGGGGTAGGGAAAGTACAAGATTAACATGGAGCATCTTGTAGTGCAGAGAGTGAAGATTTGCTTGAAAAAGGTGATGGAGAGGGAGAGGGGGCATGTCAACAGGATACAGAAGCCAATCTAAATGAGCCTCTGGTCATCAGTATTGGAATAATATTATACAAAACTGTAGAATTGGATTATAATTCAAAGAATAAAATAAATATCCAAGAGTCCATACTGATGTAAATGAAACAATGAATAACTAATAGTGAGAATGGACAAATCTCCATTCCAGAATTCTAAATAAATGATTATGAATGTTGTACCCCCTACAGGAAGTAGAGCTTGCTTTCTGTCCCCTTGGGTGAGTACTGGAGTGACACTGGACTTAGTGACTTGCTTCTAATGAGTAGTGCATGGAAAGGACAAATAGTAACTTGGGTGGAGAAATTGTAATCACCCAGTAGGTTGTTCTTGCCCACTGCCCGCAAAAGCTAGTACACTGAGAAAAGCAGGAGTTGCAGTGGAGAAAGTATTTAATAATAACAGGGCCAGTCAAGTGAGGAGATGGGAGGTATTTCTCACATCTGCCTCTCTGAGAATTCAGAGGCTAGGGTTTTTAAGGATGCTTTGGTGGTCAGGGGGCTGGAAAACTGAGGCAATTTATTAGCTAGGGATGAAGTCACAGGAGTGTTGAGACAATCTTCCTGCAGCTGAGTTAGTGAGTTAGTTCCAGGGAGGGGTTGCAGGACTAATTGAGTCAGTTCCTTGGTGTGGATCACAAGTCCAGGTGGCATCTCTTGGTCTGCCAAAATTCTAAATCTGAAAAATACTTAAAAGTTCTTTAGGTTTCACAATAGTGATGTTACCTACAGGAGCAGTTGGAAAAGTTATAAATCTTAAAACCTCCAGTTACATGACTCTGGGATAGTAAGCACTACAGAAAAGCAAGCTAAGCAAGCAATTATGGGTTATTGTTTAACTATTCTTATTTTTTAGCAAAGTTAAAATATATACTTTTATATTTTAACTGTACTTAAATTAATTATATAATTAATTACTATAATTAATTTAATACATTATATATACATTATATATACATATATACATTAATAATATATATATTATATTATATATACATTATATATACATATATATTATATGTGTATATATAATGCATTATATATACATAGGCCCGTACCTATGTAGTGAATGGTATTGCCTAGGTTATCTTCCAGGGTTTTTATATTTTTGGGTTTTATATTTAAGTCTTTAATTCTTCTTGAGTTACTTTTTGTATATGGTGTTTTCCCCCACTTTCAGCCTTCTGCATTTGGCTTGCCAGTCATCGCAGCACCATTTATTGAATAGTGAATCCCTTCCCCATTGCTTGTTTTTCTCAGATGTGTCAAAAATCAGTTAGTTGTAGGTGTGTGGCCTTATTTCTGGGTTCTCTGTTCTGTTCCATTGGTCTATGTGTCTGTTTTTGTACCACTACCATGCTATTTTGGTTAGTGTAGCCCTGTAGTATAGTTTGAAGTTGTGTAGCATGTTACCTCTGACTTTGTTCTTTTTGCTTAGGTTTGCCTTGGCTCTTCAGGCTCCTTTTTGGTTTAATATGAATTTTAAAATTTTTTCTATTTCTGTGAAGAATCTCAATAGTAGTTTAATAGGAATAGCATTGAATATATAAATTGCTTTGGACAGTATGGCCATTTTAAGGATATGTTGATTTTTCCTATCCATGAGCATGGGATGTTTTTCCATTTGTTTGTGTCTTTTCCTATTTCTCTGAGCAGTGTTTTGTAGTTCTCCTTGTAGAGATCTTTCACCTCCCTGGTTAGCTGTATCCCTAGATATTTTATTCTTTTTGTGGCAGTTGTGAAGGGTATTATATTCCTGACTTGGCCCTCAGCTTGACTATTGTTGGTGTATAGGAATGCTAGTGATTTTTGAACATGGATTTTGTATCCCCTGAGATTTTGCTCAAGTTATTTTTCAGCTTAAGAAGCTTTGGGCTGAGATTATGGGGTTTTCTCAATATAAGATCATATAATCTGCAAACAGGGATGATTTGACTTCCTCTCTTCTATTTTCATGTCTTTCTCTCGTCTGATTGCTCCGTCCAGGATTTCCAATCCTATGTTGAATAAGAGTGATGAGAGAGGTCATCTTGTCTTGTGCTGTTTTCAAGGGGAATGCTTCTAGCTTTTCCCCATTCAGTATGATGTTGACTGTCAGTTTGTTGTATATGGCTTTTATTATTTTGAGTTATGTTCCTCTAATGCTTAGTTTATTGAGAGTTTTAACAGGAAGAAATGTTGAATTTTATCAAAAGCCTTTTCTGTATCTATTGAGATAATCATGTGGTTTTTGTCTTTCTGTTTATGTGATGAATCACATTTTTTGATTTGTGTAATGTTGAACCAACCTTGCACCTTCTGGATAAAGTCTACTTGAATGTGGCGGCTAAGCTTTTTGATGAGCTGCTGGATTCAGTTTTCTAGTATTTTGTTGAGGATTTTTGCCTTGATGTTCATCAAGCATTGGCCTGAAGTTTTATGTCTTCCAGGTTTTGACATCAGGATGAGGCTGTGGTCTCATAAAATGAGTTAGAGAGTAGTTCCTCATCCTCAAATTTGTGGAATAGTTTCAGTAAGAATAGTACCATCTCTTCTTTGTACATCTGGTAGAATTCAACTGTGAATCCATCTGGCCTGAGGTTTTTTGTTGTTGTTAGTAGGCTATTTATTACTTCTTCAATTTCAGAACATGTCATTGGTCTGTTCAGGGATTCAGTTTCTTCCTGTTCAGTCTTAGAAGGGTGTTTGTATCTAAGAATTTATCTATTTCTTCTTTATTTTCAAGTTTATGTGCATAGAGGTGTTCATAATATTGTCTGATGGTTGTTTTCATTTCTGTGGGGTCAGTGGTAATATCCCCTTGTTGTTTCTAGGATTGTGTTTATTTGATGTCTCTTTTCTTCTTTATTAGTCTAGCTAGCACTCTATTTATTTTGTTAATTTTTCAGAAAAACAGCTCCTGGATTTGTTGATCTTTTGAATGGTTTTTCGTGTCAATCACTTTCAGTTCAGCTCTGATTTTGGTTATTTCTTGTCTTCTGCCTGCTTTGGGAATTGCTTGCTCTTGGTTCTCTACTTCTTTTAGTTGTGATGTTATGTTGTTTTAAAATTTGAGATCTTTCTAACTTTTTGATGTGGGCATCTAGTTCTATAAATTTACCTATTAACACTGCCTTAGCTGTGTCCCAGTGATTCTGATATGTTGTATCTTTGTTCTCATTAGTTTCAAAGAACTTCTTGGTTTCTGCTTTAATTTCATCATTTAGCCAAAAGTCATTCAGGAGCAGTTTGTTCAATTTCTATGTAATTGTATCTGTTTGAATGGGTTGTGTTGTGGTCTGAGAGATTGTTAAGATTTCAGTTCTTTTGCATTTCCTGATGAGTGTTTTACTTCTGATTATGTGATGAATTTTAGAATATGTGCTAGGTGGCGATGAGAAGAATGTATATTCTGTTGTTTTTGGGAGTAGAGTTCTGTAGATATCTGTCAGGTCCATTTGATCCAGAACTGAGTTCAGGTCCTGAATATCTTTGTTGATTTTCTGTCTCGATCTGTCTCATATTGTCAGTGGGGTGTCAAAGTCTCTTACTGTTATTTTGTGGGAGTCTAAGTCTCTTTGAAGGCCTCTAAGAACTTGCTTTATAAATCTGCGTGCTCCTGTGTTGGGTGCATATGTATTTAGGATAGGTAGATCTTCTTGTTGAATTGTCCCCTTTACCATTATGTAATGCCCTTCTTTGTCTTTCTTTATCTTTGTTGGTTTAAAGTCTGTTTTGTTAGAAACTAGAATCGCAATCCCGATTTCTGTTTTCCATTTGCTTTGTAGATTTTTCTCCATCCCTTTATTTTAAGCCTATGTGTGTCACTGCATGTCTCTTGGGTCTCTTGAAGACAGCATACCAACAAGTCTTGGTTCTTTATCCAGCTTGCCTATCTGTCTTTTAATCGGGGCACTTAGCCCATTTAGATTTAAGTTTAGTGTTTATATGTGTGTATTTGATCCTGACATCATGGTGTTAGCTGCTTATCTCGCAGACTATGTGGTTCCTTTATAGAGTCACTGGTCTGTGAACTTCATTCAGTGTGTTTTTGTAATAGCTGGTAATTGTGTTTCCTTTCCATATTTAGGGCTTCCTGCAGGAGCTCTTGTAAGGCAGGTCTGGTGGTAATGAATTCCCTCAGCACTTGCTTGTCTGAAAAATATAGAATGCTTCGTAAATTTGTGTGTCATCCTTGTGCAGGGGCTATGCTAATCTTCTATGTATCCTTCCAATGTTAGTATATGTACTGCCAAAGTGAGCACTAAAATAGCTTTATGTGGTTAGTGTTTTGCAAGAAATATCTTCTTTCATACTTACACTTTTAACATTTTTGTTTATTTAACAGGGATTTTTCATAGCGTATATTGACTTTTTTATACAGTGTGGAAATCATGGTGTTTTAATTGTAGTAGTCAGTCTGTTCCTTTCTTACATTCCTACTGATATATTTGGGTATAAACCTATTGTTTTCTATTTGCACTACCTGTTCTATATTCTTTATTTCCTTTTATCCTCTTTTGGGTTGAGTTATATTGTTATTTAATTTTTCTACTGTTATTAACTGGGGATTTTCTTTCCTGTTCCTTTGATGGTAACTTCAAAGATTAAAACAAGTATTCTTACTAAAGTTTAACATAAATGAACATGTTAATTTTATTTATTCCTCTTCTGACTTAACAATGTTTGCCAACCCCTGCTTTTGTATTTGTATTCCCGTATAATTTTTCCATAAGATTTTGATGATACGACTTCTGTGGCATAAGCATGTTCCATTGTTATCTGCAGTATTTTCTCTAAATTGGTACCTTTAAATTGAGATCTAGAGGCTTAATCAAGTTCAGTTTTTATTTCAGAAGTCATATTGTGTCTTTCATTGGCAGTTACTTAATATCTGATTCATATTCTCTCCATCTCTACTTTCCTTCCCTCTCTCTCTGGCAAATCCAATGCAAAGATGCATTACATAGGCGTTACAAAAGTATTGAATTTTCTTATCTGTCCTTCTACTCCTCATTCCGCTTCATCTGTTTTGTTACTTAATGTCATTGTTCATTCATCCCTTCATTTTCTAGTGTTCATAATATTTTGTTCTTTAACATTCTCCAAAGGTGACCAGTTAGTTTTCCTTTTTTTTAGATAATTGTGAACTCATGGATTTGAACATATTGATGTGTTTTGTTGTATTTCAGTTACTATTGGTTCCCAAATAAGCTCAACTTTGGCCAATGGGAAACTCTTCATGTCTTTATGTCTTGCAAATCTTTTTATGTGGCCCTAGTAGGCCACATAGATGAGTCCCAGACTCATCTTGTACATTTCATCACACAAAAATCAAAAACCTCTCCCAATTTCTGTTGCTGTTCTTAAATTAAACCACTGATATTTTTGAGTGAGCATTTTTTTGTTATTTTGAAGTTATCAGGTTTATTAGATGCCTCCTGTTTTCCTCTGAGCTCTCCTCCACAGATGCAGATACCAACTTTATCTTATTACTACTGGTGGTTTGTTCCTCCTCATACGTTGGGGTTCATGAAGATATCTTGTCACCTCATTTTGTCACAGATGCTTTCCATGTATTATTTGGTACTACTATTCTAGGTCCTTTAAAATTTTTTATTTCAGAATAGTCTGCTTTTATTCTAAATTATATTGCACAATGAGTTTTCACAAAGTGGACCCATGTGTGAACAGCATCCAGGTCATAGACTTGACATTACTAGCACCCTAGAATTGTCTCTGGTGCCTCTTTTCAGTCACTACACTCTCTGCTCTTCTAATATCTCACAAAATATAAATTTGTTTGTTTTTGAATGTTTTATAAATTGAGT
The DNA here is from genome assembly GCF_000001405.40 of Homo sapiens. Taxonomy (NCBI): domain Eukaryota; kingdom Metazoa; phylum Chordata; class Mammalia; order Primates; family Hominidae; genus Homo; species Homo sapiens. The sequence goes on along the minus strand of NC_000001.11, from coordinate 48,342,642 downwards.
CATATTTATTCTTTTTTTTTTTTTTTTGAGATGGAGTCTCGCTCTGTCACCCAGGCTGGAGTACAGTGGCACAGTCTTGGCTCACTGCAAGCTCTGCCTCCGGGGTTCATGCCATTCTCCTGCCTTAGCCTCCCCAGTAGCTGGGACTACAGGGGCGGGCCACCACGTCCGACTAATTATTTTGTATTTTTAATAGATAAGGGGTTTCACCATGTTAGCCAGGATGGTCTCGATCTTCTGACCTTGTGATCCACCTGCCTCAGCCTCCCAAAGTGATATTTATTCTTTTGTATCTGATTTCTTTTGATTAATGTTTGTGACATGCATGTGCTTCATTTTCATTGCTGTATAGCTGCAGTCAACAAACTATGCCACACAGGCAAATTCTAGCTATTTTTTAAAAAACAAAATTTTATTGCAGTATGGATATACTCATTTGTATACATGTTACCCATGACTGATCTCAAACTACAACAGCAGAGGTGAGAATTGTGACAGAGATCCCATAGTATACAAATCTGAACGTATTTCCTACCTGGCCCTTCACAAGAAAAGTTTGCCAACCCCTGCTTTTGCATTTGTATTCTTCCAAAATAATACCATAATCAATTCTACTTTTAATTTTGGGCTAATACTAATAGTGCTACCATAGACAATATATTGTGTATATTCTTTGGTGAACATGTACACAGTAGTCCTCCTTATCTTTAGGGGATATGTTCCAAGACCCCTTAGTGGATGCCTGAAACCACAGATGTACTGAACTTGCATTCTGTCAGTTAGAACATGTTTCCATCCATGGCTTCTGCCTGCAAATTTAATGCCTTTCTCAACTTAACTAAGCACTTACCATGCACCATGCCATAACTTTTTATAGTTTGAAGTGTGACAGCAAAACTAGTATGAACTTTTTTTTCTTCTTTACAATC